>NC_000017.11:12612323-12915353 GCF_000001405.40 Homo sapiens
CAGTTACTGGCAAAGTGTCCATGCTAAGTTTCTAATTTCAAATATGCTTTGTTGAAAAGCTTAGAAATTGTATCACTTCATGGAAAAGAGAGCACTGAGAAATTATATGACTTCATGGAAAAGAGAGCAAGCACTGCACTGAGATTCAGAAGACTTGCAATACAGTCTCAGTTTTGTCATTCATTTGCTGTGTGACATTGAGTCATGCCTTCTACCCTTCTGAGGCTCAAATATGAATTAAATAGCGCCAACTAGATGCCTTCTAGGAATGCTTTCAACTCTAATGTTCCACGTGCTATATAACATATGGAAACATAATTTAAGTTCTCACTAGCGATCAGGAAGTTGCCTTGTTAGTGGGATGCGGTTCATCATTAGTGTTAATATCTCTGGTTTTATATCAGTGAGAACAAAGAGGTGAGAGTGTAATAGTTGAGAGCACTGGCTTTGAAGTCAGGCAGAGTTGGGTTCAAATCCTGCTGCCTCATGTTCTAGGAGTCTCATGGATTACAAAATTGACTTAATTTGTCTGAAGTTCAGTTAGGTCATCTGTAAAGTCCGATCTGTGAAATGGGTAAGAAAATAAACCAGCCTCTTTGGAATATTGTAAGTAGAGTGGCCTAATGTTGTGGTTTGACGGGAACTGAGGGTTTTCCCTGGAAATGGGACTTTCAGTGCTAAAAGCAGAACAGTTCGAGGCAAACCGGGATGGTTGGCCACCCTACAGTCACAAGTGTCACCTGAGATAAACCTGTAAAGCACATAGAAAATATTCAATGGACACTAGCCATGGTTGTGAATAGCACATAAATATAGAGATATCAGGGTGAATTTTTTTTTTTTTTTGAGACAGAGTTTGGCCCTCGTTGCCCAGGCTGGAGTGCAATGGCACAATCTCAGCTCACTGCAACCTCCGCCTCCTGGGTTCAAGTGATTCTCCTGCCTCAGCCTCCTGAGTAGCTGGGATTACAGGCATGCACCACCACGCCCGGCTAATTTTGTATTTTTAGCAGAGACAGGGTTTCTCCATGTTGGTCAGGCTGGTCTCGAACTCCTGACCTCAGGTGATCTGCCTACCTCGGCTTCCCAAAGTGCTGGGATTACAGGCGTGAGCCATTCAACCAGAGCACGACCCAACTTTGCCTTTTTGACTCTAGATTTCTACTTTTTAAAGGTTATATGGTTTTCTTTCTTGAGAAACAGAGAGGACTGTGTAAATGTGACATATCAAGCCATACAAAATGGCTGCCTTTCTGCAAAATAAAATTTGAATCAAGGGACAGAATAGCCTCTTAATGATGAGCCCCCTACAAGCCTGGTTTGGGGATGCTGATGTGGCCACAGGCAGACATAGGCAGCACTCAGCAGCTCTGATGGATGCAACACCAGCCAGGAATGTGAGCAGCTGTCCTTTCTAACCCCGATGTCATTTGCTGAGGCAATGCCAACTTCCTTCTCTTCCATCAAAACATTCCAGAGTTCATCCTTGTCAGGCCATATACAGATATGTCTCCTACGATTTGCATAAGGCCATTGTTTCTGGAATTTGGGGATTTTCCAGCTAGAATGTCTCACGTATGCTATTCTGCACAGACAATTGAAGAGAATGCAGGAGCCAAATTCCCTTGTTATGGCTACTTCTGCCCTCTAACTGGTTCTCCTTTGGGAGCTTCTCTTCTCTTCCTTTCTACTCTCTGCCCACCTGGGCTACCCACTCCTCTGGGCTCAAGGTCCAATCAACCACACACAAAGCTTCAATTCTGGTTGTAAAGCTGTCAGTCACACCAGTTTCTCATATTTTCTGTCTTTGATTACTCTTAGTGTTATTTCTTCTCTAATTTCTCCTGTGGTTTATTAACTGCAATGTTGTCAACTTCATCCCAGCTTTAGGTGACCTGGAAACTATAACAGGACAACAGGTGATCTGTCCTGCTTGTCCAGGACAGTCCAGGATTGCACCTGTTGTCCCAGGTTACTAATTAATCGAACCCCCGTTTACTTTCAAAAATGTCCACGTTTGGAAGACAAACGATACAATCACACTATCCAGACCCAACCTCTCGAGTTCTACTTTCATCTGTTTTATATTGAGCAATGATCTCCCTTATAAGATTTTAATTTGAGTGTAACATTTTGATATGTTTGAACAAAACAAAATGAAAAATCAATCTTGCCAGAAAGGGCAAGACATTCATAAAAACAGCCAACTGATCAACCCGTTGTTTTGCCAGGCAGAGCGAAACATTTATGAAAACAGTCAACTGGTTTGAGGAGAAAATTCACCAAAAGCAATATAGCTAGAAGTCTAACATCTTAATGAGGAACAGTGCTCTTCGTCCAGACTTTATCGCTTTAGGTACAAGATGCCCAAAACACAAGTTTGTACCTTACGAGCAAAATTGTGAATTGTATATAGAAAAAAAAATAGAGGTGAATCACCAAGTAAATGGGTCATCAAAATGAATGTCTTCAATTCTACCTTAGGAGAAGCTTTTGGAGACAAGACTGGCAAATAAGTGGGCAGTATATATGACCCCATGGAAAGTCCTGGGGGTTTGGGATCCATCAAAGGACTGGAATTAGGATACTGACTTTTCTTCCAATGGTGTCCCTGCGGACAAATGGCTTAATGTCTCTGAACATTATTTTCATGACTTACGCTTTCATAAAAAGTTCAATTAACCATTGGTTTTCAAACTATGCTCTGCAGAGCCCAAGGATTTTTAGCAGAGGTGCCCTGTGCACCCTCAGGAGTTATACTTTTATTCGTTTTATATCAAGCAATGATCTCCCTTGTAAGATGAAAATTTGAGCTTAACATTTTGCTATGTTTGAACGAAAGATTTTGATGCAAAAATAAAACGTGAGCATTTATGGTTTAGGTAGCCTCTGAGCTCCCTCCAATTCTGGTATATGTGATTCTAAGGCCTTAGAAAATGTCAGCAGTTGGAGAACTATAGATAGAGATGAACAAAAGATTCCTCTGCTGTCTGCAAAGCCCTAAAGTAACTTGCTAATAAGTGCAGACCAAGAGGGCCTTAGGCCGTGTGCTCTGATCTATTAGAGAGGCTGATGGAGACCAGGGTGTGTCTGAGGAAAGTGCTAATACAGACATACAGAGCTGTGGCTGTGAGGTGTCTTCGCTGGAAAAGAGCATTCTGGGACTCTGAAAAGTGTTCCCCGAGATGTTCTCTATCACTCACAAAGACCCGGAGATTCTAAACTGGTCCAAAACTGATTCTAGATTTTTGGCAAAAGGCCTGGTGTCTGAAAATAATTACCAGTATGTCCAAAATTCTTTAAAAGTTCTAATAATAATAAAGTCTGGAGCATTCTAGCACTTGGGGGAGTGGGGTAGCATGTATAAAGTTAAAGAGATAAACACTCATCTGGGGTGAAAATTAAAATTCAGAAGAATTAGGTAAGATACCATCACGAGTGCAAAGGTAGATCAGGAAATCATGCTCCTTTCCTGTATTTCAGGTATCAGGAGAGAAAAACAGATAGTGGAAAGTGTGTGGCAGAAGCGCTTGCTTTCACTGGCCTGGAGGAAAAGTCAAATTTTGAGTCAGAAGAAAAAGGGTAGCAACACTGAGAAGTCTGTGTCCTGGCTGCTTGTGTGGTCAGGTGTACTGCTGGTAATCAAACTATGAACCTGGGGTCCATATGTCCTTCTCTTTATAAAAGTACGAAATAAGTTAGGGCTTAAGATTGAACTGCAATGAAAATTATTTTTGCTTTCCTTTTTTTATCTTAAAAATTTTTAAAGGGATTTTCCAAGTTTATATACTGTTTATCTCATATCTGGAACACTTTTAAATTTTGGTTAGATTTGGAGTAAGTTTGATTATAGTCTTTTCTATAGTCTTTTCTTGATCCTTAAAGAATGATTCATTTGATTGCTGTTTCTTATTTCACTGAACTTTTAATCATGTCACAATACTATTTTTAGGAGTGTCTATGGATTTCTACTGCCTGAGAAGATAAAGCCCCAAGTCTTCACATTAAAGACTCTCATAATCTCACATTGGCTTTCTTTTCAGTCCTTATGATCCAGAAACACCAGGTTACCCATTAGTTGCCAAGCACATTCTTTACCGTCTTCTTAGTGTCCATTCATCTACCCTCCCGCCACCATATCTCCTCCTTCATGAAGCTTTCCCAGCACAGGAACCCCAGGTGGAATGAATCACTTCTGCTCCCAGAATCCTCTGCTCCCAGTGATGGCCATTGTGGATCCTGCTGTTCCTATGTGTATAACCCCCTTGCTGTGTAGGCTGTAAGAAGCATGAGGACAGGGACTGTGCCTATTCTTTTTTATAACTGGCATTTAACATAGAGCCTGGCATATGACAGATGTCCAACAAATCATTTTAGAAGAAAATAATTTTCTTAATTAATGAATTTTTCATTGCATCTAAAAATTAGGGGGCTGAATAGTCCTTTAAATGGTGGATGCTTCTTTGGTCTGTTTTAACTTTATAAACTTACTTAAGTGGTTGTAAAATGAAGAGTGCTGTAAATCTGTTAAGACTACATCGTTTCAGTTAAGGATGACTGATTAAGCACATGTTTTTATTCCTACTCCTCTTCCAAATGTCCATAGAACTGCTATTCCCCCCACACAGAAAAACTAGTGAAAATATCTGCATTAATGCTGCAAAATAGGGAAAAGCATTATCCACATGAAAACAACTTGGAGGAATTTCTGCTGAATATAGTGCAGAGGCAAGAAGTCAGATGAAACCCACCCATAGTTGAAGATATGCAAAGTAGCCCCCACCGGAGCAGCCAATGGAAAAGCACCCCTGACGTGAGCTCTTGGAAATCTCCTTGAATCAAGGCCTTGGTGCGCCATCTATAAACGCTGCTAAAATGTCGTGGATATAAATGGAAAAGTTGAGGCTGGTTGACAAAGTTGATAAAACCTCTAAAAGATGATTCAAATGAACAAAATGTGTCAAAAACAAATTATGAGATAATCAGGGAAATGTGAACCCAGACTGGATATTTAATATTTCAATGATTGTTAAATTTCCTGTGGAATAATGGAACATGAGACTTTGGTTACACTTTGTATTTATTTATTTATTTATTACTATTTTACTTTAAGTTCTGGGATGCATGTACAGAACGTGCGGGTTTGTTACACAGGTATATGTGTGCCATGGTAGTTTGCTGCCCCTATTGACCTGTCCTCTAAGTTTCCTCCCCTCACTCCCCACCCTCCCAACAGGCCTGGTGTGTGTTGTTCCCCTCTCTGTGTCCACGTATTCTCATTGTTCTACTCCCACTTATGAGTGAGAACATGTGGTGTTTAGTTTCCTGTTCCTGTGTTAGTTTGCTGAGGATGTTGGCTTCCAGCTTCATCCATGTCCCTGCAAAGGACATGATCTCCTTCCTTTTTATGGCTGTGTAGTGTTCCATTGTGTTATGTACCACATTTTCTATATCCAGTCTATCATTGACGGGCATTTGGGTTGGTTTCATGACTTTGCTATTGTGAATAGTGCTGCAATAAACATACGTGTGCATGTGTCTTTATAGTAGAATAATTTATATTCTTTTGGGTATATACCCAGTAATGGTATTGCAGAGTCAAATGATATTTCTGGTTCTAGATCCTTGAGGAATCACCATACTGTCTTCCATAATGGTTGAACTAAATTACATTCCCACCGACAGTGTAAAAGCATTCCTATTTCTCCACAGCCTCGGCAGCATTTATTGTTTCTCGACGCTTTAATAATCACCATTCTGACTGACATGAGATGGTATCTTATTGTGGTTTTGATTTGCATTTCTTTAATGATCAGTGATGTTGAGCTTTTTTTCATGTGTTTGTTGGCTGTGTAAAAGTCTTCCTTTGAGAAGTGTCCATTCATATCCTTTGCCCACTTTTTGATGGGGTTGTTTGTTTTTTTCTTGTAGATTTGTTTAAGTTCCTTGTAGATTCTGGATATTAGACCTTTGTTAGATGGATGGATTTCAAAAATTTTCTCCCATTCTGTAGGTTGCCTGTTCGCTCTGATGATAGTTTCTTTTGCTGTGCAGAAACTCTTTAGTTTAATTAGATCCCATTTATCAATTTTGACTTGGCATTTTCATCATGAAGCCTTTGCCCATGACTATGTCCGCAAGGTTTGTCTAGGTTTTCTTCTAGAGTTTTTATGGTTTGGGGTTTTACATTTAAGTCTTTAATCCATTTTGAGTTAATTTTTGTATAAGGTGTAAGGAAGGGGTTCACAAGCATGGTGCTGAAACCCTGCATAGTGTTCCTAAGTACAAGAACGCTATGTGTGCCTTACAGAGAAAATGCATGTGTTCAGTAAGCTTCATTCTGGCATTACTTATAGTGCTGTTGGCGGTAAATTCAATGTCAATGAATCAACAACATAAATAAAGTGTCTTTAAACAGAAACATGCATTATACAAGTTTATGTATTAATCAGTTGACAAAAATGTTGTGGCCAGAGGCTCTCAGGAACCTAATCCTGTATTTTCCCTAGGAGCAATGATTCAGTATTCACTAATTCAGTGTTCACAGTGATTTTAAAAAACATAACTACCATGAATAACAAGAATTAACTGTAATCACAGATGAAATATGTGTCTGAAATTTGCTTCAAAGTAATCCAGGGGACTGGCAGTAGAAATATACATGGAACAGACTGGCCATTTGTAAATTGTTGAAGGTGTATGATGAGTACATGAGTGTTCATTATACTGTTCTCTCAACTTTTGTATATATTTGAAATTTCCAATAACAAAAGTTTTAATTTTTAAAAGAGAGAGACAGAATGGCATAGCAGAAATACAAGTTTGGATCTTCTTCAGGCATTAAAAAATCATTTAGTGTGGTATATAAAGAAATATAATTATTTAGAAGTAGAATGAATTAAATTTCATGTTAAGTATAAATGATCCAGTGCCATGTAAAGTCAGTATATACAAACCCCCCAAAGCAAAAGAGAGTGTATGAGTGTGGGCTCTATAAATTGTAGGTAATATAGAAACTTACATGTCATTTTTAGAAAGTGAAAAGAAAAAGACAAGAGACATCTAAATAAAAGCCTATGTTCTGCCATTTAACTGTAATAAAGCTCAGTTTCTAACTTTCAGGCTTGTCTATCCCATTAATAAATCTGCTTCAGGCTCCTGGGACAGCTCTGCCTGCCTCTGCTCCCTCCTCACTGGGAGAGTTCGTAACAGGTCAAGTCCGAGGGCTAATGCCCCACTTCGTCACTACCTGTTTCCACTGCAATGCCTCAACTTGCTCTCCAGCTCTCTGACACTTATTCAACAGTTAAGTTTGCCAAACTAAAGCCTCTATGTCCTTCCATCCTTCCTCATCTCCTACCACAGTGTTTTCCAAATCCATTCTGAGGGGTGCTACAGCTCCGGAGACATTCCCCAGGAGCACAAAGGCAGAGAAGCTGGAGTCCCGGGTGCTACTGCAGCATAGAGGGCTCTGCTTTTATCTGTTTTGTATTTTGAGTTTTGCAAAAGATTTTGCAAGAGGAAAAAATGTTCTGTTTTTTAGGAAAAAAAATTGAACAAGCCAAACTTCTGAGACATTTTTTATGATGGGAGCACATGGGGCTCAATGTGTGTGTGTGTGTGTGTGTGTGTGTGTGTGTGTATCCCAGCTGTTCCTGGTGAATCCTGGCTTACACCAGGTGAATGACTCAGACTTACTCTACATCTTTCATTCTGTTTTCTTAACGAAGAAAAGAAAAAGGCTCTTTTGCAGCCCAAATCGATATAGGTTCCTCTGAAGTGCTTAGCAATGGCCAGATTTGCATAAAGCTGTGTGTTGTTTTGGGATCTTCAGCTTGAGAAAGATTTGGAGAACTCTGAGAGATTTTAAATCATCATTATCATTTTTTGAGAGCCTTTTGTATGCTGGTCATCACACTAGTTACTTTGCATTTAGTATTGTATTTAAGGCTCTCGATAAACTTGCAAAGTAGTTGGTAGCATCTGCAGGCATCAGCACTCTAGCACAGGCAAGTGACCTATACCCAGATCTCATTAGCATAAGCCACAGAAGCTCACAAAAGCAAAATGCAGGAAATGACGAGTACAGCCTGTCTCTGGAAGGACCGGAATCCAGAGCTCCAATGCCAGCAGAATGCCCCCTGCCTTCTCTCCTCTCAGCCTTTATGTTTACTTAACATTTGTACAACTGGGAAGATGGTCACTTTACATGCTTTCCGTGAAAACAGAGACCTTTTTTGTTTATTTGTTTTATTTTCCTAAGGTCTTTTTTTTTACAGCAGGGTTAGGATAACAGAAAAATAAGTCGGCTTCACATGCACAACCTCTCCTATCATCAGCATTTCTCACCAGAGTGGTACATTTGTTGTAATTAATGAACCTACATTGACACATCATTATCACACAGAATCCTTAGTTTACATTAGGGTTCACTCTTGGTGTTGTATGTTTTATGTATAACGACATGGATCCATCATTAAAATATCATACAGAATAGTTTCACTGCCCTAAAATCTCTGTGATCTGACTGTTCATCCCTTCTTCACCCTAACCCCAGGAAACCACTCATCTTTTTACGGTTTTCATAGTTTTAGCTTATCCAGAGTGTCTTATTGGAATTGTAGTGTGAAGCCTTTTCAGATTGGCTTCTTTCACTTTGCAACATGCATTTGAGGCTCTTCCATGGCTTTTCATTGCTTGATAGCTCATTCCTTTTTCATGCCGAATAATATTCTGTTGTCTAGATGTACCAATGTATTTATTCATCTACTGAAGGACATCTTGGTTGCTTCTAAGTTTTGGCAATTATGTATAAAGCTGCTATAAACATCTGTGTGCAGATTTTTGTGTGGACGTAAGTTTTGAAGCCCAAGGAGTGAAACTGCTGGATTGTATGGTGAGACCTTGCATTTTCATTGCAATATTTCCAGCAGCTAGAACAATGTCTTGCACATGGAAGACACTCAAAATATACCTGTTGAATGAAGGGATGGAATGAAAGCGTGGTTGGAATTTTGCAAGTTCCGTCACTCTATGCTCATAGCAAAGAGACTGTGGCACATCCTGTTGTACAGTATATCATTGTGAGCATTGAGTATATCATTGTGAGCATTGAGTATATCATTGTGAGCACTGAGTATATCATTGTGAGCGTTGAGTATATCATTGTGAGCGTTGAGTATATCATTGTGAGCGTTGAGTATATCATTGTGAGCATTGAGTATATCATAGTGAGCATTGAGTATATCACTGTGAGCGTTGAGTATATCATTGTGAAAATTGAGTATATCATTGTGAGCATTGAGCAAATGCATCACTGTACCCTAGCCTGTCTCCAGCCAGCCTTCGGCATGGCCTCCACTAGTGGATTATTATATCTTACTTTTACCTAAGTTATTCCAAATAGGGGTTTGTTTTTTTTTTTTTTTTGGCATGATGTGTGTGACTCTAGAGATAAAACAAGATCAGAACATTGTCTTTCCATGAAACATACGGGCAGGTATGCATACACAGCTCTCTTTGACTCTGGGTGACCACAGAAGCCACTGTCATTTATTTAGGGGCAATTCCTCTTAGCTACAACCCACCAAATAATTTCGCTGTGCTTCTATAATTTTAATTTGAAAAAGAAGCATCCTCCCAAGAGTTGAGTCCTGAAGAGTGTCAAGCACTCAGCCTCAGATATCCTATACATTAAATGAAAGATTTGGAACAATGGCTCAAGGAATCATCTGGCTCATTCTAAACATCCTATCACCTGTCTCTCACCCACACCTAGGCCTAGCTCCTATTCATATTTTTTTACTATTTGGGACCAAATCTAGTGTATTTTCCTCCCCTTGGAGTTCTGAGGAGGTGCTATGTTTCTTCTGTATAAATCACACAAACGCATTCCAATATTAGTACTTAAAAAATGTAAGACTCTAGTAGGCCTTCCAGAGAAACAGACAATACAGAAATAATGCATAATATTTATATTGTATAATATAGACTCTATTAAAATATATAATGTTAGGTAATAAAAAGGCAAAGTATAGGACAATGCTGTCCCATAGAAGATTTCAATTTCTAGCAGTTACATTAAAAGTAAAACAAAAGCAATTAAATTAATTTAATAGTATATTTTATAAAACCAAATATATCCAAAATATATTTACTTCAACATGTAATGAATATAAACATTAAGGAGATATTTTACATTTTTCCCTACCTAATCTTCCAAATCCTTAAAAATCTTTGAAATTCAAATGTATTTACACTTACAGCATTTCTCAGTTTGGAAGCTAAATGTTCCAAGGTTAAAGAGAAATGTAGTTCCATCAGACAATCGAGTTGTTTTAACAGAGCAATATTTTACATTCCTTCAGTTTTCAAATTTAAATTGGCTACAGTTAAGTACAACTAGGAACTCGGTTCGTCGCTTGCATTGGTCACATATCACGGGCTCAATACTGGACAGCAAAGTACAGTATAGGAAGTTATGTTGCAGGGAGAGGCTGTTTGAGATAAAGAAGTCAGGGAGATCTTGTGTGAAGATGACACTCGAGCAGAGACGTGAATGGAATGAGAGCGGGAGGCTGCCAAGATGTGGGGAAAGAGCATTCCCGGAAAGGAGAAATAAAAAGTGCAAAGGTCCTGGAAATGGGATCGTAAACATCCAAACACACGTATAACCTTCAAAGCTGTGACCTTGTGGGCTGGGGAGATGGTGTCTATCTGCTTATTCTAAGGATGGTACAAAATCTTTTTGGTATCTGGGACACAAAGTTCCTAAAATATGCACTACTTCTCCTTTATGTCGTTCGTTGGAGCAAAACATGAGATTCCTCTTTGTTATTAAAAAAATAAGTAAAAGGAGCTTAAGGCTCTGAGTCTGGACCCAGGATTATCCAGCTGTGTCCCTCCAGCTCTGTGATGTGCACCAGTAAAGAGAAACGACAAGAACACAACTTCTAGATAATGCCACCTTGCAGACCGATGCTACTTGCTGTCGCCTCACCCGTGCCCTGGAGAAGGGCTCACGGTGGCCATCTGCATTTAGCTAATCTCAGTGTTATTTTCTCTCGGCAGTTTTCTGGACAGCTGACACCTTCGACAGTGATATGAGAAGTAGGCTCCCAAACAGCGCTGTCCAGAGTCCACTCAGAGAAGTCGAGCAAATGGATGAAAGCGTCCTTATCGTCGCTTTTTCTTAGGCAAGTTAGACAGAGGTGTGTACGCTGCTGAATAATCTCAGTCAGGGACAGAAAGTCTAGAAGGGCCAAATGGCCAAGAGCTGAAAGGTGTCTCAAGTGGGCCTTCCCCTCCAGGGAGCAGGAAGGACACGGAGTATAGGGGAGAAGGTCAAGGGACAAATGCTCCCAACTCCGTGCATATGGAAGTCCCTGCCGTACCCACACTCTGACATCTGCATACAAAAAGCAAATGCCAAGTGTGTGCACAGTATGGTTGAAATAAATAAGAAAGATAGAAGGGTTTAAAATAACCAAAATAGATTTGGTTAGAGTGATTGGTTGAATTTTTTCTACTAAATTATCTTAATAATTTGCATTAGTTAGAAGTCATAAAGAAACAAAGTTTGGGCTTTTTAATTTAGGGTTAGCCCTGTTTAGTCTTTCAGCTCCTCTGATCCCTACAGAATCCCCAGTGGGCCTTGAGAAGGAAGAATCCAGAGGTGTTTTGCTCAGGCCTGACTCCAACACGTCTCCTGAATTAAAGCCCCATAAAGATAATATTCAGCCTTAAAAAAGAAAGAAAGAAATATTGCCATTTATGACAACATGGATGGATCTGAAGGACATTAGGCTGAGTGAAATAAGCAAGTCACAAAAAGACAAATAGCACATGATCTCACTTCTATATGGAATCTAAAAAAGTCAAATTCATAAAAGTTAGAGTTGTTACCAAGAGCTGGGAAGGCCAGAGTGGGAAGCTGTTGGTCGAAGGATATAAAATTTCAGTTAGGAAGAATAAGTTCAAGAGCTCTATTGTACAACACAGTGACTACAGTTAATAACAATGTATCGTATGCTTGAAAATCCCTGGGAGAATAGACTTTCAGTGTTCTCACCACAAAGAAATAGTAGGTAGCTGAGGCAATACGTATGTTAATGAGTTTCATTTAACCATTTCACAATGTATGCAGATTTCAAAACATCATGTATACACCATAATTATATGCCATTTGTATTTGTCAATTTTTTTTAAAGCCTGTGAGGTTGAGAATACTCCTGCTTGTTTACCAGGTAGCTCCACACTCAAAAAATATTTATTGAATGAATGGCCAACATCGTATTGTAAGTCACAGCCCAAACTACCAGCCAGGAGAACAAATGCATAGAAGAAGAACCGTGCGCTGCAGGGAGAAGCAGAGGGTTTTAGAAAATGAGCTCGCAACAAAAATTAGCCAGGAGTGGAGGCGGGCGCCTATAATCCCAGCTACTTGGGAGGCTGAAGCAGGAGAATCACTTGAACCCGGGAGGCGGAGGTTGCAGTGAGCCGAGATTGTGCCACTGCACTCGAGGCTGGGTGACAGAGCAACATCCTGTCTAAAAAAAAAGGAAAAGGAAGGGAAGGGAGGGGAGGGGAGGGGAGGGGGGGGGAAGGGGACGGGAGGAGGGGGGAGGGGAGGGGAGGGGAAGGGAAGGGAAGGGAAGGGAGCCCCTGAAGGCATTTCTGGAGTCAGCTGAGGAAGGAGGTTCCAGGCAGCTGCTTTGAAGTTTATCCAATGCCTATGGATTTTTAAGTCCAGGGACAAAAGGGACTGGGGACACAATAACACCTGCCCTCACAGGTTCAAGATGCTTTTAACTAGCATATGTGTTTGCCCTGCCATTCGGAAGCTAAAACAAGACAGGCAGTGGACCCAGCCCCATGCCCTCACTGACCATCCAGCAGTAAAGATGAGCACCTGGCACCCTGCATGGGGACACGCAGCTGACAGATACAGGGGGAGTGCCGAGCCACGCCTCCTTGCTGCCCTTGGGAGAGATCTGGGAGAGAGAAGAGAAGCAAATGATCTCTCTTGACCCTCCAGTCAGATAGTATCTTTCCATCCTCTGGCCTCCCATACTACCATCTAAAGTGTCATCAGGTAGAAGGCAGAGCAGATGTCCTTGGCCCTTCCAGAAGGAAGCATTCAGCTCAGTCTGACAAAGAACTCCCTTGCCGTCAGTGCTACACGCAGGATGGGCTGCTTCTCAAAGCCAGGTCCCTGTCCCAGCCTTAAGGACCATGTCTGCAATGTGACAGAGGAAAAATCTCCATTTGGAGGAGGCTTGAACCCGATGATCTACCTTTCTAATAACAGGGAGCTGGCATCTATGGCCAACACCAACTGGCCTGCCCCAGCAATGGACCTGGATACATCATACTCCACTCCAACCTCTGGACTCAAAAGCCTGCGAGTCCTTTGTCCCCTGGCTGTGGAACAGCCTATAATTTATCATGCAAACTTAGGACACTGTTTTTTGGGTTTTTTTTTTTTCTTTAATTTTTTTTTTGAGACAGAGTCTTGCTCTGTCACCCAGGGTGGAGCTCAGTGGCGCCATCTCCGCTCTCACTGCAACCTCTGCTTCCCAGGTTCAAGTGATTTTCCTGCCTCACCGTCTGGAGTAGCTGGGACTACAGGCGCACCCCACCACACTTGGCTAATTTTTGTATTTTTAGTAGAGATGAGGTTTTGCCATGTTGGCCAGGCTGGTCTCGAACTCCTGACCTCAAGTGATCCGCCCAACTCAGCCTCCCAAAGTGCTAGGATTACAGGCATGAGCCACTGCACCCGGCCTTAGGACACTTTTTCAAGTGAAAGACGACAGTAATAATAACAATAGCAGTAGCACAACAGGGCAGATAAGGAGGTATAGTCACCATGACTAGAGTGCACTCTTAGCAAAAATGCCCAGACTTATGGTGGGATCTATAATTCTAAACCACAACATTTATTTTATTCATATTTTTATTTTTAGAGACAGGGTCTTGTTCTGCTGCCTTGGCTGTAGTGCAATGGGACGATCACAGCTCACTGTAACCTTGAACTCTGAGCTCAAAAAATCCTCCTGCCTGGCCTCTTGAGTAGCTGAGACTACCGGCTTCAGCCACCGTGCTGGCTAATTTTTGGTAGAGATGGGGGTCTCACTATGTTGTCCAGGCTAGTCTTGAACTCCTGGCCTCAAGCGATCCTCCCACCTCAGCTTTCCAAAGTGTTGAGATTACAGGCACGAGCCACCGTGCTTGGCCTAAACCACATTTATTAACATGCTAAAAATCTGCCTGGTACCATTAAAGACTGAAGCCTTTCAATGAATATAGCAATAAATATAGCAAGGCACTATCACATAAAAACCTGTGGGCTGGGAATTCTGGTGGATATGGAATACTTAATGAGGGTGGGAGAATTACAGAGAAATGGAAGTCCTCTGGTTTGAAGAGCAGGAGAGAAGTACTGAGAAAGTGAGAGTGGTAGGGGACAAATCAAATTGTATTTCTTTTTTTTTTATTTGAAATGGAGTTTCGCTCTTGTTGCCTAGTCAGTGCAATGGCACCATCTCAGCTCACTGCAACCTCCGCTTCCTGGGTTCAAACGATTCTCCTGCCTCAGCCTCCCGATTAGCTAGGACTACAGGCACGCGCCACCACACCCAGCTAATTATGTATTTTTAGTAGAGACGGGGTTTCACCATGTTGGTCAGGCCAGTCTTGAACTCCCGACCTCAGGATATCTGCCCGCCTCAGCCTCCCAAAGTGCTGGGATTGCAGGCGTGAGCCACCGCGCCCGGCCTCAGAATTGTATTTCTGTAGATATTTTTAATCATCCTTAAAATAACACTAAGGAAAACTCAACTCTTCATAAACGTGATTGATTTTGGGGGGCGGTTTGCGGGATGTCTGGAATAGAATTGGGGGAGATAAAGCTCCTACTCTACTGTCGCCTCACGGCACCATCACCAAGCCACACCTCTGTGCTGGCACTGCCTGGATTTACTATGAGCCACCCATGTGACTAAGCACATTTCTAAACATCTGACGCTCAGAGTCCTCAGTCTGTAAAGCCAAGCACCCAGAGGCCTTTGCCACTAGCTTTCCGTGTAGCTTGGACCTTCTGTGACCTCACTCTCCTGTTGACCTACAGCAAAATAGCTGACGTCATGCCAAGCCTCGCAGACCTACCAGAGTGATTCATTTAATAATATTTGTAATCTTTGAAAGATGAGGTTGCTCCATAAAAGGGTTAGAAAATAACTGTGACTTTTGTAATGTGTTAACATGCATACCTAGGAGTCTCTCCTGTCCAAACACCATTATAACCGCCTGCTCTCTTACTTTCTTTCACTGGCTTCTTATTTTTTTTCCCCTCTGGGGCTCCTAAAGTCAGACTCACATTGGAATGGTTTGCAAACTCCCGTCTTTCCTGATTGGGTCCATCTGAATGGAGCCGTCACCAATGTCTTCACAAATGGCATTTCCATTAACATTTCTATTTCTGTCCATTCGGGGCACCTAAAGATTTCCCACCAAGATTTACATCAACTATTTTAAGAACGTGCTTTTAAAAAGCCAATGAGTTTGCTAAGTTTAAATCTGACTTTCTCAAGGGATGCTTAAAAGAAATATACAAAGTTTTTTTAAAAGAACCTTTGTAAGTTCAAAATAACATTCCAAAAGGAGTCACTAGGAAAACATTCAAGGGAAGAGAAAAAATTTTTTTTTGCATTTGTGGCAGACCTGGCTTTATCTTAATGTTCTATGTTTGTTTTTCGACGCAGAAAAGTCAAATAGCCATAAGAGTCACAAAATAATTGAAAGAAAAATGGCTTGGTGCTTCTCATGTCTAGAATATTTATAGCAGAGGGAGGAGCTAGGCTGTGTATATCCATTATTCAACAGGCCAGGTAAAGACAGAAGATTGGCCAACGGCAGCTCAAAGACAGAGCCCTGGGGATTCTCTTAGGTCTTATGGAAGCTGCATCAGAGCTATTGCTAAACTATGTCAACTGTAACTTTCCATTAGCCTGATGACCTGTGATCTACCAATGCCACAACATGACTGGAATGCTCAGACAGTTACCAAACAGGAAGATAAGCCATGGGTAATTATTTCAATAGAAACTTAGAGTTGAAGTGATTGTTCCTGTAAGAGTCTATTAATTAGAATTAGATTTTGCTGCTAAACTAAAAAACTCTCCTAATAGTGGCCTAATCATAAAAAGAGTCCAGAGGTAGGCAGCCTGTGGCTGGTGTGATGTCTGGTATGGTGACACCAAAGAGTCATCAGGGACCCAGGCTCTGAACTGTATCCTCTGCCAACTTGAGCATGTGGCTTCCATTCTCCAGGTTACTTCATGGTCTCAAATAGCTATTCTCTATCATGGCTATCTATCAGAACGGCACACTTCAAGTAGGAGGAAAGAGAGAAAGGAGGGAAAGTGTGGTCTCCTCTATTTTAAAGAGATTTCTAGAAGCCCCGCACAACACTTCCATTACAGCTCATTGGCCAGAGCTTGGTCACATAACAATTACCAGCCCAAAAAAGACGGGGAGCTGCTAATTTCCACAAGTACCCATCAGTCTCTTTCACAAATAGCAACTGTGCTTACTGAGTCTTTTCGTGTCTTTCAGAAGCACCCGCTTGCCTAAATCCATCACTTCATACTGGAAAAGCCTTTATGAACATTTGCTCACATTAGGTGTAAAAAATAATCCAGAAGTTTAAAGAGAATGCTGTTTTCCATGAACTGTAATAAATGATAAGTATTTAAACCTTAAAATGGGTTGGGTGTGGTGGCTCACGCTTGTAATCCCAGCACTTTGGGAAGCCAAGGCGGGTGGATCACCTGAAGTCAGGAGTTCAAGACCAGCCTGACAAATATGGTGAAACCCCATCTCTACTAAAAATACAAAAATTAGCTGGGCATGATGGTGGGCGCCTGTAGTCCCAGCTACTCAGGAGGCTGAGACAGGAGAATTGCTTGAACCTGGGAGGCGGAGGTTGCAGTGAGCAGAGATCACACCACCTTGCTCCAGCCTGAGCGACAGAGAGAGACTCTGTTAAAACAAAAACAAAAACAAAACAAAAAAACCTTAAAATGGTAGGTAAGAGTATCTTCCTGTGCTTTCTCCAGAAATAAATAAGAAAAAAAAAAGTCCATGTTATAAATCTAATAATGATATGTTGTCCTAAATTTACTTTTGCAGGAAAATAAGAAAACCATTAGTTTTCCAGAGAACCCACGCTTACCCTGACATGCTTACAGCATTCATCAGCAGAGATCCTAAGGTCTCCATAATTCTATATAGAAGAGTTCAAGGGGTAACAGTCTGGTTGGGAGGGCAGAAGTTAGGGGGAGTTCGAGGTAGTAAAATTCTTCTTGAAGTTGCATGTCTAAGGCAAGTATGGTACCCATGACATGTCCAAAATCTGTTAATTTCAAGAAATATTTCCCAAACTTAGTAATCGCCCCTCCCATGAGGAAGCAGCTTTGCCACAAAAGGTAGTCTTGTGCTGCCAGCTTTCCCCGTGATCCTATACGATAAATGTTTACAGAGAAGGTGCCACTAACAGAACGGAGCCGTATTCAGACACCATTCTATAAAGGGGCTGCTTTTTCCTGGCAGCGTGCAAGATTCCTGGCAGGTTCCAAGATCTTGACTGATAATGTGAAGTGGGTCTTCTGGCTTTAACTATTTCTTTTCATTTTAACACAAAATAAGGGTTTCTTTACACCAAAATATATAATAATCAAAATAAAGGGCTTATTTGAGAATAACTGTGTCCATTATTTATACACTATGGGAGGAACTATGTGCCAGGCACAAAGCTGTTAACTTAAACTATGATCTACCACAAACTACCAATAACACGGCACTGGTGTTATCTACCACAACGGCTTCAGTGGGCAGGTTGTTGATTCAGTTAACGGGAAGGTGTTTCCATTCTGGTCTTTTCTGCCTCCTCCTCTTAAGCCTAGAGCCATGCAACCTCATGCCTACAAACAGGTTTAGGAACCTCCTGAAATCGTGTGTTAAGTTCTGTGTATTTGTGTGTTTGCATTGGGAGCAGGATGCTCGTGAGATTCCCAGAGAGGTCTGTGATTCTTAAAATTGCTGCCGTAATATTGTATATTTCAGCTAATGCAGATCTCCTAAAGAGCAAACCTGAAGGTTGCCTCTTTTCTCCCTATCTGCCAGGGGACAAGGAGAGGTGTCCTGGGTAGAGAGAACACCTTGTCTACCTGGTAAACTCCTGCTTAGACTTATTATCCCAGCACCAAATCTGTCTTTTCTGTAAAGCTTTCTCCCTACTTGTCTATGAATTCTCTGAAGCTCAGATTGACATTCCAGATACAGACGAACGAACAGATAGAGCCTCTCCTTTTGGTTGCCAGTTTTGCATTATTCACGGATCTACTTCTCTTCTGAATAAGATTAGTCTTTTCCTTAATTTGGGGTAAATATTAATTGCAGCGCGTGAAGTTGTGGAATGTTTAGGCTTCAAAACAAACAATTCTAATTCATTGAACTTTGATCCATCTCTTTCTCTTTTGTCTTGCAGATTCCAGTGCTGCAACTATATTCAATAAATGGGCCTTGTTCAAATCCTGAGTACAAATACTGTCTTCTCTTTAACGGAGCTGTTTCATGCTTCTGCCTTTCTGTAGAAGGAAAACAACGTCCATTCTCAGGCTTATCTGAATCTAGCACCACTTTTCACAAGTTATTTTTGCTTCAAGCTACTTTATGTGGTTCTCTATTAATTTCCTATCTCCACCCTCAACAGTAAGGAGATACTAAAAACTGTCCATTTGGTTCCGCTTGTGGGATTTTACTGATTTTTAATTTTGCAATACTGTCTTGCATATTTTAAATCTGCGTATCTCTAAGATGACTCTCCAGAGCTGATGAATTTTCTCTTCCATGCTGATGAGCCAGCCATGGGAGAGTGGAGGAGTGGGGGAGGAAAGAGTTACTGTCTCGCGAGCTGTGAGTCTGCCTGCCCACAGCGGCGTTTTGGATGAGACTCATTATTTGTGGAAATGGTGTGTTCCACAGGCAAAAATAACTTTTTAAAAAAAGAACATCTCTGCACTCTCCTGAAGTCATCTCAAAATGAATTCAAGATTTCTCATGAAATGGAGAAAGCTTTCTGATGGCCTGAATGGTTCCTTGTGTACTTGACCATGCCACGTTAAATCTAATCTAGGTAACATTAGGGTCCAGAAAAAGCTAATAGAGGCTTAATGATGAGGTAATGAGCACAGAGGTCAAGGGTAGGAAACAGGTTTTCTATTTGGAGCCTCATAGCCATGGGAAAATCTCAGTTGAGAACCAGAAAGAAGCAGAAAGGAGCAATTGAAGTAGAAGAATATGCTCCCTTTCCTTTACCTGATTTTAAATTAAACATGAAGGACACCACGTTTTGGATAATAACTTGTGTTCACATGAGGACCTGTTAAGGAAAAAAGAGAAAAAAGGAAGGAAAGGGAGAAGGTAAATAGGGGAGAGAACAGGTAAAGGAAGAATTGACAAGATGTCTGAAAAAAAATAACCAGGCCGGGCCCAGTGGCTCATGCCTGTAATCCCAATACTTTGGGAGGCCGAAGTGGGTGAATCACCTGAGGTTGGGAGTTCGAGACCAGCCTGACCAACATGGAGAAACCCCATCTCTACTAAAAACACAAAATTAGCCAGGCATGGTGGCGCATGCCTGTAATCCCAGCTACTCAGGAGGCTGAGGCAGGAGAATCGCTTGAACCCGGGAGGCAAAGGTTGCCGTGAGCCGAGATCGCGCCATTGCACTCCAGCCTGGGCACCAAGAGCGAAACTCCGTCAAAAAACAAACAAACAAACAAAACCCCAGCACTTTCTCTGTGCCAGGCACTGTTCTAAGTGCTTTACACTTATTAACTCTTTTACATTATGACAATTCACAAAGCCCACATTATTGCCTTCTCTGAAGAAGTAAAGCACAGAGAGGTTAAGTAACTTATCCAAGGTCAACACAGGTGGTATGTAGAGGAACTGAAATTCAGACTGAAGCAGTCAGGCTTCAGAGTCTGTGTCCTTAAAGACAATGTGATGGCAGTTGTAACTGAGGGACTGGGATAGCCAACCTCTCCTGTCCACAGAACCCTGTTCCAAATCCCATTTAGAGTCCTCAGATCCCCACTGCTCAAATCCCTTCTCTGTACTTTCTACCCGTCTGCTCCTGCCTGTACGCTCTTATTAAAGTATTTCTGAATGCCTAGCTTGGCTGGTCACCCCTCCTCCAGGTATAACCCCTGCCTAAATCCCCTGACCTATGAGACCTCAAGTCCTGTCCCTATTGGGCCTGACACCCTTGATGACACGGTCTCCAGTGAACCAGCCAAAGCATTGTTTTTCCACAGACCATGGCACCTGCAACAGCACCTCTGGCCTGTTTCTCACCAATTCATCTCATTTGCGTTCCAAGCTGATGGAGTCCCAGGTAGAATGCAGCAAGATGAACATGTCTGAACCTTAATGTCAGCATATAGGGGTTCGACAGACAGCTACTATGAGAGAATATGCAAAGTCACATGAAATTGAGGTACTTACCAGCGGATACGTGTGGGGTGGAGTTGGAGGCTGATGCTGAATGAATTCAGACACTCCTTGTCTCATCGCTGTTGAAAACTAGAAGTCTTCACTAAGCCAAGAAACTCCCTGGGGCTTAAGTTCTAGCCTTAGTAGAATGACCTTTGCAGATGGAAATAACAGCACAGAACTCTTGAATTGACGCATAAATAGTTCCAACCCTGAATATCCTCCTTGATAAACCACATGATATTGGAAATTTTTATTTTGTAAACAATACACTCCAAGCAGATTTCCCTCCATAGAAGTTCTAATCTAATGACAAGATTTGCCCCTAGTTGAGAGAAGGGGACAGTAGGGAAAGCCCTGGACTTGAGGTTAGTTGCGTTGGGAAGTGTAGTGGTTACAAGGCTGTAACTCCCAGAGCCGACCAGCTTCTGGGAGTGTTGGGGGCTTCTGGCTCTCAGCTGAATCCTATTCAGAGATTTGCTCTCAGCTAATGGGAATCACCCAAGCTTACATCTTCTTCCTAGGAACACATCTATCCAATAACTGGTTCTGGGGATGGGAGAAAAAAAAAGGCCTGATCTCATCTCTTTAAGGCAGGACAACTCTGAAGGATTATCCCAGATCCAGAGTTCCCTGGGATTCAGGGCCAGAACTAGGGTGAGGTGAGTGAAGAACTTGACTGAGATGCGAAATTTAAGGGAGAACCAAAAAATCTCAATAAACAAGCAAATAAATATTTAAATCAATATTTTAAAAAGTTAATGCAAAAAGTTTATAATAGAGTATTAAAATTTTGTGTGTGTGAGACAGAGTCTTGCTCCGTTGCCAGGCTGGAGTGCAATGGCATGATCTCCGCTCATTGCAACCTCCGATTCCCTGGTTCAAGCAATTCTCCTGCCTCAGCCTCCCAAGTAGCTGGGATTACAGGCAAGCACCACCACGCGCAGCTAATTTTTGTATTTTTAGTAGAGACGGGGTTTTACCATGTTGGCCAAGATGGTCTCGATCTCCTGACCTCGTGATCTGCCCACCTTGGCCTCCCAAAGTGCTGGGATTACAGGCGTGAGCCACCACGCCCGGCACAAAATATTTTATAGGGCTGTGGGCATAGTGGCTTTCTCCCGCAATCCCAGCATCTTTGGAGGCCAAGGAGAGAACATGGCTTGAGAACAGGCATTTGAAACCAGCCTGGGCAATATAGTGAGACTCCATTGCCACAAATAAAAAAAAAATCAAATCAAATCAAAAATTGGCTGGGCATGGTGGTGTGTGCCTGTAGTTCCAGCTACTCAGGAGGCCAAAGTTGGAGCATGGCTTGAGCTCAGGAGTTCTAGGCTGCAGTGAGCTGTGATCGCACCATTGCACTCCAGCCTGAGCAACAGAGTGAGACCCTTCCTCTAAAAAATTATAATCATAAATTTTTTTAAAATGTGGTAAATGCAAACCCTGACAGGATGGGGATTAGGGTGGGGCAAGTGAGGTCAGCCATGTAAATACAGGGTTGGATTTTGCCTTTTATTTGAAATTTTGGTTCTTTGTTCATCATGATTTTTTTTTACATTAGTTTAAACGTTTGAATACTGCATTAAAATATGTATCTTGATTACTGAGTTTTCTGGCACCCTGACATTTTGCCCTGAGGCGAGTGCCTAATAGGTCTTACTCTGCTTGAATCTGCTGAGACCTCGATCGGAAACACGTCACAGTTTAACTTCTCCTCATGCTCTATCCTGCTTTCCTCACTCCTTTGTAGGAATTATTTCCAAGCCATTCCCTGGAAAGCCTCCTGCCCCCAAACCCAACATTGGCAGAGTCACTTTTCTAGGGGCCCCCACCGAAGACAGGGAGATTACTTGGTAGTTTTGAAAGTTTATGTTTTAGACAAAGCTACATTTGAAGCTCAGCCCCCTGACCTACCAGAAGTGGGACAAGGCATGCAGTTTCTGAATCTCAATTTTCCTCTATTATCAAACGAGAAAAGCAATTCCTCCCTCTCATTTAATCCTGGAGTGCTAAGAGGAGTAAATGAGCTATCCCAGGCAAAGAACTCCATTTAGTGGTTTGTAGCAAATAACAGGTGTTCAGGAAATGTTATTATCCCTTCGTGTGTTTCAGCTTTGCCTTTCCTGGAGCCCTTAAACAGGCTGAAGTGAAAAGCACCATGACCTGTCACTACAAGACGAGAAGCCTCAGGAGAAGGAAGGAGATCCCTTTTCATTGGTTTTGCCGAGTTTCCCGAGCTCCATCCTCCTACAGTTAAATCAACACTCTTTATCCTTAGACTGCTGATAATCTCACCAACCGCTTCCTGGTAAGATCTGTAATGCGTGAGGTCTTCCTTCTTAGTTGTTTGCAAACATCAGTGATTAGGGACAATTAGGGACTGGTGTGCCTGTCATTCTTCTCCTTTCAGCTGAGGAGGAAATCCTCATGCACCGTTATCGGGAGTGAGACTTCATCTGTCAGCTGCAGTCTCAGGAATCCACGGGTTCATTCAGTCGCAACTCTAATCTCACTAACTTTATCTGTGTTCCTCAAATGCCTTAGACTATTTGCTTCCCACTGATAGGGAAACCTGACATCTCATTTTCTCAGTGTCCAGACAAAGATTCGTACATAGCAAGAAACTAAGATAGGTGTTACAGAACATGGAGGGAACCAGGAAAACCAAATAGAGGACCCCCTTCATGGGGCTTCCAACACGACAATAGGCAAAAGAGAAGAAACATACATGTAAGAGACAAGCAAAACCCAGAACCATCACTTATGAAGGATGTCCTCATCACCCTCTTTTGCTGCCTGTCAAAACCGGTGAGGGCTCATATGACACCTTAATTATGAATTAATCTTCGTTCCTCCTACACCAGCACTTCCCCTCACCCCAGTCGAAGCCATCTCTTTATATTTCCATAGCTTAAAATGCTATTTTTGGTTCTAGATGCTTTGCCTCTAGATTTGGATACTGCATCCATATTGTTGTATATTTTTTCCTTTCTATCTTTTCCACAATGTTTTTTTTTTTTAACTTTTAAGTTTAGGGGTCCAAGTGCAGGTTTGTTACATAGGTAAACTTGTGTCATGGGGGCTTGTTGTACAGATTATTTCATCACCAAGATATTAAGCCTAGTACCCATTAGTTACGTCTTTCTTCTCCCACCCTCCACCTTCCAAAAGGCCCCAGTATGTGTTGTACCTCTCTATGTGTCCATGTGTTCTCATCATTTAGCTCCCACTTATAAGTGAGAACGTGCGGTATCTGGCTTTCTGTCCCTACGTTAGTTTGCTAAGGATGATGGGCTCCAGCTTCATCCATGTCCCTGCAAAGGACATGGTCTTGTCCTTTTTTATGGCTGCATAGTATTCCATGGTGTATATGTACCAATTTTGCTTTATTCAGTCTACCATCGATGGGCATTTAGGTTGATTCAATGTCTTTGCTATTGTGAATAGTGCTGCAATGAACATACACGTGCAGGTGTCTTTATCATAGAATTATTTATATTCCTTTGGGTATATATCCAGTAATGGGATTGCTGGGTTGAATGGTAGTTCTGTCTGTAGGTATTTGAAGGATCACCACACTGTCTTCCGCAGTGGCTGAACTAATTTACACTCCCACCGGCAGGGTCAAAGCATTTCTTTTTCTCCACAACCTCGCCAGTGCCTGTTGTTTTTTGACTTTTTAATAATAGCCATTCTGACTGGCGTTAGATGGTATCTTGTGGTTTTGATTTGCATTTCTCTAATGACCAGTGATGTTGAGCTTTTTCTCATGTGATTTTCAGCCACATACATGTCTTCCTTTGAAAAGTGTTCATGTCCTTTGCCCACTTCTTTATGTGGTTGTTTGTTTTTTTCTTGTAAATTTATTTAAGTTCATTATAGATGCTGGATGTTAGACCTTTGTCAGATGCATAGTTTGCAAAAATTTTCTCCCATTCTGTAGGTTGTCTGTTTACTCTGTTGATAGTTTCTTTTGCTATTCCACAATGTTTTGTGCAAGATAAGTGCTTAGCAAATGCTTGTAAAGGAATGCCTGCACCAGGAAAGTCCAATAGCTATGAATAAAGAAAGAAAGGACAAGTTCCAGGGGAGGTGATTTTTTTTTCATTTTCATTTTTTTAGACAGCTTTTAAAGGAATGGAGTAGCATGTTCTTCTGGAGCAGGAGTTACAAATTGGACCTCTAAGGGCCACATTCAGCCTATCCACATGGTTGCAGCACTGACAGAGTGTTTTGAAATTTTAAACTCTGAATACTTGTAGATAACATATGCATGCCACAATAAACTGCATTTCCATCACCTCATGCTGCTCTTGGCGTCTATGACACATGCCTGACTCACAGGCCATTTGAATTCGAGAGTCTGGCTCTGCAGCCTGCTGTCTATAGCATTTCCCTCTCCAGAGTAAGTTCTCCCTGGCCAAAGCATGTTGAGGATTAGGTAAATGTGTGTGTGTTTCTCTAATTTCTCTAGTCTTCTTCTTCTTCTCTTTTTTCTTCTCCTTCTCCTTTTTCTTCTCCTTCTCCTTCTCCTTCTGCTTCTTCTCCTTCTCCTTCTCCTTCTTCCTCTTCTTCTTCTCCTTCTCCTCCTCCTCCTCATTCTTCTTCTTCTTCCTTCTTCCTTCTTTCTTCTTCTTCAGACAGAGTCTCACTCTGTCACCCAGGCTGCAGTCCAGTGGTGTGATCTCTGCTCATTGCGACCTCCACCTCTGAGGTTCAAGTGATTCTCCTGCCTCAGCCTCCCAAGTAGCTGGGATTACAGGTGCCCACCACTACACTCGACTAATTTTTGTATTTTTAGTAAAGACGGGGATTACTATATTGGTCAGGCTGGTCTCGAACCCCTGACCTCAGGTGATCCATCTGCCTCGGCCCACTAGTCATCTTCTTAAATGTAGATTAAGACCTTTTATTTCTAGGCCAATACCAGATCTGGGAAAAAACATAGCAATCATTCAGGGACAACCAAATAACAAGGCTTTATTCCAATTAATCCTCACAACAACCTTGAAATTAGGCATTATCATACCCATTTTACATATGAGCAAACTGAGGCTCAGAAAAGTTAAATAACTTGCCCAAAGCTACAAGAGCTGGGAAGCATGGGAAACAGAATTCAAACGTAGATCTGAGTGCTTCCCATACCCTTAATCTTCTCATAATTTGGAATTGCCAGGGAGGCAAGCAGGCATGTAGAACGTTCATTTCCACAGGCAGAGTTGCAGGGCGAGATGTGACCCGTGTTCCATGACACGTGTTCTGAGCAGCACAGGGGTCTGTATACAAGTAATTCCTGTTTATCTGCAGCAAGGCAGGCAAGTCATGTGCAGATAATCCAAAAATAGTTTCTAATTTTTCTTGGGATAAATATAAATTTTTGGCAACAGGCACCCCTTTCAAAGTGTGTTTTGATTAGAGTTACATGAAAAGACATTTTTATTCTCTGAGGATGTGCCAGCTAATGGGCAGAAGGGAACTAAGAAGAGTGCCAGCCTGATCTCCCTTCTCCCCTCCAATAAAAGGGCTGTGTACGGTCTACAGAGCCGCTGGTGAAAGACTTGGGGTGGAAATACAGCACCTGGGCTCCGGCTGACTCTCCACCACTCTCGAATGCAAAACCCAACTCAACACTCCTCTTTTTACTGATGAGGAACTAAGATCGGGTTGTGAGGTGTCTTGGCCAAGATCACATGGCAAAGTAGTAGAGAAATGGAATTCAGAATCTAGGTCCCTTAACTTCCTCTTTTTTCAATATAAATTCTCCTTTCTGATTTTAATGTCAGACAGCTCCAAAGTCAGTAATGGCCAGGAGCTGAGACAAAGAGATGTTTGCATATAATTCAAAGTATGGACCCAAAATATGAGAGACAGAAAATGATAGTTGTGCAAATCTGTTCTAAGCCCAGAAGCTGGGCTTCCATGAATACCTCTCTTCTGACAACTCATTAGGAACCTGGAGACAGTAGAGAGGCAATCTGTGCAGAGTAGACGGAGCTGAACCATGGGGGCAGGCAGACCTGTGTGATTGTGGACACATTACTTAAACTCTCTTGGCTTTTTCTCAACTGCAAAATTCAATTACTGTGAGAATTCATGGTGAGCATAGAAGCATCTGGCCTAGAAAAGCCTCATTGCAAATGGATGGTCTTGTTCCTGGGACTCAATGCAAACAAATGGTCAGATTCAGTCCCTGTGGCTGAATCTGGCTCCTGTTGAGTGATTTATTGATTAGATTTATTGATTTGGTGATTTACTGGCAGATCTCCAAAGTATCTCCTTCTAAACAAATGCAATAGATGGAAGAGAAATCAATATATTAGCATGGAAAGGAAAATAAGATCTATCCTTCCTGACCCTCAAACTCAAAACCTATACTCTTCTGTCCCACAATCAGTTGTAAGAGTGGAAATTGTGACGTAGTGGGCAGGGAATGTGTGAAAGGAAAGAAGCAGGAAATGAAGCAACCCTAGGGCCTCCTCTTCTGAGTGCCCAGGCTCAGGTAGACCAAGGTTGACCAAAGTTGCCCAGCCAGTGCAAAGAGGAGGGTCATTCTGCCCAGAAAAGACAAACCAATGAGCACTCATGTTTCTGCCTTTAAGATGAGACCTGAGAAGGCCAAAAGTTTGCCATTAGCATGTTCTTTAACTGTCATTTATTTGACTTTAGTTGAGACTTAGGAATGATCGGACAAGATTTAGTAACCCCATTTTATAGATAAGGAAACTGAGGCTCAAGGAGGTGAAATAACTTCTCTAGGTGTACACAGCATGTAATGGTAGAGCTGCTATTAGAACCTGCTTTACTATGAGGAACCATTCATATGCCTTGTAACTGTTTAAGACAGAAGCTATATCTCATTCGTCTTTGCATCCTTAGTGTCTAGTAGACAACAGGGCTTCGGTAAGCAGTTGCTGAAGGAATTAATCTCTTATGTATTGTGCTACCATGCATGTATTTGAGTAAGTCCAGTGTTATAAATCATCTTTCTATCTCACAGAGCATGTTACCTCAGAAAATCTCTATGATCACAAACCGAGCCAAGAATAAATTAGACAAATATTTATTTAGCCATATTAAAGACAGTCTTTCCATACAAATGTTCTTACATAATCATAATTTATCAATCATTTAAAAGTCAACTGTAAGCCTGGTATTAAACAAAATCAAGAGGCCTGCCTGAATTATAATTCTTCATGAAAAACTGAAGTTGCTTCATCCAGAGGCCTTTTTTGCATAGTGAGATACATTTGACATAATTAGGTGGGAACCTGATAAGGAGTTGAATCAACTGGGGATGTTTTTGGAATTAAAGATGCCAATTTCAGAATTTAATCTGTGAACAGCTCTCAGTCCATGATTTCATAGTTTTCTAAGATAGCATATTTTGGACAAAGGCAGTTCTTTGTGGCCAAAAAAAGGTCTTTTGTTCCTTATATGAAGATAACTCTGTCCGTCCATCATGTTTGAGCCCTTCACCCTTGACTTGTATTTGCACCTATGTGTGATTCTTCACACTGCTCCATTCTCTCACCTGCCTCACTGCCTATGAACACAAGACTCTGGGAGCAAGTGTGGGAAGACAAGGGGGAGAAAGGGATCAGCAGTTTTGCAGCATGAAACAGCTGACCTGGCCCTTGAGCATGGGATCTCTAACCCCATCACTAAACATGCAAGTTGATAAGTAGGATGTAGTTTCATTTCCTGATTCTATGCCATTCTGTAAAGAATTAGAAAAGTCCCTGATTGACATTCTAGTGGGGAAAGGGGGAAGGTGGAAAATGAGAAAGTACAGAATCATCAGAGGGGTATATTAGTTTGCTAGGGTTGCCATAACGAAGTATCGCAGACTGGATGGCTCAAAAAACAAATGTGTTTTCTCATGGTTCTGGAGGCTTCAAATGCAAGATCAAGACATCAGCAGGATTGGTATCTCCTGAGGCCTCTCTCCTTGGCTTGCAGATGGTCACCTTCTCACTGTGTCCTCACATGGTCTTTCCTCTGTGTATGTGCAACCCTGGTGACTCTGTATGTCCAAATTTCCTCTTCTTATAAGGACACCAGTCAGGTTGGAGTAGGGACTTAATACAATGACCTTAACAGCTTCATTTTAACTTAATTACCTCTTTAAAGGCCCTATCTCCAAATACAGTCATATTCTGATGTACCAGGGGTTAAGACTTCAACATATGAATTTGGAGAGGGGGCACAATGCAGCCCAGAACAGGGAGGAAGCGTCAAAAATACCAAAATCAAGCTTCAATTTCAGCACAGATTTTCTCAAGACATATTTAGACATTGGACATGGGAAAATGGAAAGCTAACTATGTTTTCTATGAGCAGTCATATGCTGGTAAATGTTTAACAAGCATCAGTCAGTGGCAGAGCAGGGAGCCATGATTTGTAGTGTTTGCCAATTTCAGTGGTGTAAATACTCCCACCACCATCTATTTTCAGTTAGCAATGTGGCATCACTGAACACAGAGTTGGGAACGCAGATTCACAGAGATTGAAGCAGTTGAATCTCACAAACCAGTGGGAGCTGGATCCAGCATACCTGCTGATAATTAAAATGCAGAGTGATGTCATGGTGCCCTGGCCTGGCTCCCCCTTCCCACAGATGCCTCTAGTGTGAAGTCTCCACCTATTCTCTACAAGATACTGGATCTCTAATCTGGCAAACTAAAGATCTATAAATCTAAACATTCCCCTTTCCCTTCATTTGGACCTGAAATATTTAAGTACCAATACTCAAAATCCTTGATAGAGCCCACCTCATCTCTGAATACTGGACAAGTCATCTGTTCAAATGATTGTGAAGCAAAGCAGCAGGATGTCAAAATATTCATCAGTCCTCCAAAAGGGAACTGATCTGACAAATCAAAGAAAATTACCCCCATTTTAATAACAGTTATTAAAATAATCACAGGCAACTTTATTTCTAATACATATTTTCAAAACTATTCAGGAAGATTTCACATTTATAAAAATGGTCCCATAAAGGAAGCAATCTGACATCAGAAAGTATTTATTAGCAATTTTAAAGTGACAGATACCTTTTAAAATGCAGTATATAGCAAATGGATTCTGTCTAAAGTGGAATGATTTAATTACAGTGCAAGTTCAAAAAGTTTCCATGTAACTTGGCATATGAGATAAACACGATAAGGTATTAAGAAGATGAGGAACCCAAGGAGAATGATCCAGAAGATCTAGTAGTTATGTGTAACAAGAATTCCCGAGCGATCAGAGTATTCAAAAGATTAACAGTCAAAGAAATAGAAGAAAATTATTCCTGAACTAATAAAGACATGAATCTTCAGTGTAAAGGATTCACCAAGTATTGCACAATGAATGAACTGAAACACACATCCAGACATCTTTTGTTTTCCCCTTTTTTTTGTTTAAATTCAAGCTTTAGGGAGAAAACAAATCCCACAAGCATCCAAGTATGTTTAATATTTACCCACAAAAGAAAAAAGTCAATTCCACATCAAACTTCTTCTTCACAGTACAAACACCGGAAGTCAACTCTACAAATTTTAGATAAGAAAAAGCCATGTCAGAGGGAGATGCTCTCAGACGTGCAGAGACTTTCAAACTTCACCAGTACATCAGTTCCTGCAAAATAGACCAGAGAAGGTGCTTCCCGCAAAATAAACAGGTAAGCAAAATCTAAAAAGGTAATGCAAGATTGAAGAAGGCAAAGTGTAAATAAGAACAGTGATATTTAGACTAGAGGGAAGTTTCATGTTTTTTTGTTAAAATGCTTTTGAAACGAAATGCAAATGTAAGGACAATCCTTGCCAAAAATACTGTATAATGGAAAAATAAATTTTTAAAGGCTAATTATTTTCATCTGGATTTAATATTCTTGGTCATTTCAATACACTTAAGAGACATCATTAACCAATTCCTTCAAAATTTAACTCATATCTCACCTCTGTTCCCCATTCTTATTTCTAACACCCCAGTACAATCCCTCATTACATTTCAGCTAAATTACAAAGATAATTTCCTGACTTCTCTCCCAGTCTCCAGTTTTACACACTTCAATCCACCCTGCACAGATTAATCTTCTTAGAACACTATTTTTAGTATGTCATTTGTTGGCTCAAAATGTATATACAAGATGAAATTCAAACTTGCCAGCTTGTTATTCAAAGCCCTCTAAAGTCTGCCATGATCCTACCTTTATTTACAGGCTTATGCTGTACTACTTCTCAAAATGAACTCTCCATTCCAATACTGTCTATCTTTCCAATTGCCCTGAACCTTTTTTTTTTTTTTTTGAGACGGAGTGTCACTCTGTCACCAGGCTGGAGTGCAATGGCACGATCTCGGCTCACTGCAACCTCTGCCTCCCGGGTTCAAGCGATTCTCCTGCCTCAGCCTCCCAAGTAGCTGGGATTACAGACACAGGCCACCATGCCCAGCTTATTTTTGTATTTTTCGTAGAGACATGGGGTTTTACCATGTTGGCCAGGATGGTCTCGATCTCTTGACCTCATGATCCACCTGCCTCGGCCTCCCAAAGTGCTGGGATTATAGGCGTGAAACATATTTTAATCATTTCACCTTCTATACCTTTCTGTGTACACATTTGAAACCTCATTTCACCTCCTTCCACTTCTACCTTCCCTGCTCCAACCTCCAGTTTCAATAAGTCGTTCCTTTCTCCTCTTTAAATGTGGTCTAGCCCAGTCCACAAAGAAATTTTCCCCTTCAGAATATCCAGGGAATTAGTTGTTGTATTCTAATACGTAATCAATAAATCCTACCTTGTATCATTATTTGCCATATGTCATCAAAGTTAACACAATTATTGTGAGATAAATCATTATTTTATGTAAGACTAAAAAAGAAAAAAAAAACCTTTGCAAAGTACAGTGTGACATTCCATTGGTTTTAAGAGGTTTTAGTTTTTTAGTGATAGTAAAAGATGAAAATATGTGCATTTCAGGTTCCATAAGACACAGTAGGTGTTACATCTATTCCTCTGTTCACTCACTAAATATTTCTTTGTTGCCTACCGTGTGCTCAGCACTGTTCAGATTGTATTAGCAAACAAGGCTGATGAGGCCCCTGCACTCAAGCTCATATTCTGCTGAAAAAAATGACTTTTACCAGCTCCTCCCCAGGGATTGTGAGATCTTCAGAGACAAAGTACAAATAATGTCTTGGACTTTGTCACCCACAGAATGCAACATTTCTCTGTTTTGCACATAGTAAACACCCTAAATATTTAGTGAGTGAGACAATGAATGAGAAAAGGGGACACAGGATATGTATACACTCTATTGTAAACTCAGGCACAGGAGACTATACAATTTGTTAAAAGTAGTTAGATTGTAGGCCTTTCAATATGAATGCCTTTACACTACTTCATAAAATAGGAAGGAAGAGTTTCAACACAGGTGAGTTGAAGCAATCCTGTTACGTAGATGTGACTGCGGGAGGCCTCAAGGAGTCTCTGAGTGAATCAAATGAATACAGAGAATTATAATTAGTACATTATTCACGTTGATTTATGAAATTACTTTCTTCCCAGTTAATGAAAATAGCAAACCAACAGTCCCTTGTCATTGGCTGTCTTAAGATTTCTGGTTTTTTACTGTTGATGGGCCTAGAGTCCATGTCTAGAAATTAGCCTTTTTCTTGGGAATTCAATCAGTGGGGTGGTTAGTGGAATGCAGAAGTGAGCTTCCTAGGCAGGAGTGGGTACAGACTGTCACCCCACAGTCACATCTCAATGCAGTTTTGTCTCCCCTTCAACATTATGGAACCTGATATGCACATATTTTCATCTTTTACTATCACTAAAAAACTAAAGCCTCTTAAAACCAATGGAATGTCACACTGTGCTTTGCAAATTCAGGAATTTGGAGCTTCTTGAGATTGCAGGATGTATCCCTTGAAAACAGCAAGGGCACATTGTGAGTCTTGATTAGCTGGGGTTCCTCATTCTGGAAGTTCATCCTCTTTGAACACACTCCTTGGAGAACTGGGTGAAAGGAGAATCTCTTAGGCTGCTGTTGGTGCTCATTCCTTAAAGGGCTGATATCCAGAATCTACAAAGAACTTAAATAAATTCACAAGAAAAAATCAAACAACCCCATCAAAAAGTGGGTGACAGATATGAACAGACACTTCTCAAAAGAAGACATTTATGCAGGCAACAGACACATGAAAAAATGCTCATCATCACTGGCCATCAGAGAAATGCAAATCAAAACCACAATGAGATACCATCTCACACCAGTTAGAATGACGATCATTAAAAAGTCAGGAAACAACAGGTGCTGGAGAGGATGTGGAGAAATAGGAACACTTTTACACTGTTGATGGGACTGTAAACTAGTTCAACCATTGTGGAAGACAGCGTGGCGATTCCTCAAGGATCTAGAACTAGAAATACCATTTGACCCAGCAATCCCATTACTGGGTATATACCCAAAGGATTATAAATCATGCTGCTATAAAGACACATGCATACGTATGTTTATTGCGGCACTATTCACAATAGCAAAGACTTGGAACCAACCCAAATGTCCATCAATGATAGACTGGATTAAGAAAATGTGGCACATATACACCATGGAATACTATGCAGCCATAAAAAAGGATGAGTTCATGTCCTTTGTAGGGACATGGATGAAGCTGGAAACCATCATTCTGAGCAAACTATCACAAGGACAGAAAACCAAACATGACATGTTCTCACTCATAGGTGGGAATTGAACAATGAGAACACTTGGACACAGGATGGGGAACATTTACCTAATGTAAATGATGAGTTAATGGGTGCAGCACACCAACATGGCACATGTATACATATGTAACAAACCTGCACGTTGTGCATATGTACCCTAGAACTTAAAGTATAATTAAAAAAAAAAAAAAGAGATTTTCAGTGTGCTAGGCTCAGTGTTAAATATTGGAGTACATACAAAGAGAGGCAAATTCTTTTCAATACTCTCTTAAATTAGGACTTTTATACTTTTAATTGTTCTATCTGGTTTTTGGTTTTGATAGTCACAACCATCCAGTGTAATAGCTAGGGGATATCTTTGTGCATGTGTGTATGTGTGTGTATAAATATTTTTATTTTGCCATTTTTAAAGTTCACCAGAATTTACAGATTATTTCTATGTTATACATCTTTTTAATGGAGTTTTAATTCCATGCAATAAGGAAATAAATATTGCACTTGCCTCATGTCTTCCCACAATTTAAAATGAATCTCGTGATGTGAGCCCAAAGTGTAAAAACCATCTTCCTCATAGTGCCTCACGGATTGATTTGTGGGTTGCTGGATGTGGCTAAATTGAAAACCGCCCTAATGGGTCAGGGACTGTGTTAACTATGTTACAATGTTTTTACCTTTAATCCTCACCAGAGTCAACTCTAGAGGCTGGGAAGTCCAAGATCAAGGTGGCAGCAGATTCAGGGTCTGGTGAGGGCTTCTTCCTCATAGATGGCACGTTATATGTATCGTCACACGGAGAAAGGGTAGGGTACATCTTACTAGTCTCATTTAACAGATGATAAAACTGAGGCCCAAAGAGATGAGGCGAATTGCCAAAATTCAAATAGCAAAACAGGTCTCTCAAACTCAGCCCTCTTAACTGCAAATCCAACGCTCTTTGGCAGATAATGCATGTGAAGAGACGAGGATACGGTGAGCTGGAGGGAATTTTAAAGTGAATCCATAGAAAGGATGCATATTATTCCAGAAACATCATTCATACCTTTCATCCCAAACACACAAATCAAAGAGTCATTTCAAAGAGTACCAAAAGAATGGGATATCAAAAGGATCAAACATAAACGATATGTAGAGACTTCTGTGCAAACCCAATTAGCCAGAGAAAGTGATAGGAAAATTTTAAATGTCCCCAAAGTGTCCTATTTAACCCTCTGCCCTGGTCTATGGCTTGATCCTGACCAAAGAGCTCCAGATGGAATGGATAGAGAGTCTGGGGTCGGCGTGGGGTTGTGTTTTGACTGCAAGTTGGCATCTCGCCAGGCTGGGCCTTCACTCTGTCCCCCTGCATGACCCTAGCCCACTTTGGCTTGCCGAATTACTTAAATGTTGTACATTACTAGTTAATAGACACAACATATTGAAAGTTTTACAATCAAATATTTATGCGGCTAGAAAACATTTTACATTATCTTTAAACAGCCATGTCATCTATTTATTTTCATTCTCTGATCTTTCTGTTTTGTATCAGAATCAGAGAATTTAGCCTATTTACCCAGAAGTAAATATTATGATGAAAACATTGGGCGGCTCAAAAGTAGACTTAGTAAAATGCAGAAGTATTTTTTTGCCAGTGTCAATTGCACAACAGCCCCTGCATGGTAATAAATTAAGAAATTTCTAAGGGATGCTTGAAGTATGGTGGTTAAATACTTCATGGCTAGATACTGTCTCTACCTGCCTGATCCCCTGATGGCAGGATATACCTGGATACATCTAGCAATTCTTTCTGGCTATTCATTCTTTTCTGCAATAGAGAGAAACTCTCCTGGGGCAATGAGGCAGCATTTGCAGGCGACTCCAGTAAGGGAAATATATTTAATACTGAATCTTGGGCTTCAAGTAAGAGTTGATAGCCTATGGTCTGAAGAGTCCTATTGGTAGTTAATGGTCACTAAGTTTTCAGCTTGGCCTCCTCCTTTCTTGCTAGATATTTCTAACTTCTGAATGCTTCCCCCAACTCTGTCCTGTATGGTTGTTTTACTAGACTTCAAGAGCTAGTCCCATGTTTGTGCACTTATCTCTTCCCTGGAGAGGGTATCTCCTCTTATCACTGAATACTTCCAACCAGTATCTCCTCTTATCACTGGGTTAGAGAAAAAGACCCTCATTCTTCCTTCTTCCTTCTTTTTTTTTTTTTTTTTTTTGAGACAAAGTCTCACTCTGTCACCCAGGCTGGAGTGCAGTGGCGTGATCTCAGCTCACTTCAACCTCCACCTCCCGGGTTCAAGTGATTCTCCTGCCTCAGCTGCCCGAGTAGCTGGGACTACAGGTACGTGCCACCACACCTGGCTAATTTTTTGTATTTTTAGTAGAGATGGGGTTTCACTGTGTTAGCCAGGATGGTCTTGATCTCCTGACCTCGTGATCTGCCCGCTTTGGCCTCCCAAAGTGCTGGGATTACAGGCGTGAGCCACCGCAACGGCCCCTCCTTCTTCTTTTACATACCACTTCCAAAGAACATTCTTAAAGACATAAGGAAGGGGTCAGAATTTCAGAGGGCTAGAAAGCACCGTCCTCCGACGGGCCTCGATCCCCAGCCTCTGGCCTGAGGTGCTCAAGACCTAATTTCTGTCCCTTACCCTTAACCTGGTTCTTCTGTGCTATTTCTTGGGCGTTCTTGCTTCACCCAATTTCCTAATCTTTAACTGGACTCCCAGTCAGTCTTACATCTGTCTCACCCTCAGGGTGAAGGCTGGTAACCTGCCCCCTGGGGGTTTCTTCCTTACCAGAAGCCTCCTTAGACTTGAGGAAGGTGGTGTATGGGTTTAGGGCAAGTAGCACCTGTGTCGGAATGGATGCTCTCGTCAGTAGCCTTAGGCAACCCCCTAACCTCCCTGAACATCAGCTTTTTCCCCTACTATAGAAGAATGATGCATGAATAGTAGGATTGATGTAAGGAATAAATGTGGTTTATGTGTAAATAACCTCATACTATGTTTGGTCCAGAGTGAGGACTCATCAGCCAAGTAGTGGTAACTCTTACTCCTACTATTTGTGGTACAAATGCCCTGATTTCCTTAAAGATTCCCCCAGGCTTGATTTCCTCAATTTCTTCCTGATACTGACATGGTTTCTCTAAGTCATTACCTAAACATTAACTCTTAGTCGGTGATTCATAACTACAAGACGATGTGGAAGATAGATGGGTGAAAGAAAAAGAAAGAGAGCAAGAAAGAATGAGAAAAGATTGGCGGAAAATGCAGGTTAGAAAATCCATGCTTTAGAATAAAATATTCATAATTTTTTTTTTTTTTTTGAGATGGAGTTTTGCTCTTTTTGCCCAGGCTGGAGTGCAGTGGTGCTATCTCGGCTCACTGCAACCTCTGCCTCCCGGGTTCTTGCAATTTTCCTGCCTCAGCCTCCCGGGTAGCTGAGATTACAGGCATGCGCCACCACGCCTGGCTAATTTTGTATTTTTAGTAGACACAGGGTTTCACCATGTTGGTCAGGCTGGTCTCGAACCCCTGACCTCAGGTAATCTACCCGCCGCAGCCTCCCAAAGTGCTGGGATTACAGGCGTGAGTCACTGCACCCAGCCAAGTATTCATAATTTTAAGAATACAAATTCAGTAAAGTACAAATTTTTATTGAATATAAATTCAGAAAGTAAAGAAGACAGGTCCCTTTCTACAAGAAAAATAAGACATAAATGAGATAGGAATTACCCCAAACAGGAAAGAGCCCCTGGGTCACAGAAACCCTGGTTTGATTCCCCGAGTGAGTACCTGAGCAAATGGGTCCAGGGTCCATTTACACAGGTCTCAGCTTCCTTATCTCTGAAATGAGACGGTATAACCAGATTCATTGGACAAACGCTTAGCAACCACTCACTGATAACCTACTCTGGACAAATTCTGGGCACTGAGGTTTCAAAGGAGCACAAGAGAATTAAGGTTCCTGCTCGTATTCCAGTAGTAGAGACAGAAAAAAAAGTAGATAACTAAATGAAATCATTTTAATAATCAGGAACTTAAAATTAATTGGATTGTAATTATTTGGGAGGAGTGGGCTACTTAAGCCAGGAAGGTCAGAGAACTCCTTTCTGCCAGGCTGCTACTTCTGTGAATGGAGTCCAGGCATGCAAAGATCTGGGGGGCTGGACATTCCAGGCAGCGTGGACTGCAAATGGCCATGGGGTATGTGCAGAAGGAGAGGGGGCTAGTGTGGCCAGAGGTCAGTAAACAAGGAGAGCCTGGAGTGAGGTTAGCAGGGCAGGCAGGTGCCAGGCTCGTGGGGATTCTAAGTCAGCAAGGGGCAGAGGGCATGTAAAAATCGGGCAAATGGAGGTGATTCTGACAAAAAGGGATATTTACAAAGTTGTGGGTGGGATAGGAAAACCACCAAACATAGTAGGTAGGACAGCAGACCCCTGACCACTCTTAGCACTGAACAAACAGGAGAGAGTGGTCACTGGGACCACAGGGAGGGAGTCAAATAGAGGGAACTTCTTGACTGGAGCCCTGGCGGGGACCCTGGGAAACAAATGCCCTGACCTCACCCTTTGCCTCCCTCCAATCCCCAGCAGAACTCCCCATTAACTGGACACACTCAGAAGCTAAAGGGCAAAGGAGTCCACTAATGCAGGTCCTATTGACCAGCCTCCCTGCGGACCCCCCAGGGTGAAGAGTGGGACAAGAGGAGAAGGAGGAAGATGCAGAGGGGCAAAGCAAAGCTGTCAGGAGATAGAGCAGCCGTGATGAGGTGTTCGCTTTATGCTAAGGGCACTGGGAAGCTGCAGGAGAGTTTTAAGCAAGGGAATACTTGGAACTGATTTATGTTAAAAGATCTTTCTGGCTGCTGTGTGGAGCCAGAGTTTAGAGAGGCTAGATCAGAAGTTGGGAGAATATTTAGGAGGCGATTACACCATTTAAGTAAGAAATGCATGCTAATGTGGTTCAGCATGATGGCTGAACATAAAGAGAAATAAATGGATTTGGGATCCACATTGGTATGAAAATTAAAAAAAAAATAAACCCAACTTCTACCATTGCCGTGAGCTAAAGTGAAGCTTTCATGCAGCCCTAATGGAAAATGAGAACATATGTGCACCGTGCATGCTGCAAACCCCGGAACTTCTGGCCAGTGCCAACTCATGTTGCTTTTACGGTGCAAAGAGCATTGAGATAAATTTATCAGCTCTATGCCATTTTTATTTATAATAAGGAGAACGAAAATAAAAGAATTTTCCAAGCCCGGCATGTAGAAAAATGATTTGTTCAGTCGACCCGACAAATAACAAATAGTAAAGTCTTCCAGTTTTATTGTTGGCATTATCATAAAGAACAGGCTGTGCTTATTATCTGGTTAAAGGGGGTTCGTTCTGTGTGATGTTGAAGTGAGTTATAATCTTTAATAAACAAATAACATCGGTATTTTTTTAATTTCATAGTCATGAATGTTTGTAGAATTGTCTTTTCTCTCTCTCTCTTTGGTGATGCTTTTGTCAGACGTCAGAAATGCTTTTGCTCTGTCCCCAGACATGGGGTGTCATTTCCAACTATAGAGTCGTGAGGCTGTTTCTAAATTCCATCAATGCTTCTTCAAGGACCAGGCTACACCAGTGATGGCAGCTTAATGGCACCTGTCATAATACCAATCCCAAGACATTAATTCACTCCTGGGAAGTCCCAGTGTCCCGTAATAAACCTGTGTAGACTATTAAAGTTATATTCTTATGTAAGGGAAGCCTAGCACAGAACGAGGTCATAGAGCAAAGAGAACCATGGAAGGATGGTTTGGTCCCTCTGCACATAAAAGATGTAACAAATATTGTAGAGAGAACTGATCATTTTTTGCAAAATTTACGTGTAAGGATCAAAACCCCTAGTATTTTTTAAAACAAAGAACAAATATGTGAGTACTTCAGACACATCTGAGGTCAAATGTCAGCCCCTATGCTCACCAAATTGCTTCACCTCTGTAAGCAGGGCTACCCCTAGAAGATGCAAGGGCTTTGCATGAATATATATATATATATATATATATATATATATATATATATATACACACACACACACACACACACATATACACAAATATATATATACACACACAAATATATATATTGTATATATATTTGTATAGTGTGTATTTGTATATATGTGTGTGTATATATACTATATATTATATATTATATATAATTTATATATATTTTATATATTATACATTATATATAATATATATTATATATATTATATATAATATAATATATATTATGTATAATATATATTATACATAATATATATTATATTATATAATTTATATTATATTATATTATATATATTATATAATATAATATATAGATGGGATCCCTGCTATATATTATATAATATATATTATATATCATATATAATATATATGATATATAATTATCATATATAATATATATTATATATCATATATAATATATATGATATATATTATACATTATATAATATATGTTATTATAATATATAAAATATATATAATATATGTTATAATATATAAAATATATATAATATATGTTATAATATATAAAATATATATAATATATGTTATTATAATATATAAAATATATATAATATATGTTATAATATATAATATATATAATATATGTTATTATAATATATAATATATATATAATATATGTTATAATATATAATATATATAATATATGTTATTATAATATATAATATATATTATATATATATAGCAGGGATCCCGTCTATATAAATAATTTGAGTCACTCAAAATCACGTCAGCTCCACCCTTGAGGCCTAATCTTGTGCCGATCCCACAGAAGAAATAATGCACAAGCCAAAGGAAGTTATCAGCTCACTAGGCTACCCTCCTGAAGTCTGGTCATGGGGACCCAGGACAATTCATTAGGCTCAAGTTTCAGAGCTCATTTGGGCATCTTGTTGATCCCACCACAGGACAGAGGGTTGGAGAGTACCCTGAGGGAAAGCAACAGGAACTTGCCCACCCTATGTGAGGGTCCCACCCTATGTGACATGGAGTCAGAACACCTAGCCAAGATGCCACCTCTCGCCTCCACAGTTCCCAGGTACCACAGGAAGACTTAAACTATTTCAAGAGAGGCACTCCAAAGTACAGGAGGATGCCTGAGATGTGGCATCTAGGATGGAGGCCCTACTTGCATTGGTCTAAGGATGGTACTCTCTCTGAACCTCAATTTCCCTATCCGTAGGATGGGAATAAAAATTTTACCTCTTGCTAAGGTTATTGTTAAGTGTTAAGTGAGATAATACCACCATTCAGATTCCTAGCATATAGTAAGCATTCTCTCCATATTGGCTAATGTTGTACTCATGTGTGTATATGTAAATACATACATGTAAATAAGGATGTTGCAGCCCAATTTCAGAAAACTTTTTGAAGACAGATGTGTTCATCAGCATTTAACTTTGGGCTCTGTTCCTCAGCGGGTGTGGTGATATGCCTGTCTTCAAAAACTACTGGTGAGCAACCTCAAATACAGCCAAAGGAAAAAAAAAGAGGACACAAAAAATCTTTAGCACTATTAGCTCTAGTTTCACAGAGTTCTGGCCAAGCAGATATTCGTCTGCAGGGTTTATTTTTTTTCTTTTCAAATAGGGCAAAAACAATACTTCCAAAATCTAAATGCCTCAAAACCGAATATAATTGTTTCCATTGTTATAATTAACTTAAGCATGAAGCATTCCTCATTTATATTTTGAGTGAAGCCTTCAGAAAACTCAGAAGCCTGCTAACCCAGGCCAGCATCTCAGGGGTTCTGATGGCAGCATCCCTGGAGATTGCCCCACCCCCCTTGCAGGGGCACCACAGCAACCACGAGGCACTGATTTCATGCAGTGCCAGCCTGGTCTGATGGAACTGGATGCCGTTTAAATGATATTGAACTTTCCCCTGGTTTGTAATTGGTCTGGATGTTTTACCACAAAAAAATAGTTATTTCCCAAAGGATCACCATTACAGAGTCTGAATATGTGGCATTTGTAGAGTACTTTAGAAGAGAAGAGGTGTTTCTTTGCACTTTAGCTTTGCCTGTAAATGGATTGGTTGATGTGTAGGGATTCTAGCATTATCATCGTCATTGCCATCACCACCACCATCATTATCATCATCGTCATCAACATCATCATCATGGCTCTCATTTGTAGGAAATCTACCATGTACCAGGCTCTGTCCCGAGTGTTTTCTTTATATCTGTTTACCCACGGAATTCTCTCCATAACCTATGAGCTAGATATCCTTGCTTACAGATGAAGAAACCAAGACACAAAGAACAGAGAGGTTAAGTTAGTTGCCCAAGGTCACACAGGTAATAAAAGGCGGAGTTAGGGAATTGCATTCTGGTGCCAGGCTCCAGAACCCATATCCTTTGCCATAACTAGCCTCTGTGCTGGTATTGCCAAAGATGAAGACTTAAAACATGTATACAAGATATACAAGATGAAGACTGACAGAGCTACCAATGACTAGGTGTTTCATTCATCTTCTTTCCAAACCGAAACCATCTGCAGTCACATACATTTTATCGGATCTTCTAGGATTCTCATTTGGTCATTTTTAACAAATTTGCTGTCAAACACACTGGAAGATATCCTAGACTCGTGTCTTGAAAGCCATAGACACAGTTACTGTTCTTTAGTTTTAAATGATAATGTAACAAAATCCTGTTTTTATTAATGGAATGGGTTAGTACCAAGGTCAGTTCGTAATAAAGAATTTTCCAGAAAAAAAGAAAAGGAATTGGCAACGTACTGTAAGAAAAGACTGCATGAGCCAGGAAGCAACTTAGAGATGTTTAAATTTTCCCTGACATGAATGCTGACCACCCAGGGGAATAAAAAAAAAACACCTGTCCCAGGCAGGCAGGGATTCAGGCAGGGTATGTGGATACCCAGAGAGGGAAACCTGAGCAGGCTTCTCAGTCATCTGTCACATTAGAGGCCCCATGTGTCCAAGAGTCACACAGAAGCCTTGTGACCAAGACCTGGTCTTAGGTCTGTCTCTAAGTAGAGAGGCCACTGTTGGTGAATCAGTGGTTCTTTGTCCTGTGTCCATTTTTTCAATGGTCCAAAAGTTTCTTAAATCTCTCAAAGGATTGAGATGAAAAATCGCAAAGGAAAATACACACGAACGGGCTTTAAAAAGTTAAAATTACTTGAGTTCATTGTAGATTCTGGATATTAGCCCTTTGTCAGATGAGTAGGTTGCGAAAATTTTCTCCCATGTTGTAGGTTGCCTGTTCACTCTGATGGTAGTTTCTTTTGCTGTGCAGAAGCTCTTTAGTTTAATTAGATCCCATTTGTCAATTTTGGCTTTGGTTGCCATTGCTTTTGGTGTTTTGGACATGAAGTCCTTGCCCACGCCTATGTCCTGAATGGTAATGCCTAGGTTTTCTTCTAGGGTTTTTTTGGTTTTAGGTCTAACGTTTAAATCTTTAATCCATCTTGAATTGATTTTTGTATAAGGTGTAAGGAAGGGATCCAGTTTCAGCTTTCTACATATGGCTAGCCAGTTTTCCCAGCACCATTTATTAAATAGGGAATCCTTTCCCCATTGCTTGTTTTTCTCAGGTTTGTCAAAGATCAGATAGTTGTAGATATGCGGCATTATTTCTGAGGGCTCTGTTCTGTTCCATTGATCTATATCTCTGTTTTGGTACCACATGCACACGTATGTTTATTGCGGCACTATTCACAATAGCAAAGACTTGGAACCAACCCAAATGTCCAACAATGATAGACTGGATTAAGAAAATGTGGCACATATACACCATGGAATACTATGCAGCCATAAAAAATGATGAGTTCATGTCCTTTGTAGGGACATGGATGAAATTGGAAACCATCATTCTCAGTAAACTATCGCAAGAACAAAAAACCAAACACCGCATATTCTCACTCATAGGTGGGAATTGAACAATGAGATCACATGGACACAGGAAGGGGAATATCACACTCTGGGGACTGTGGTGGGGTGGGGGGAGGGGGGAGGGATAGCATTGGGAGATATACCTAATGCTAGATGACACGTTAGTGGGTGCAGCGCACCAGCATGGCACATGTATACATATGTAACTAACTTGCACAATGTGCACATGTACCCTAAAACTTAGAGTATAATAAAAAAAAATAATAATAAAAAAAAAAAAGTTAAAATTACATATGACGTTGGAGAAAAGAAGCATAAAAACAGTGCAATTGTAAAACAGGAAGGTCCTTATCAAGACAAGCATATGACAGCTAAGGACTGTGAACTGCTGCTGGGACATTGGGCAGGTTATAGTCTGAGGACCGCTTGAGTCAGTTTCTATAAAACTAGCATATCTGCTCAAATCTTATGTGCAAAAAGGAATTTTGCTCCAAAAGCATTCAGTGGATCTGAATGTCCCTTGGCCATTTGCTGGATTGAATGATTATTTGTTAAGTTTCCTTCAACTGAACACTGGGTTCCTGAGACCGGCTTCCTGAGAGTATCGCTGGTGGACAAGCCTCCCACCGTGAATTTTCTTTACTGTTATTATAGCTGGTTTTAATAGCATTTGGAATTTTTCCTTTTCAGACATTCTCACTTGGAATGTACTAATTTTCATAGTCAGATGTTGGTTTTAGCTAATTTGTTGTAGCTCCTTGAATGGGCCATGCTATTTTCAGAGAGAGAAAAATATCTTTCCTAGTGCCCCCTAAAATGAAAAGCTCCCCTTCCTGACTCACAGCCCTGGAGATGTGGGGTGAGGTGAAGAGACTTAGAAAGCTCTGGGGGAATTTCTGTCCACTAAATAGTACCACCGGCCTTCCTCCTCCCCTTCCTCACTCCTGTTGCATACAGGGTGGTGCTTCACCATTCCTTAGCCATAATAGGCATCCTGAGTTAATGAGATGAGGCATGCATGATTTGTAAGGTCACCTGAAGCAGGTCAGGGATTTATGGGCCTCCATTCTGTTTTCTGCAAAGCGGGGGAGATAGTAAGCAAACTGAGAGAAAGGAGGAGTTAGGAAACAGAACACAACCAGTTGCAAAAAAGAAAGAAAGAAAAGGAAAACATTTAGAAGAGAAGGCAAACTCCCAGATCACACTTTATGAACCAGAAGAGGTTTAAGTGTATAATGTTGTATCAGGCCCTGAACAGAGTGAATCAGAACAAAACAGTTGCTGCATCCAAGCATCACACAACAAACCCCTGTTGGGCAGCTGCTTTTTGAAAGCCTCAATGTATCATGCCTTGGTAGAATTGAAGGATACAGGACAAGCCAGAGCTCTCAAGAAATGTGTAATCTATTCGCAGAAGAAAAGACAAAAGACAACAAACACTATTCTGTATATAATAATTCAAATACAAATTATGTCAAAGGGCGGTTTATTATGGAAAGAATAATAGAAAATTAGCAAAATAGTAATAAAAGGAAAAATAGATAATGGGTTATAAACATAAATGAAAACTATATTCCGGTGCTCCAGGAGCCTTCAAACTAGTGGAGGAATTTTTTTATGCTAAAAAGTAATTGATGGCCCAGGCATGGTGGCTCATGACTGTAACCCCAACACTTTGGGAAGCCGAGGCACTCAGATCGCTTGAGCCCAAGACCACCCTGGGCAACATGGCAAAATCCCTTCCCTACAAAAAATACAAAAATTAGCTGGGTCTGAGGCTGAGGTGGGAGGATCCCTTGAGCCTAGGGGGTGGAAGCTACAGTGAGCCAAGATCACGCCATTGCACTCCAACCTAGGCAGCAAAGTAAGACCTTGTCTAAAATAAAATAAAATAAATAAAATAAAATAAAATAAATAGTAAAGTAAAATAAAATAAAATAATAAAATAAAAGTAAAGTAAAAAATAAAAATAATTGATGATACTTTGAAAATGCAATAACAGGCTGGGCACGGTGGCTCACACCTGTAATCCCAGCACTTTGGGAGGCCAAGGTGGGTGGATCACTTGAGTTCAGGAGTTCGAGACCAGCCTGACCAACATGGTGAAAGCCCATCTCTACTAAAAATAAAAAAAATTAGCCGGCATGGTGGCAGGTGCCTGTAATCCCAGCTACTCAGGAGGCTGAGGCAGGAGAATTGCTTGAACCCGGGAGGTGGAGGTTTCCGTGAGCCGAGATCGCACCACTGCACTCCAGGCAGGGTGACAAAAGCAAAACTTCGAAAGAAACAAAGAAAGAAAGAAAGAAGAGAGAGAGAAAGAAAGAAAAAGAAAGAAGGAAGGAAGGAAAAGAAGGAAGGAAGGAAGGAAACGAGGTTGGGAAGAAAGGGGAGGAAATAAAGTAGGAGAAATTGACAAGGGCCATAGTATGTGGGGCTTTCTATGTCACACTTAGGAGCATGGACATAACCCTTTGGCACAAGAGAGCCAAAAAGGAGTTTAAGCAGGAAGCAGTGTGATCCGCCTTATGATTTAGGATTATCACTTTGATGACAACGTGGAAGATGGACTGGAGCAGGGAAAGCCTAAGAGGAAGAAGACCACTCAAGAGACACATGCAGTAAACCAGGGGAAAAGTCAACAAGAGCTTGAAGTAAGTAAGAGGCATTAGGGATAAATAAAGGAGGTACATTCAATAGGTATTTAGGGAGGAGAATGGATGTGGCGTGGTGATCGATTGAGGATGGAGAGAATGCAGAAACGTAGATTGTGGCCATCGTCCCCAAACCAGTCATTAGGTGGATACTTTTCCCCATTCATTGGAATGAGCAGGAAAGTTCAGGAAAGAAAGTGTGGGAAAAGGATTAGGTCTGAAGGAAAACTTGATGAGAGGAAGTGGTTAAATTTGGTTTTGCACCTCTTATTGTCAAAGAGCTTTTGGGAAATCAAGTGGAGAAAGCATTTGGATATATGGGTCTAGAGCACAAGAGAAGAATTTCAGAAAGATATACAGCTTTGGAAGGAGTTCTAAGAGGAAGAAAAGAAGCAGCAATGATCAATTTCAAGAGAACCTGGAAAAACAAAGATGGATAAATGTCTACTGGAAGACTGGGTGGTCTTTACTCACATTGGTACTGTTAAAATAGAGGGGGAAAAAAAACAAGTGAAATTGAAGAATTTGCACCCTGAAAATTGCACCTACCCAGAAATGAATGACAACTATGAGTTCATCTCCAGACAACACACTTCTCCATTGTCCATATTCTCTATGGCAAACAAGTCACAGCAGTGAGACAGCCATCTCAGATATAACTTGGACCCCGAGGAAACTATCATTGCATGGATCCAGTGCAAACAAGCTTGGGCAATATGTCTGTGTCATGTAACCTAAAGGCAAGAACGAAGCTGGAATCACGAATGGTTTGTATTTACACACTGCCAGAATGCTCACTGTTTCTATTTTACACTCCTCTTCACCCCTCTTAAAGTGAGAGTAGCAAGGATCCAGGAAGACGAAGAAGAAGAGGCCACACAGGGGTGCATGACTTTCAGCACAGAGACCCTGCTATCTAGTAAATGTGGCCCAACCGAGTGGCTCCAAATCGGGATGAGCAAATTGTATTCCCTTTTCTTGGGCAGGAACTAGGATGGAGAAGTGCAAAGAGAGAGAGGAAAGGTGAAAGCATTGCTGGCTGTCGGGCAGACTCGGAAGGGGCTGTGACCGATCCTGCAACTGAAACTACTTTCTTTATGTTGTTTAAATCTTTGTTTAAATTAGGCAAAAGTCCTTCTACATTCACTTTTATGAAAGAAAGCAGGTTATGTTAATAGTGTGGCTGACATGAGTTCCATCTGTGCTTTCATGACATTAACTCGTAGAATAATGACACTGGATTTCTGGTTTGTTGAGAGTTTGTGGATGACCCCCACCACTATATTCTTAGCCCCTAGAGGTTCTGGACCATATCTGCTTTATCTTTATATTCCTTACAGTGCTAGAACACAGTCTGCACTTAATAAATATTTCTGGAATGGAAAGAAATTGAGAGGCTGGGGCTGCATTTCTTAAATAGGTAATTCTTCAAGTAGGTGACTTGATGGTACATACTTCCTCCTCCCTACTGCAGTCAAGCTCTTGGAAAGCAGAGGAGAAATTTCACAACAGAGTTCACAAAGAAGATTCACAGGGGTCTGACTCAGTGTGCAGACATGCTCTATTGGCTCCATTTGACTCTTCTCCCCCCCACCCCACCCCCCGACACACACACACTTGTATGGGCCTTGTGGGTGCTGGGAGTAACTGGGAGTTTGAGAGACTTCAAGGTAGAAAGGAGAAAAGGCAGGATGCAATTAGAAAGCATTTCTACATTACCATTTCTGGTCAAATTGACTGAAGAATCTTAGAAATAAAAAAATACTAAATCTTCCATGCTACTGTTAGCTGTGATTTCATTTCTCATTCTATGTAAAAAGTCAACCTTGCACTTAAAATCATAGTTATAATTTTGCATTCATTTTTTAAAGAACCCTCAAATTTTATGAGACTCAGATTGTACAATTTGGATCTGCTCCTGGCTGACCTATGGTGTTTTAATACATTTTTTAAATGTACTGATAATTGTTCTTTTTTTTTTTCTTTTCTTTTTTTGAGACAGAGTCTGGCTTTGTCATCCAGGCTGGAGTGCAGTGGCGCGATCTCGGCTCACTGCAACCTCCACCTCCCAGGTTCAAGCAATTCTCCTGCCTCAGCCTCCCAAGTGCCTGGGACTACAGTCACCCGCCACCATTCCTGGCTAATTTTTGTATTTTTAGTAGAGACAGGGTTTTACCATATTGGCCAGGCTGGTCTTGAACTCCTGACCTTGTGATCCACCCACCTCAGCCTCCCAAAGTGCTGGGATTACAGGTGTGAGCCACCGCGCCCAGCCTAGTTGTTCTTATTTTTAAAAGCCAATACCTTTCACATTACAACCTGGATTTCTAGTGTCTTTGAACAGTTAAGGAGAATAGCAATGAGGGCCTGTGTTCCTTCTCTCATGGCTACAGTCACCTAGAGCTAGGTCATGGCTGCCCCCCTTGGATGAGCCACCTGCTAAACAGTTTGTTGTGTGAAACCCCCTCCTGCCTACATTTTATCTTCTCTCTGGCTCACTCGACTCATTTGAGTTTGCAAACCTATCTCTCTATGCATGCCTGCCAGGGCACTTGCCACAGTGACTTGCTCACATCCCTAAATGCATTTTCTTTTTCTTTCTTTCTTTCTTTTTTTTTTTTTTTTTTTTTTGAGACAAGGTCTCACTCTGTCACCCAGGCTGGAGTGCAGTGACACAATCATGGCTCACTGCAGCCTCAACTTCCTGGGCTCAGGTGATCAGGTGATTCTCCCACCTCAGCTTCCTGTGTAGCTGGGACTACAGGCATGTGCCACCATGCCTGACTTTTGTGTGTGTGCGTGTGTGTGTGTGTGTGTGTGTGTGTGTGTGTGTGTATTTTTAGCAGAGACGGGGTTTCATCATATTTCCCAGGCTGGTCTCAAACTCCTGGACTCAAGTGATCCACCTGCCTTGGTCTCCCAAAGTGCTGGGATTACAGGTGTGAGCCACCGTGCCTGGCCCCCTAAATGCATCTTAAATGAACTAATGAAAGATGAATAAATGCTTCCCTGAAGTTACTTATTCACCGATGTGTGAGAGAATAAAAAGAGAAAATGGACAAGAGGTGATACTAGAGACAGGTACTGAAGAACTCTTCATGTCTCAAGAAGACCATGAGATCCACTCACACAATAATGACCTTGGTGGGGAAGGGGATTTGCTAAGAGAGGACCACAGGGAGAATTCGAGGTCCTGAGAACAACATAGGTGAGCTGTCCCTCTGCTCACCACACTATCCCCTGTCTGTGACCCAGCAGCTGACCTCATGGTGCTCCTAGGAAAGGAGATGTGTAAGGGGTCAAGATTTAAGGTGGTGACTCTGCACTGTACTTTGAACTCACACCTATGGACATAATCACTTCCATTGTGGCTGAAGGCTGAGGACCACAGCTATGGAAGGCAGAATTGAAAGGTGACCTCTCAATGAGCTATCCCCTTGGATAATCTTCTCTCCTTCAATATGGGAGAGACCAGTGACTGTGATGGATGCACTGTTATGATTAGGTTACATTATTTGGCAAAGATGAAGAGGTTTTTCAGACATAATTAAAGTTCCTAATTACTATGACTTTGAGTTAAAAGAAAGATTATCCTGGGTAAGCCTGACCTAATCAGGTGAGCCCTTTAAAAGAGGACATTCTCAGCCAGGTGCGGTGGCTCATGCCTGTAATCACAACACTGGGAGGCCGAGGAGGGTGGATCACCTGAGGTTGGGAGTTGGAGACCAGCCTGACCAACATGGATAAACCCCTTCTCTACTAAAAATGCAAAAATTAGCCGGGGGTGGTGGTGCATGCCTGTAATCTCAGCTACTCAGGAGGCTGAGGCAGGAGAATCGCCTGAACCAGGGTGGCGGAGGTTGCGGTGAGCCGAGATCACGCCATTGCACTCCAGCCTGGGCAACAAGAGCAAAACTCTGTCTCAGAAAAGAAAGAAAGAAAGAAAAAGACATTCTCCTGCTGGCCTTGGAAAAAAGCAAGCCATTGTGAGTTCTAACACTGCAAAGACCTGAATTCTATCAATAACCAGTGAACTTGGAAGGGGACACTGAGCTTCTCATGGGACTGCCACCCTAGCCAGCGCCTTGAGTGCAGCATTGTTAGACCCTAAGCAGAGGTCCCAGATAATCCATGCCTGGACTCCTGACCATGAAAACTGTGAGATAATAAATATGTGCATTGTTTTAAGCTGCTAAATGTCTAGCAACTTATTACACAGGTAACTAACAGCAAAGGAGAGAAAGCCAAAATGAAGGGGAAAGGGACAGAATTGCTTGGAATCTTCATGAATGTTTGGAGATGGTTGGGGCAGGGGAAGTAAAAAGAAGGGTCCAAAACACACCAGGGCCGGGCACGGTGGCTTACACCTGTAATCCCAGCACTTTGGGAGGCCAAGGCAGGCAGATCACCTGAGCGCAGGAGTTCAAGACCAGCTTGGCTGGTCTTGATAGGGGGAAGCCCTATCTCTACTAAAAATACAAAATCATCTGGGCGCAGTGGCATGCATCTGTAATCCCAGCTACTCGGGAGGCTGAGGCAGGGAGAATCTCTTGAACCCAGGAGGCAAGGTTGCAGTAAGCCCAGATCGCACCACTGTACTCCAGCCTGGGCAACAGAGCGAGACTCTGTCTCAAAATAATAAAAAATAATAATAAAAAACACACCAAAATTGTTCTGGGCACCCCACATGTATTCTTTCATTTAAATATCCCAACTCTTCCTGGAAGTAAATATTTCTAACTCCATTTTACAGATAAGACGTTGAGTATCCCAGAGAACTCCAATAATTCACTCCAAAGTACAGGGTTATCCTGATGGAAAGAAGATCTTTCTCACACTGGAGGCTCATGTCTTGCCTTTGTGTCACATCACGGGCTTACTCCAAGCCCCAGGAAAAGAAGGTCATGGAGTAGCCTGGCAAGGAAAACATACTCCAAGGTGGTGGGTGACATTGCAGGACAGAGCCTGGCAGCATGCCGCTGCTGCATTAGCCTGCTGCTTTTCGAGCCTAGCAGCTTAGGAGTTCTGTTCTCCTTGAGAACATCTTCTCCAAATTCCACCCCTCTCAAAAATTTTTTTTGTTTTACCAAAAGTGCTTGGCTAGAGAGGAGAAATGATGAACTTCTTTATGAGCATATTTATAACCATAGATATTCCAAGCCATAGGAGGTATAAATTTCAGGATATATGTCAGTAGCTCCACACTGTGATGGGAAAATTGAGGGGGGCTATGGTTATTGGCATTTCCCAAACTCACTGAAAAAAAGAAACTGCTTCCCTGCAAACACACATACACACACACACACCACACTCCACACATACACACACGCGCGCACACACACACACACACACACACACTCCCCCTAGGCCTGCAGAGAGAAAACAACTTACTCCTGGCCAGCTCATCTAGGTCATGCAGACCCTACAATCAATGCTGGCTTCAGCTAATTTCATCCCAACTTGCACTGAAAAAATAATTCTCTGCCAAGTTGCCATGTATCTCTTCTCAGCCCCAAAGCCTTCGGGATAAAAATCTGTTTGGCTTTTTCTTTTTTCTTTTTTTAATGTTGCTCAAAATAGTTTTCTCTGCTCAGATAATTTTGCAATATTCCTTATCCCACCAATCTCTTCCCTGTAGAGTACCTCCCTGCCACACACATCTCAAAGCCGGTCAGAGCCCTTCCAGACTCCTGTGTGCACCCGTTCCCAAACCTCCCTCCACTTTCCTTCTTCTCATTGAAGACCAGGGGGCTGGGGGTTGACTGAAGACCAGGAGAGGTAGAAGAGAAAGAAAGATCTCAGGCGGAATCATGCCCTCTCCTCCCATGTTCATGTCCTAATCCCAGGAATCTGTGAATAGGTTACATTATACAGCAAAGGGAATCCAGGCAGTGGATGAGATTAGGGAGGATAATAAACTGACTTTATGATAGAGTTTATTTTTGCCGTAAGGTTAATGTAGAAGAGGGAAGCAGAAGGTGGGGAAGGGAGCATTAAAGCGGTAAGATGCAATAGGAACTTGACCCACGATTGCTGGCTTCAAAAATGGAGGAAGCGGCCATGAGCCAAGTACTCGGGCGGCCTCTAGAAGCTGGAAAAGGTGAGGAAATCGATTTTCCCCTAGAGCCTCCAGAAACTAACGCAGCCCCGCTGACACCTTGATTTTGACCCCCTGAGACCCACTTTGGACTTCTGCCCTCCATAACAGCAAGATAATTAATGTGTGCTGTTTTAAGCCACTACATTCGTGGTAATTTGTTATAGCAGGAATGGGAAAATGATGTTACGTAATCGCTGAGATGCTCCTGCACACGAAATCAGCCTATAGACAGGCGCCCAGGCCAGGACTAGATCCCCAAAGGGAACATGGATGGATTGTTCTTCCTCGTCTCTGACACATCAGCAAGAAGGTGTCTATCCCTGAAGACCTTATTTACAAAATCGCCCCGCTCAGATCCAGAGAGTAAGCTCTAGGGCTAACCCCTCTAATGTGTTTTCAGCAACAGGGGATGGGGCAGAGGCCGGGACCAGGACATTAGAGGTTGTCCCCATGAGCTATTGTCACCTCGGGTCTCCATCTGTCACCGACTGATCTTTTAAGGACTCGTAGTATGCAGGCAGGCTTGTGTGTAATAGACGACACCCGGGGTCCACGTGCATATGAAGTTGCAAATAAGCCCTAATTATATACGTATACAGAGTGGTTTTTATGTTCTGAGCCACCAACTATTTAACGGGCTTCTTGAGAGATGGGTCTTTGTTTTATTTCATTGATCCATGTGCCTATAACACCTCGGCCAGATGCACAAATAACTCTGGGTCGGTTACGGAATGGATTTTCCCCTAAGGAGAGACTCATTCGCAGGCAAAGTTTTTGAGCCTTCCCAAGCTAAGCCCAGCCCGAGCTCTGACTTGCCCCCTGCTCCAGAGCCCCTCCCTATTTAGAGCCCAGTAGGTTTTTCACTCCAACTCAGGTATCTTTTCCCATTCCCTCGGGGTTGTGAGGTGGGAGCGTTGTGTCGCAGCTGGATCTCCAGATGCGCCGTGTCACATTTGTCCCCCCAAAAAGCATATCCTAGAAAATGAAAGCCTTTCCATTTCCCCGTGGAAATGCATCTAAGTCCAGTATTGGAGCTGCGAGATACAGAATCGTCTCTGCCAGTGCCCTGAGCCCCTCAAACCGAGGGGAATGCGTGGGCTTCGGTCCGTCGGAAGCTTTTCTTCTCAGGGGTCCAGCTTATTTCCAAATTGCCCCGCGTGAACTGTCCCGCGGGCGCGCACGCCCTTTCGCGCAGCCTTTGCAGCCGGCTGGCGGGAGATCCCGGCCGCTTCCCTTTCGCCGGCAGAAGCCCGGCCGGGGAAGCCCCGGCTGCGCACGCCCATCCCCAGGACCTCGGAGCTCCCAGCGGCTGCCGCAGCCCCGCGAACCACCTGCAAGCCCCGCGGCGTCGCAGCCCTTCCTTCTTTCCTCCGGGCATCCGCTCTTTAGCTCGCGCCCCTCTCCCAGATTCCCGACCCCTGGCCCTGCTCCCGCCCTCTGTGCCTCGGCGGCTGCGGGGCCCGCCGCAAAGAGTTAAGAGCCGGTTCCCGAGACGGCTTCGGCGGCTCCGGGTCCCCAGACCCCGCTCGCCGCTCCTGATTGGCTGAGCGCCTGTCAGTAGTAAAGGGTATCAGATGGCAAAGTTGGGACCTTCATAAAGGCGTGGTGGCGATTCTCCGCAATCGCCGGCAGCCTATGACATCAGACAGGAACGCCTGGGATGCCGCGCTGCTCCTGGCCAACCTCCGAGGAGGAGGAGGGTCCCGCCGGCTAAGAGTTAATTAGCCCCGCACGGCGAGGGGGGAGGCGCCAGTTTTCTGGGGACACTGGCTGCCACTGTACTCCTACCCAGGGGAGCTCACGGAGAGTTGGATGAATTCTGGGTTGTTAGCTGCGGTCAGCTGGGCTCCCGGGAGCCTGTTGCTGGTGGAGAACAGGGGGCGCCTGGCCAAGGGACCAGCGGCTTGCTGAGACTCAACATGACACTCCTGGGGTCTGAGCATTCCTTGCTGATTAGGAGCAAGTTCAGATCAGGTAGGGCTAAGGCATTTAGCATTCCTTCTTAAACTTTCCTCTTCTGCAATTCTCAACTCTAGAACTGCTTTCCAATAAATGTTTCAAAGCCTGCCAGGTCTACCTCAACTTTGTTCCCCAAAAGCACATTGTGGAAGCGAAGAGTTTTGTTTGACTTTGGGGGCCTTTCGTGTCTTCCGTTGTAAGTGCTTTGGGTGGTCGAGTGTGGTTGTTCATCTGTGAAAAGGCCAATCCTTTTATTTTATTTTCTCTGCATCTATGAATAGAAATTTTGGAGGGGTACATTCAGAGGGAGCAACTTTGGAAATGAACAAATAAGGGATTTCAAGTTTGGAAGCTGCGTAGTATCGGTTATAATCGCTGAGAAGATGAACCTGATGTTGTGTGTTAGGTACAGGGGTCACTTAAAATGTAGCTAATCCAAACAAATGTATTTCCCAAAAAAAGTCACTTGGGGGAAGTAAAAATAGCAAATTTGGAGCACACCAAGTATTTAAAATGACATCACTGTAGAAAAAAAAAGAAAGCCCAGTGCCACAAATATTTTTTCCCAAACCATCTGATATTTATAAATAGAGAATTTCCCCCAAAATTTCTGTGTTAGTGGCACATGGAGAAACTTCTCAAAGGACGCTGAGTGGAGGTGAGTGGAAGGGAGAGACGGGAGCTCTAACCGCTTCTCCAGAAGGGCTTGTACACGCGCCCATGGAAGGTGTCTGTGTGGGTCTCCACGTTTAGACAAAGCAACACTTGACTTCTGAAGTTATTTTTCAGTAGCTCTGTGTATAATGTTGGTTTTAGAAAACTGGTTAACAACACACTCAACAATGTAGGACTTCTACTTAGATTGATGACTTTTAGGAGAACTCTGATGTGAACATTAGACATAACAGGTGTCAGAAAGATGCTGGCATAGGTTGCTAAGCTAAAGTTTCCTTAGCCCTTCTACATGGGGCCAACTCAGTTGTTTCACTTGGGATGGATGGTTCAAAAAGGAAAAATGTAGATGCTGGGAGGTAAGGTTCATCTGTGACTTTCTTAGATGCCCTTGGTTTTTAGATGCCTGTGGAGTCAACTGGAGATTTTCTTAGGATCTTCATTGTTGATGCAAGTTGAAAACTCAAGAGCTTAGGCGGTCACAAGTCTCACTGCCCCTGAAGCTCTGGGATGAGTCCGCCAGCCACTGGGGTCGGCAGTGGATTAAGTCCTTCCTTTCCTTTCCATGGTGAGGTGAGGCGGTTGATCTGTTAACCAGCTAGAGACCTCACCACTGCGTTGTATTCGGTCAAAACTGTAAGGCAACACTGCCACCTTTCTGAAGAAGAGAGGATGTAGATTTGTTTTCTATGAGGCTGCATTCATTTCAAATGCTTCCTTGCCAGTTTAAATGTGGAGGGTCTGGGGGTGCTGGTTTGTCTCTAAAAGGATCTGGTGATGTACTTGATAGTAGACTTGCAAAACGCTTATCAATCCCTCCTTCAGCTAAAGTGCAGTGGAGAGGGAAGTCAGTTTTTGCCACACTCCCAACTTCCATCTCAGTGGATTTGTGGAGTCCTGGTGTCTCCTAAGTAGACCCTGAAGACCCTGATCCTGGAGCTTCAGAGAATTCCAGCCTCACTTTTTTTAAAGTTGTGCAGGCTTTTGTGTCATAAGGAAAGGTAGCTTCGGGAAAACATGATATCACAGCAGAAGCAGGCATCCTTAATCCTCCCGTCATTGATAAACAGGGAATCTGGAGTCTGAGATGCAAACATTGATAGTCTCTTGACAGACAAGAGAAAAAAAACAAGTGGAATGTAAAACTTAGAAAATGTAATGTTTGAATGGAGGTTATTCTTTCTGGATGTAATTACTACTATGGCTGTGCCAGCACTGAGGTCGCAGCATGCTAACAAGAGGGCCTCTCTTTAAGAGAATGTCTTTTATTTTGTCACCAACAGTGAATAAGGGCCTTGACTTTATTTTGATTTCTCTCTCTCTCTTTCACTGTTTTCCCTTCTCTTTCATCATCTTCTTCTCCTCCTTCTCTTTCAAAAGCAACTCAAACAGTAAACTCATAAAACTGTTTCTATCTCACTGCGAATATTTGCTTTGATAGTAGATCGTGGTATTATGTATTCCATTAAACATATTTCAAAAAATAAATGCAACAGAACCATTCTCTGATTACAGCAACAGACCCACTGTGACGGGGTTTATTTATAGGTGAGCAGATAACTGCTTTTACTCTGAAATCATCATCGATGTCAACCATGGCCGACCAACTTTCTATAAGCTGTATTTGAGTGACCTCGTGATTAAGGACAAAATTGTGCTACAGCAGCAGTAAGCTCTGAAAGTTTACATGTATGAACATGTTTAGTGATATAAACTCATTTGAGAAGCCAAAGGGTGTCCTGGTTGAGTGCGTGGGTCTCGGGGGCCAGACTAGCTGGGTTTTTCATAGTGGTCTCTGCTTACTAGCTACATGACCCTGAGCGTTAGGTAAATTACATAATTCTCTGTGCCTCAACTTGCCTCACCTGAATAAAGAGGATGACTATAGGGTCATTGTGAGAATTAAATGTGAAGTAGAGAACTTCGAAAATGCCCAGGCCTTAGAAGGCTCTTACAAAACATTTTTCTATTATTAATATTGATGTGCAGTGGGACCGGCGGTTGGTCAGTTTCTCTGTCTCAGTTATTTAATCGGTAAATGTTGAGGTTGGATTAGGCAATGTCTTAGACCCCTTTGGTAACATTTTATCATTCTCTGAAAACACATAAAGATTGACTGGGAACAAGTGTAACTGTGATTGTGCTGTGTGGCAATTGTGTGTGAAGGAGAGGCAGTTTTACATGAATGTAGTAATTTGTGCTGATTTTAAACTAATCACATTTTTACAGTTTTTAATCTTCTCATGTTGTTTATTCAATATCTAATCAGTGTCACTATCAACAGTTCTCCTCCATATCAATCCTTGTGTCCTACAAAACACACAGGGAGGTACGTATGTGTGCCACACACAGGCACACACAGCCCTCAGACATAAAGGATCAAAAGTGGAGAGAGAGATCCATGAATGGATGTTGCTTCTAAAGAATCATTGTGTTTCTTTTGCTTCTCTCTCTCTCTTTCCCACTTCCCCATCTTAAACCGCGCAAACAGAGGCAAAGTCTGGCAATTGCCATGAACTTGACCCCACCCCCACAAATATAACCTTGTTCAGTTTAGCAAATAAAAATACAGAATGCTCAGTTCAATGTGAATTTCCAAGCAATAGTGATTACTTTTTCACTATATAGCAGTACTTGGGACATACTTTTCTCTGAAATCCAAATTTCACTAGGCCCTGTTATTCTTTTTGGCAACCCTACCTACAATCTGAGTGTTTTTTGTTGTTTTTTTTTTCTGAGACGGAGTCTCGCTCTGTTGCCCAGGCTGGAGTGCAGTGTCACGATCTCGGCTCACTGCAAGCTCCGCCTCTGGGGTTCACGCCATTCTCCTGCCTCAGCCTCCTGAGTAGCTGGGACTACAGGTGCCCGCTACCACGCCCGGCTAATTTTTTGTATTTTTAGTAGAGACAGGGTTTCACCATGTTGGCCAGGATGGTCTCGATCTCTTGACCAATCCGAGTGGTTTTTGATCAACACTTTCTGCTGCCCCATCCAATATCCTATCAAGCTCTTGAGATTCTCTGGGTCCCCAAGGACTCCCCAAAATGCAAAACTTGTACTTTAGGCATGAAAGCAGAAAACTCCAGATGGGGTGGGGGTACCATGAGAATGAACCCTAGGTCCCCCAGAGTACAGCCAGCTTATGGGTGAGGAAGAACATGGGAGCTTCACCTCTGGTCTCTGGTCGTCTGGCAAGGAGGAAGATAAGCTCAGCAGGCAGGCCGGTGCTCAAGCAGCAGAGGCTCCAGAGGTTGGAGCTGTAGTTAAAAGAAGGCAAAGAACATGCAAAGCAGGTACTCAAGAGGCTGTGGCTGAATTCAGGTAGTGGGACCCACCCCACTGTGTTCTTCTACTCCAATAGATGCAGGATCAGGCCCCTGGTGCCTGTAATTGGTTGCTTGTCCTTTCAGAGAGGGCAAGGGACATCTCAGCAAGACCCTGCAGTCATCTCTCTCTGTCGTTTCTCTATTCTCCATCCTTCAGACAACCTAAAAGGACGACTGATTCCTACTTTAAGCTAAATCCTCAACATCTCTGGCACTGAATTTTCTCTCTCAGGAATTGAGCTTAGCCTAAGAAGTCGGTCCCCAAGATTTTTATCATAATGGACAGTACTGAAGACATTTTCACCATGAGCTCGAGAGAAGCCCAGACTATCTACCTTCATTGGCAATTAGTTTTCTAGTTTAGAACAAATAATTTAACCTACAAGAGTACCTTTCCCATGATATGTAATATTTATGTATGTACATATAATTTAATTCACCTTTTTAGATCTCATTTTTACTTTCTACAAAATAGAGGGTTTTGACTGGTTTCTATTTCAAGTTGCTTTTAGCCCTAAGATTCAATACTTTTCCAAGGGAATGGCCCTAAATATTTTTGTAAATGCTTGATCAAAGCATTACATATGAGAATACAATTTAATGGACCTTAAAAAATGAACATATTTTAATTTCTACATGGAATGTAAAAGTTAAAGGAACATTTGGGGTCTGGCTCAAGCCACCTGCTTGAGACCATTCCTGTCTCCTCAAGTCCAGCTGTATTCGATTCACTCACAGCTCCCATGCCCTTCCCTCACCATCTTAATCACTATAGCAAGAACCCCAACCCCCACCTTCCCTGCCCTAGTTTTATTCATAGCTCTTATCACTATTGGACAGACTAAACCTTTTACTTGTTTATTTGCTTATTATTTGTCCATAACGGCAGAAATTATTACTTGTTTATTCGTGTTTGGTTTTTACTGTCTTTATTCTCTAGCACCTAACATAGTTTATAGGGTATTTTCCAGTCATTTCATATCATCTATGCTTGGCACAGAGAAGGAACCCATTAAATATATGTTGAATAAATAGGTTTTATTCTTCCTCTAAAGTCTATTCAAAAACATCAAAAACAAGCAATATAGGTTTATTGTTAGATGTGCGTTTGTGTGTACTAAAACTAGAACAAAAAGGAGAGGAGTGACTATAAATACAAAAGTCAAAGTCATAGCACAGTGGGAGAGGCTAAATAAGGAGGTAGGGGTGTAGCCGAAAGGTAAGAAGCAGGTTATCCCTATTGTTCTTAGGTTAGGCAGTAGTTGTGTCCATGTGTTATTAAGCAAATTAATTAAACAAAGGTCATCTATGGCTCAATGACGATAGTGTGACAGTGTCATGAACCAAGGATTGTGATTAATTCAATTCTGTGTACCCAGGATACTTTTTTAAAAACATATAAATTCTTTAAGACCAGGAAGAGTGGCATTTGTCTTTTATCTGCTACAGCATGTGACAGAAACAGTTAGCAAGATTGTGTCAAGTTGGCTTGAACCAGATTGAATGTGCTCTACTCTAATTGGATTAAATTGAAGAATAACAGAAGTGCAGGGCAGAAGCAAAATACTCCACCCAGGGTTAGAATTTTACATGCTTCAAAAAAGCCAAACCTGAATAGGAGATGCTAGAACAGGCTGCTTTTCATTTCCTTTATTTTCATCTAATTAGCAAGGCTTCCCGAGCATCTAATGAATGGTGAACAGGTACCCCACATCTCTGTCCAGATCAAGGGGGAGGAGCCAGCAGGTGCATTTCACAGGTCTCTGCTTTCCTGGTTCCATTCCTTCTGTCCTGTGGGCCAAGTCACAGTGGGAGCCCATCTGGGACTCCGTGGTCTTGGGAATATGTTTATATTCCCAGGGCTCTCTGGGCCTCTGTTTCCATATTGGTAAAATGACTCATGGTCTTCACATCCTCATACTTCTATGAGGGAAAGATCTTTGTAGAATTATTAAGGGTTTCTTTCTGAAAAGAAGGAAATTAGTGAACCTTTATTCACTGTGTGGAAATGGATAACTGGATCTGGTGGCATGTGAGTTGCATAAGAGTTCTTGCTTATGCGTGGAGTAGTTAAAAGTTTTCGATGAACACAAATAGGATTAATAACAACAACCATGACCATTAGCCCAATAATAGTTTTGCAGCCTTACGACGTTAGTACTTTGAATTTCTATTTTATTAGGCAGATAATGCTTATATGTTTCAGAATAGCTAGTAAGTCAAGCTGTCAAGCTTTACGTAACGAGATTTGGATCATTATTCTTAGATAAAACAGAAAGAGGTGTCCAATTTTTGTTAAAATAAAATGTATCATTTATCCCCAGAAATTTAGAATAAATAAAACTGTTTTGTGACTTTTGTTTTTCCAGAGCATAGCAAAATGAAGGGAGAATAATGTCTTTCTTTTCTCCTGCTGGTGAGGGAAGATAAGTTCTTTCTTTTCACTATTGGGGTACTTCTCTTATGAGTACAATCCCTCTGACTCATGGATGTTTGCTGTATTCAGCTACTTTAGATCACTAGAGAAGAAATTGAATTCAAAGTGAATTAAGCCACTGTAATATTGTGAGATGTATGTATTGGGTTCTCCTAGCTCTCACTTGGTTTGTGCAGCAATGATTAATGGATACACAGACCCTCAAATACTTAGTATGTCTTTATCAGCAATCCCTTCTGACACCTCAGTTTGAACTACTGCATTGAGTAAGTTTTCCCTTCTCAACTTGTATCTCCTTCCCCTTGGCCTCTTAAGTGGTACGAAAGCATCAAATTAGTTGTTTCTCATAAAATATGGTCAAATAACTCCAGGCAATATCCTCATTTCACAGATGATGTGAAATGACTAGAAAATACCCCATAAACTATTCTGCCTTTTCTATTTCCGGAAACACTCTCCTTAGGAAGCCAATCTTGTTTTCTGCTGACTGGTTGGGCTGGTTTTTCAGTCCTAGGTAAAGTTCCACAAGGAACTTTCTGTTATTTATTTGAGACTTACTGCCCTGTCTGGAGCTTCTAAAAAATGATTTCAAAAAAGTTAAATCCAGAAAATGCTGTTCAACATTAATTGAACAATAGTTCAATAGTTCTCCTCAATACATTATATTTTTTGTCATTTGTGTTCTCTTTCTGTCCTGGTCCAGTTGCATAAAGATTTTTACAACGTGATAATCAGAGTATATACATAAGTTTATACTCAGCCTTTTTATCGTTAGTATAATAGCATAAATATTTTTCAAGCGGCTACATAGCAACATAGTTTTTGCTTTAAAGACTGTATAATATTCCCCCAAGTGAGTATATAGTAATTTACTAAACCTTTTCCACTTGTATTGGAAAATTAAGCCAGTTATAATCTTTATATTATAAATAACACTACTATGAAAATCTGTATGCATAACACTACTGTGAAATCCTTCATGTAAAGAAAGAAAATATTTTCCTCCCTTTGGATTGTTTTGTAGGCTACTCATTATTTAGAGTAAATGCCTAAGTGTGGGAATAATGGATTTGAATATTTATGAGCTGTAATGATGGCTAGTGTTTTTGGAGCACTTACAATGTAACAAACTTAACTTTAGGCCTATTTCTATTTGGCGATGAATGCTTGTCCCTACTGTACAACTAACTCAGAGTAACCTTGGGTACTTACCCAATGGTGGCTGGTATCTGATGAGCCTTTCATACCTTTTCAGTAGAGATTGAAAAGGAAAATGAGTAACAGTTGCCTAATGCCTTTGGAAACTTCCATGTGGTCTGCTATTTAGGGACCACGTGTTACCAAATATGACTCATGCCTCATCAAAAGGGAAGAGAAGAGGACTAGGAGTTACTGAACCTATTATCTGTGGGCACCTTTATCATCTCATTTAATCCTTACAAAAATGTGATTATTCCTATCTTAGAGATGAAGAAGCTGAGGCTCAAAGATGTTAGACAACTTGGAGGCCAGGTATGAACGTATTTGTTCCACTGTCCCATGATGATTATCTCTATTATAACCTGCAGCTCCTTTCCTTCTTTCCCTGCCCCACCGCATAACCATACACACATACCTGACCCAGTAGATTTAATGTGCCTCTTTCTGGGCTACAACTCCAGGCATATATCCAATTACTGCTATCGTCCTTGATTTCCTAAATAGTGATTTATCAAACTAGTTGTTTCTAGTACTTAACCTATAAATTACACATGCCATTCCTACAAAGTCCCAGGGGTTTTAATAAAACTTGACTTTTTAAACTTCAGTTTATTTGAGAAAAAAAAATTAAGAAATTTTTGAAAGGCAACAAGAAGAAGAGATTTGCTCTAAGACATTAAACATAGTTATATAAGAAATATCTAGGAGTTAGTACCAGAAGTAAAACAGACAATTATTATCAGTGGATGAGAATTGTGTATATGTGCATGCATACACATATATACACTTATGTATATACGCATAGATTTAACCTCTGATAACAGTGGCTGTCCACTGTTTATCTACAATAAAATATGTAATGGGTTTGTTGAGAAAATTGACTATCTCTTTGGAAATAAGTAAATTGAGATATTTTATGATATACCTTAAAATAAATTCCGTATGGATTAAAGAGCTAAGGAAACCTATAAAATATTTGAAGAAAACAGAGGAGAATAATCTTTTCATCTCAGTGTAGGACAAGCCTTCCCAAGCTTATGGCCATGGCCAGGTTAGAAATAAAAATGGACATATTTGGTCACTTAAACACTTTAAAACTCCACATTAAAAAATCATCAAAATAAATTTAAAATCAAACTGTAGATTGAAAAAAATACTTGAAAATATACGTGAGACAAAATTATTAAAAGGACTTATATGAACAATAAGATTTAAAGCAAACAACCTAAGGGAAAGACAATTCAAGGGAGAAAATAATCAGTCAGCATATGAAATATACTCAACTCACTAGCGTTCAAGAAAATGCAAAGTGAAAGATCTAGATACTATTTTTTAAAAACTTCAAATTAGCAAAATTTTAAAATGTTGATAATATCGAGTATTGAATAGGCATGAAGACATAGATACACCTATCGTGTTGGTGAGCTATCCATACTGTAAAGTCTTAACAGATACAATTTTATCACAGTTTATAATGCCTAACCTAAAAAAGATGGAAACAGCATAAACATCATCTGTAAGGGAACGATTCATTAAATTACAATATATTCACAGTATAGAATACAATAAAACACAATGCAAAGCAAAAAGAAATGATAAAATTCTATATGAACTGATGTGAAAAGATCTCCAAAACGTAGAATTAATTTTTTAAAATTCAGGTTATAAAACAATCCGGCAACATATTTTCATTTATGTTTTTTAAAAAGTATTGGCCAGGCACGGTGGCTCACACCTGTAATCCCAGCAATTTGGGAGGCCGAGATGGGTGGATCACGAGGTCAGGGGATCGAGACCATCCTGGCTAACAGGGTGAAAACCCGTCCCTACTAAAAATACAAAAAATTAGCCTGGCACTGGTGGCGCAAGCCTGTAGTCCCAGCTACCTGGAAGGCTGAGGCAGGAGAATCGCTTGAACCCAGGAGGCGGAGGTTGCAGTGAGACGAGATCACGCCACTGCACTCCAGCCTGGGTGACAGAGCAAGACTCCGTCTCAATCAATCAATCAATCAATCAATCATATTTATATATAAGTACACAGAAAAAAGAAGTTTCAAAGATATAAGTAGAACTGTTCATTATGGTATCCATGGGTACAGAGAGCAAGACCTTATCTTTCCTTTACCATTTGCATCTTTTAAAATAAAACTGTATTCGTATCTACATAATTTTTAAATACGCCTAAAACATAAGAAGAAATTGACATCCTAATAGTGGTGGGGAAAAAAAAACGTATCTGTAAGTCTTTAATAAAGTAGGCAAAGATTTAAGTGAAGATTTAGAGGACGTGGACACTAAATAAAATTTGATTACATATTTTAATCCTCTTACTTGATATAGAATACAATTTTAGACTTAGCACCCTCCCCCTGCGCGCGCACGCACACACACACACACACACACACACACACACACACACACACACACACAGAAATGTCTTGACCATAAGACAGTAAAAAAAGAAATTTCTTTTAAAAGTTAAAAAACTTTAATCCCAACAAGTTGAGAATCAAAACATACCAAAAGTGCTAAAGCACATGCATGGAAAAAAGCCTGGAGGGATCCATTCCCAAAATGATTAGCTCTGGGTGGTGAGATTATCAGTAATTTTTAAATTTTCTTATGTTCTTTCTTATATTCTTGATTACAATTATCCAGTATCTCCTATACTGAGTATTATTTGCCTTTTTTTTTAAGATATGGAGTGATGGGGAGTGGGTTAACAATACCATATTTGCATAGCAGCTAAATCAGGAGTTGGCTGAGGCCATGGGAGGTTTAAGTTGTTCTCAAATTCTCATTAATCCTGGGTCATGCTCACAACTCAAAATACAACCAATGAAACTTGCTTCTTAGCTAAGAGACTGAAAACCCACAACTCTGCTATTAATTTTTGTTGGAAAATCTCAATGTATATGTGGTATAGGTATGCCATCTGGCTGACTTGGCTTCAAATCCTGGCCTCCATCCTTATTGATTGTATGATATGAACTCGAGTGCATGCTTTTAAGCTCTCAACCCTCTACTTTTCTATGTGTAAATGTGGAAACAAGAATGCCTCCTTCATTGGAAATTTTTGAGGTTTTAGTGGAAAAGCATATAAAAAGTGCTTGACATAGTGCAGGGATGTGCTGATGTACTCAATAAATGGTAGCTATCTTATTCACACATGAATATTAATTATACTTTAATTCACACTATGCAGCCATAAAAAAGAACGAGATCATGTCCTTTGCAGGGACATGGTTGGAGCTGGAGGCCATTATCTTTAGCAAACTAATGCAAGAACAGAAAACCAGATACCACATGTTCTCACTTACAAGTGGGAGCTCAGTGATGAGAACACATGGACCCATAGAGGGGAGCAACACATACTGGGGCCTGTCGGAGGGTGGAGGATGGGAGGAGGGAGTGGATCAGGAAAAATAACTAATGGGTATTAGGCTTAATACCTGAGTGATGAAATAATCTGTACAACAAACCCCCATGACACGCGTTTACCTGGGTAACAAACCTGCACATCCTGCACATGTGCCCCTAAACTTAAAAATTAAAAAAAAACTTATAGGCCGGGCACAGTGGCTCACGCCTGTAATCCCAGCACTTTGGGAGGCCAAGATGGGCGGATCACGAGGTCAGGAGATCGAGACCAACCTGGCTAACACAGTGAAACCCCATCTCTACTAAAAATACAAAAAATTAGCCGGGCATGGTGGCGGGCACCTGTAGTCCCAGCTACTAGGGAAGCTGAGGCAGGAGAATGGTGTGAACCCAGGAGGCTGAGCTTGCAGTGAGCCGAGATCACGCCACTGTACTCCAGCCTGGGCGACAGAGTGAGACTCTGTCTCAAAAAAAAAAAAGTGTATATTAATTCTCATATCAATGTTTATATCAATATGCTTTGATATGTTAATTTACAATTATTTATGTTATTATAAGATATCATATTGATTCTAAATTCACAATGACCAGCCTCTCATGAATTTCTCTTAAGATTCACTGCCCAGCTATTATCATTTCTCTTTCTTTTTTGTTTTTTTTTTTTTTTGAGGTGGAGTCTCACTCTGTCCCCAGGCTGGAGTGCAGTGGCAACATCTTGGCTCACTGCAACCTCCGCCTCCCAGGTTCTAGCGATTCTCCTGCCTCAGCCTCTCGAGTAGCTGGGACTGCAGGCGTGCACCACCACGCCCAGCTAATTTTTGTATTTTTAGTAGAGATGGGGTTTCACCATGTTGGCCTGGATGGTCTCGATCTCCTGACCTCGTGATTTGCCCGCCTCAGCCTCCCAAAGTGCTGGGATTACAGGTGTGAGCCACCGCGCCCAGCCTATCATTTCTTTTTACCCCAGATTGTGCTTGAGAGTTATGAAGATAATTATTGTCATTATATAACTTATATTGTATTTTGCAAAGTGTTTTATATATCTATCATCACTTATTCTTTTCCTTTCAAAAAAAAAAAACTGAAAAGGCATAATAATTAAACTTATTCTCCGGTGAGGTGTGGTTTTTATTCTGGATCTGGTCTTTTGATGCCTCTGAAGACAGTGCCAAGCCTTGTCTGGGTCTCAGCAAGATCATTACATGCTATGAGGACCAGCAAAGGCTCATGGCTGAGCCCAGATCCTCTTCTCTTATAATTGAGAATGCTGTTCTGTCTAAATATAAAACCAAAGAGAGAGAGAGAGAGAAAACAAAGTTTTGAGGATAGACAGCTGGAGGCAGTCTGCCAAATTATAGCACCTCTTATTTCTTTGATGTATTCAACTCTCTCCCCCACCAAAAAAGATCATATTCATTAATATTTTTATTTTTTTGTTTTCTTCTTATTATTATTTATTATTATTATTTGAGATGGAGTCTCACTCTGTCACCCAGGCTGGAGTGCAGTGGCGCGATCTCGGCTCACTGCAAGCTCCACCTTCCGAGTTCATGGCATTCTCCTGCCTCAGCCTCTGAAGTAGCTGGGACTGTAGGCACCTGCCACCACACCTGGCTAATTTTTTGTATTTTTTTAGTAGAGATGGGGTTTCAGTGTGTTAGCCGGGATGGTCTCAATCTCCTGACCTCGTGATATTTTTCTACCAATTCTGTGAGATTACAAGTTTGATTGTACAGATGAGGTTACTGAGTTTCCAGAAACATTAAGAAATTGGCTCAAGGTCACCCAGCAGATTCAGACCTAGAACTCTCGTCTCGGGGCTTGCAAAACCAAATTTACCACATGGTCCCCCAGAGAAATGCGCAGCCCAAGGGAACATGGTCTTTTCAGATAGGCAGATGCCTGGCATTTAACCTATTTCCTCTCTCAACCTAACAGTCCGTCTGCTTAAAGCTTTTTTTTTAATTTAATTTTTTATTTTAACATGGTAGCCATCTGCACTGGCTTCAAGATTGAAAGAATTAGATGAGAAGGGGAGATGGAAATTCAGCAAATGTAACTCAGGATTGGCTGGGAGAGGAGGACAGAATGAGGCATAGGGATAGCAAAGGAATCCCTGGCTTAGTAGAAATGCAGCCTTCACAAAGGATTGTGTTCTTAACACATAGATTAGAGCATGACACTACAGAATGTCCCAGAGACAGAAAGTATTCTCAAGCATCATGTTTGGTTGTTTCAAAACCTTGTGTCTAACAGTAGAGCCAGGATTATTTTCTAACATTTAAAGAATGGTTAATATACCTACATTTATATATATGTATATGCATATGTTTGTATATGATATATAACATATATATAGTATGAGAGAGGTAAAGATTATCTTTGAGGATGCTCTTTGCAGTGGTATATGTGCTACAGTAACACCGAGGGAAAAACTGGAGTTGGTTAACAAAAAGAAAATATTTAAATACATAAAAAATGGGATTTAACATGCACTTTAAATATCGTGTTTTCAGAGGATCATGAGATGCAAAGATGTTTACAATGCAAGAAGGAGGTTTCAGAATTGCATATGATATAGTCCCAATTCTTGAGAAATTGTAGGGTAGGTACCTTTTTATATCCATGTTCAGGTATATGAATCAGAAGAAAAAAGGCAAAGTATTAGCAGGTGCTGCTTATCTCTGCAGACTTGAATTCCTATTAATTTTGCCTTTCATCCTGAAACTTTTATACATTTTTCAAATTTTCTATAATGAACACGCACTTGTTTTATAGTCAGAAAAGGCAATACATGCTTTAAATGCTATAATAGAATAGTATATATCACAAGCTTCACTTAGGCTCTCAAAAGAACGTAAACCTGTATTCAAGAACCACAGCCCCATGGAATGAAGACTCTCCTCTTAATTTTAGAAGAACTTCTTTGCCTCATAAAATACACCCTTTCTTCCAAACTCTAATTCTCCTTTATATCTAATTTTTATTCAGCTACTTAGTGGATGCCCACGGTTAACCTCATTAATCTTCGTATGGTAATTTATTAGGGATAAAGGGCTCTTAATTTGACCACTATAATTACCCTAGAGGTGAGTATAATGACGTCTGTCTTACAGGGATGGGAAACTAAGGTATAGAAACGGGAATGACCTGCCCGAATTTACACATACAGCATGGTGAAGCACTTGAACTCAGATCTCCTGGCACCCAATCTTGTGGCCTCTCTCGATGAACAAGCGAACACAAGAAGGCGTAAATCTGAGTCCCTTTGTCTCAGGCATCTCTGCAGCAATAGCTTTCAAGGAACGCAGGTCAAATGGCAGGTCCTTTTCCCGGAGGCCCCTCCCACCGGCCCCGGGCGTGTGTGCGCGCTGTCTGCTTAATTCACTCATGGCTCTGTGCCACAGAATACATAAACAAGTGGGGAAAGCCTCAGAGAGGAATCTTGGTGCCCAAATGGAGCAATTTGTCTTCTGAAATTATTGTTTGAAATTGTTTATGTCAGTTGCCGAGTTTCTGTTCTGTACTTCAGGGACCTGTTTGTGATGGAAGGAAAAGTTCCCCGCGGCTGAACAGCCGTGCTAGTTGAACACTTGTAGTGACAGTGTTGTCAGCTGCTTCCCAGTCCTCCCTGACTTGGAGAGGGTTTTGATGAGGTTCCCTACACCCCAATAGAGCACCCCAAGAACTATCTGATGCTCACATGCCTGCTGCGTGTGCTAACTAATTTAATCCTTACAGCAATCCTGTAAGGAGGTACTGTTGTTACAGTCCTCCCATCCATAGAAGAAGAAACCAAGCCTCCAGCGCTGAAGGAGCTATCTCAAAATCCCATGCCTTGTAAATGGAAAAGCTGGGACTTGATCTCATGCACCTTTGGATTCTAAGTCCATGCTTGTGACTGCTACCCTGTACTGCTTCGCACAAGTATCCGAACCAGTCAGAGCTGGCTTGAGCCATCTGACTTTGCCACCCCATCCTCCCGGTGAGCATGTGAATTGTGGATTCTGCCCTCTTAGTGACATCGTAAGGCATTTCCACTTGAGGTTTTTCTTCCCTATTCCTCTAGTGTCTTGAGTTATTTTAACATGAAAGCCTCAAGCTCACAAACCTGGCAGCTTTGTGAGTGAGAGAGAATTCCTTTTGAGGCATGAATTAGTCTTCTTCAAATGTTTTGACAAACTGAGAGTGTGGTGCTTAGGGAAAGAATAGCTTCGCAGTGTTCGTGTGAACAGACATCTTTCTAAAACAACTTGAGCCCATGCGTGAGGCTCAATCATTGAAATCACTGCATGGTAATTCTGAGACCGAGCCTTTTGGCTTTCAGTATTCTCTTGGTTTTGACTCGCCAAATGCCCAGCACTAGATGCTGGCCTGAATTCATATCTCTTAATCTCCCTAAAGGAAGCAGAGCCGGGACATCCCTTAGGATGAAGAAAGAACAGTGTGTACCTGGTCTCAGCCCCCGCTGCTTGAGTGCTCTCCTGTAAGAGTCACTGAGGCCAGGCCAGCCCAGCACCCCTCAGAGCTCACCTTGTTCCTTGAGACCATCGAGGGCTACCTCAGTGACCTGATCATCATTTTCACCTCGTCCTCTCTGAGTACTCCCTGCAGTAGATGAGCAGACAGTCAGGCCTATGTTATTCTTGGTCAGTGAATACAACAGATAACAGCATGCAGGGCAACATTTGGCTAGGGAACAGTTATCATTGGTACCTGGAATCAGAAGGCAAGGAGCAAATTGAGCTCAGGCATTAGCACTCCACACAAAAATCATCCCTGGCTCTCAGCCTTGTTTGGGAAATGTGGCCAGGATTAGGGCAAGACCGACGCAGATAACCAGGTCTCTCATTTCACCTTCTCCAAGCATTCTGTCAGCCACCCTCTTCTCTTTACCGGGAAATTCGATGCTTCTGTACCCCAAAGAGGAACATGTCAGACCCACAGATGACACGGGCCACTGGTGGGGAACGGTGGCTTTGTCCTAGAGTCAGATAATGCCAGGCAAAGGAAAGAATTTGGTGGGTGAACCATGCACAGGAAGAGCAGAGGAGAGTTGTACATATGATGTGTGCCACACAGTATCAGCTTCCAGCTCTGGAGGAGACCAGAAGCCTCTGATGGTGGTCCTGCTTGTTACTTTCTAGGAAGTTATCCATTCATCAGCCAATAGCTTTCCCAAAGACCTATGCCTGGTAGTGTCCTTGAAGGCAATAATGTCAAGGTCAAAGATTACATATAAGGATGCGTCCAGCTAAACCTAGGGTAGGATTCAACAGAAAAGGGAAGGTAAAAGACTAAATTATAAACAGGTACCACTGCCCTTTTCGCGGAGAGAGTTTTCAGGGGGCTCATGCTCTGTTGTATCCAGGGTTTGTGATCTTGACCTGGCACCATATGGAGAGGATGCATCATAAATAGCCATCCAAGCTGCTGTTCAACACTTCTTAACCCAGGTCCTAAGTATGATAACTGCCATGTGCATTCTGTCAGAAGTGTACGTTTTGCTCACTTTTACAAACACCTGCATCCACATACCCAGAAGTCTTTGATTGGTAGAACAGGATTTAAAAGTAGATCTCAAAGCTTTACCTGGTTGTGCTGATAGCTTTCTGCCACCACGGGATGCCCCTCTTCAACAATTATCATATGGAACCTCTTTGTTTGCAAATAATAGAGAATCAAACACTAGAAACCCTGAACAAGCTTAAGCAAAAAGGAACACTTATTATAAACATACTGGGGTATCTCATCAAACTGAACGACAGGACTGTATTAGCGACTTGGGTGGAAATAAGCTGGAATTGGGGATTTGAACACTCTCAGGCTACTCTTCTGGCCGTCTTCTGTGCTCCATCTTCTCCCGCAATATTGACTGGCTTTGTTTCCCAATTCATGTGGGTGAAAATGGCCACCTCCGACTGCTATTGAATTTTCTCTTCCAGTCCCATTTCCAAAATTCCTAGGGAAAAGTTCAGTCTGGCTTGAGGGATGCCCATCCTCAGAACAAAAACTAGGACTAGGAAGAGAGACAAAAACCATGCGGATGGCAGAGGAGAAAAGCATTTCCTATTAAACCCAGTGGAAAACCGTTTCAGAAGAGAATAAAAGGGAGGCATCACCGGCTTCCCCTCCTTTCTTTCATTTGTCACTGTCACCAACAACTTTACTGTCAGTACCTGTCTCTGTCTTCCTCTGTCGCTTTCTCTCGTGCGCGCGCGCTCTCTCTCTCTCCCGCTCCTTCTCTCTGTCTCTCATTCTCTCTTTCTTATCAGGCCTGTCAAGTCTTTCGGGAATGAAAATTACTCACACATACACAGATACACACACATACACATACACATACAAGCTGTTGTTAAGTAGAACTGGAAGGAGGCAAATTAAATGCTGTGGGCCTGACAACTCCTTTTATTTATTTGTTTGAGTTTCCTGGGAGAAAAGGCCAGACAAGCTTCCCTAATTCCCAAACTACATGAAGCTCCTGGCATGACACTCCCCAAATTGTAATTATTTGTTTAACATCTTTCCCCCTCTCTAGGCTGTAAACTTTCCATAGGCAGAACTTGTGACAGTTTTATTCACAGCTGGATCCCTCATGTCTAAGACAGTGTTTGGACGTACAGTAGGTGATCAGTAAATATTGAATGAATGAAATGAATGAATGGACAAATGAATGATGTTAGCATGTTCACCTTACTGGCAAATTCCCAGATGAAGACATTACTTCAAAGGCTCCTGGCAGCCCTACCAATTTGGCTACCAATAATCATAGTAATAGTGCTTTTGTTGTTTTCAAAAGTCTGATCAAAGAGTGTGTCATATAAGTAAGTCTAATTCACATCTCTCTCTTTCTCTCATTCTCTCTCTCTCTCTCCATTTTTCATGAATTTATTATCAAGACATAGCAATTCTTTTTTTTCCACTTGTTTCTCAAATTTGCCCTCTTTTATTTATTCCCAAGTGGACTTTCTTCCTTATCCATGGATCATGATGAGAGTCTCCAAACCAACCCTGTCTCTTCCCATCGTCTGAGCATCAGATGAGTCCTCCTAAAATGTCAATGTTACTGAGTTACTTTGCTGCTCAAAAACATGCCGGTGTAGCCCTCTTTCTACAGGAGAAAGTGGAACGTAGCATCCATGGCCCTCTTTTTCTGAATTCCTAACTCCTGTTACAGTGTTATCCCTTACCACTCCCAAATAGGAACCTTTTCCTTGAACAAGGCAATGTCCAGGGGAACACTACATATTTTGTGGAGCCCTGTGCAAAATGACAGTGCAGGGTCCATTGTTCAACAATGATTAAGAATTTCACAATGGTGACCGGGTGCAGTGGCTCATGCCTGTAATCCCAGCACTTTGGGAGGCCAAGGTGGGTGGATCACAAGGTCAGGAGTGCAAGATTAGCCTGGCCAACATAGTGAAACCCCGTGTCTACTAAAACATACAAAAATTATCCAGGCATGGTGGCACATGCCTGTAGTCCCAGCTACTCGGGAGGCTGAGGCAGGAGAATCGCTTGAACCTGGGAGGTGGGGGTTGCGGTGAGCTGAGATCACGCCACTGCACTCCAGCTGGGGAAATAGAGTGAGAATTCGTCTCAAAAAAAAAAAAAAAAAGAATTTCGCAATGGTGATAGCACCTCATTAAACCAAGCACAGGGTCCTTCTAAAAATAGGGCTCTTTCACAGCACAAGTTATACACTTATGAAGCCAGCCCTGGGTAGGAAGTGCCATGTTTATTTGAGATTTAAGATTTTATTCATTTTGGGCCAGGCATAGCGGCTCATGCCTGTAATCCCAGCACTTTGGAAGACCGAATCAGGTGGATAACTTGAGGTCAGGAGTTCGAGACTAGCCTGGCTAACATGGTGAAACCCCATCTCTACTAAAAGTAGAAAAAATATTAGCCAGGCATGGTGGCACATGCCTGTAATCCCAGCTACTCAGGAGGCCAAGGCACAAGAAATGTTTAAACCGAGGAGAGAGAGGTTGGCAGTGAGCCAAGATCACACTACTGCACTCCAGCCTGGGTGACAGCGTAAGACCCTGTCTCAACAACAACAAAAACTGCAGAGGGGCTGGGCACAGTGGCTCACGCCTGTAATCCCAGCAATTTGGGAGGCCAAGGCAGGTGGATCACTTGAGGTCAGGAGTTCAAGACCAGCCTGGACAACAGGGTGAAACCCCATCTGTACTAAAAATACAGAAGATTAGCCGGGTGTGGTGGTGCATGCCTGTAGTCCCAGCTACTCGGGAGGCTGCGGCAGGAGAATCACTTGAACCCAGGAGGCGGAGGTTGCGGTGAGCCAAGATCATGCCACTGCACTCCAAGCCTGGGAGACAGATTGAGACTGGCTTAAAAAAAAAAAAAAAAAGTTATTTTATTGGTCAAGAATACCCTTTAGCATCTTAACCATAAATTTCTCACTTGAAAAGTTGAAGGTTCAGTTCTTCTGCCCTTAGTAGCCTTCTACATATATGGATTATTTAATAACATGTTGCCTAACACTTTAGTTAACTCAAGCGTGTGTATCTTTTCTCCATCAGAGTATATATGCCTTAAATTGCTTTGTATAATTCCTGGTGTCTAGAGGGACCTCAACAAATAGCAAGGAATTGTTCAATACTATTTGAGAACTTGAATTTGTAGATACACACACGAATGCATGAGCACCAGGCTGGCCTGGTGATCCCAAAGCCTTCTGGAGTCACCATAGAAGTAATAGCTGTTCTAGTTGACATTTCCCTCTAAAGGGTCACTTTGGTACCCTGCATTTCACCCTTAACCTCTTAGATCCCTTGGTGAGATATGCTTTACAATCTTGCAGCGTTTTCCTGTCCTTTGAACATAACATTAAGAACTCTTACAAGAAATATTGTAATCTCATGGGAAAAACTTGAGATTAAGAGGAATCTCAGAGCCCTGAATTTGGAGACTTACAAAAACAGACCTTGGTCAAAAATGAAGCCAAGTGGCATGAAATGTTAGCCCTCCAAGGAGCCTTTGACATCATCAGCTCATCTCTCTTGCTTTACAGAGGAGGAAACTGAAGCTGCAGAGGTGTCTCAGCCAAAGTCATATGGCTATTTAGTGGGAGGAACAAGGGCTCTTCTCCCAGGCTCTTATGTGACTTGCAAGACATCCTGCCAATATATCAGGGCAGAGAGAAATTTGAATGAACTTCTAGTCAACACTTGTAGGCATTTCACCTGTGTGCAAAGCAGAAATTGAATGTAGGCCCAGTTTTCTTTTTAAGACACTTTGATTTTTCACAAAATTCTGGAATTTGGCATCTAACTGTACAACACTCAAGTTATAAAGAAGGTTTCCATTTAGACACAGGGCTTATCGTATCTGCAAAACATGGACACAGTCTAGAGGCATGGGAGTACAAGCAGCATCATGGGTCTGATGAAATGATAGCTCTTGTAGTTGCCAAGGGCACTGGTTGCTAGGCAGGGTACAGAAGAGTCTAACAGTGGCCAAGAGTCCATTGTAAGAAAAGGTGCTGCAGAAGTGGTGAAAGCCCACCACCATCTGCTGATGGAAAGGGAAGGGTTCCCTCTGCTGCTGTTGCCAAGGGAGCTGGCTCTCTCCTGGATTTGAGAGCTTTCCAGTGCTCTGGAGCCTTCAGTATCCTGCAAGAAAGCTTCGAAGGACCCAGATGGGTTGGGAGAAAGAGCCATGTTGGTGTAATGGCACTGTAATCTACATCCGCTCTTTGCTCCTGAATAAAATCGTTCATCTATTCCCAAGCAGTGTCTCTTAGGAGGTTTGAGATTTTTAGAACCAAATCATAAAAATAGCACACCGAAGTTGGAAGGTGTTTAGGGGACCATGCAAACCGATGATTTTAAAACATAGAGTTTTAACATTTTGTGAGAGGTTTCGCTTTTGTTGTTCACCTCCATGCTATTTTTTTTTCTTTCCGTGTAAGATTTTTAGCTAAAAAACACTACACTTTCAGTAATATGTTTTAAAAAAAATTTGAAACCACCTATTTCTAACCGAGTCCTTCCCTTCATGAGTAAAGAGTCTGGAGCCCAGAGAGATGAATTTCTTGCATTATTATTATTTTGATGTGTTGCTAGAAAAAGACATGTGGGTTTACTCAGTAAAATCTGGGGAGTTATTTTCACCTTCCCACATAGGCAAGGCAGAGCCATTCCTAGAGGGACTAGAATTCGTGGACTATTTAGAAGAAATAGAGGAAGATGGCTTTGTGGGTGAGGGATGTATGGCTGGTACAGTGACTCCTCATCTTTTATTTTTGTTTTATTGATCACTCTTTTGAAATAAATGTATATTTTCTTCTTTCCCCAAATGATAACTTATTAAGTATATAATAAACAGAAACCATTTTATCATTTTGTTAAAAGTTTAAATATAAATTAATTTATGTTCGAAAAAATTATCTGGTCAAACCATGTATTCTGGTGTTCTTTTAGAAAATACGACCATTCTTTGGCGCTGAAGAGGTTGCAGCAAGTAGGGGGCACAAATAGGTCAAGCAAGGCTAGGGGGAATTTACTTAAGATAAATGGAGTAGTTGGGTAGACAAAAACCAAATAGTCGAGTGGAGAGGAGGTAGAAAGAAAATCAATCACATTTGAATAATACGATGGTGTTAAGGAAGCAGTGTATCCATGGCAACGTAGGAGAAGAAATGGGTAAGGATGATGCTTTTAGCAAGGATGATTTATTTGGTTGGATGAAACAGAAGATTAACACACAGATTCCAGTAACTTCTCTCTGATTCTTTGGATAATAAAACTTCATGGGCCCATGTTGTATACTGGATGAAAAATGGACAAGAACTAACAATTGCCAAAGAGTTGAGATGCACTAAGATACCTAGTGTTATTGGTTTAGGACAACAGTGTTGCTGAAAGCATTGGAAAGTCTCCTACACCCAGTGGAGGAAAAGGCAGCTGTTCTCCACCTTGATTGTCAACAGCAGACTTCTGGGTTTCAGCTGATCCCCCAGTTTTGTCAGTACAACCTGAACTGAAGCATGGATGGGCAATAACCCTGCTTATTAGAGCAGAACAGATCGCTTATAGGAATGATCCTGGGCCACTATTTGTGGCTTCCAAATTATCTAAACAGTTGAGCAGATAGCCAGATTCATTGTGAAATTCTTACAGCAAATCGTTTATGTAAAAAAATGTTTAGTTTTTTCCTTCCTTTCCTTCCTTCCATCTCCTTCCTTCCTTCCTTCCATCTTCTTCCTTCCTTCCTTCCATCTCCTTTTTTCCTTCCATCTCCTCCCTTCCATCTTCTTCCTTCCTTCCTTCCATCTTCTTCCTTCCTTCCTTCCTTCCATCTCCGTCCCTCCTTCCTTCCATCTCCTTCCTTCCTTCCCTCTCCTTCCTTCTTTCCGTCTTCTTCCTTCCATCTTCTTCCTTCCATCCCCTTCATTCATTCCTTTCTTCCTTCCTTCCTTCCTCCCTTCCTTCCTTTTTTTCTTCCATCTCCTTCCTCTCTCTCCTTCCTTCCTTGCTTCCTTCCTTCCTTCTTTCTTTCTTCAGGATCCTTTCCTTCTTGGGCCCTGGGTGGCAGCCCATGATGTGGGCAAAAGTATTGCCTTACAAATCAGAGTTCTGCTAGGACACTTGGCCTATTTCTTGTTTCCCTCCTGGAGCAAGACCTAGTGTACCCCCGGTTTAACACATCTTTCATTTTCACATCACATTAACTAATGTGAATTAATTAGTTGTCAGTGGAATAGATATTCACACCCATGTGCACACACACAAACACGTTGTTCTTAAAATTAAAAAATAAACTTTGTTTTCCTATTCCCGTTATCTTTTCTATTTCTTCTTCTTTCTACCCTTTCCCTTATCCTTGCTTTCTCTTCTTTTGTCTGCTCCCTTCTTCCCTAAAATCCTCAGTACATTTAGAATTGACTCACACTCCGATTTAATCAGATGAAACTTTTCCTACCTGCTGCATATAAACATTTACAGGAATATATAGCACTGCTATCATAATCTCATATATTGCTTCTGTTGCTGGTGTAGGTATAATTTTTGGTCTCTTGAAATCTTGTAACTTCTTGGAAAGAATCCTGAAGCCTTGATTTGGGGACTTAGACTCCCACACCCTATAAAGTATATATTTTGTCAGATATAAACCTAGTCTGACACCAAACAAAACAAAATATTTAGGTCAGGATGTAAAGAAAAAGTAGAGACAGATTTGATGTTATGTAAGCATATATTATATGACAAACAATATATCTAAAATCCATTTGATATAGAAATGAATGATATTAGAACAACTAATTAACAATTTGAGGCCAGGCACAGTGGGTCACACCTGTAATCCCAGCACTTTGGGAGGCCAAGGCAGGCGGATCACTTGAGGTCAGAAGGTCAAGACCAGCCTGGCCAACATGGTGAAACCCCGTCTCTACTAAAATACAAAAATTAGCTGGGCATGATGGCAGGCAACTGTAATCCCAGCTACTCAGGAGGCTGAGGCAGGAGAATCGCTTGAACCTGGGAGGCAAAGGTTGCAGTGGGCCGAGATCACACCACTGCACTCCAGCCTGGGTGACAGAGCGAGACTCAGTCTCAAAAAGTTTTTTTGAAAAAAATAATTAGAGCCTTTTGTAACACTATACACTAAAATTAATTCCAGATGCACTGAAAAGTTAAATGCAAATGTAAAAACCAAAACATAAATATATAAGGACATTTCAGTGATACATAATCTGGAGATGGAGAAGGTCTAAGTATACATCAAAGATAGAAATCATAAAAGAATATTCTAAGGGATTGCATATAGAGATGTTAAATGCCAAAAATCATCACAAGATTGAAAGGCAAACTAAAAAAACCAATGGAAATTCACAACATAGATGACTGACTATGTTTAATGTACTTCAAATATAAATAGATCTCCTAAGTCTATAAGGAAAAAAAAATCCCAGTGGAAAATCTGTCAAAGAATGTTATCAGACAGTTTGCAAAAGAAAAGATACTAATAGTAAAAAAATCTAAGAAAACATGTTTGACTCATTAAAAAATATAATGAGATACCATTGTTACTTATCAAATTAGCAAAGCTTTTTTCTTCTTCTTCAGTAGCATCATCCATTGTTAATAAGGTCGTAGTGAAGTTAAGACACTCCCATAGTCCTGGTAAGAGTACAAAATGGCTCATCTTTAATGAAGGAAAGAAAATTAAGTTTACAGGAAAAAGGGATTAAATAGATATTGAAGCATAATGAAATATTATGTGGCCATAGAGAATGAGAGTTCATATATACAAACCCACATAAAAAGTAAGAACATATTGAAAAAAATGGAAAAGCAAGGCACAAAATAGTATAAAAAATGGTCTCATTTTTGCATGTAGCATATTTGCTTATTTCGATTTCTCAAACATACTTCTTTTCTCAGAATTTCCTGGAATGTTTGTGAAAATGTATTCCCAGTCTACCTCGGACATACTAGACTATAGTCTCCAGGAAGGGGACGAGGGAAATTTGTGTTTATCAAGCCCCCCTAGGTGGTTTTTATATCAGGTAAATTGGGGAAATCCTGATCAAATCTAATGTAAACTCTTTCTTCAATTAATATTGAGACTGAGATCCAGCAAGGCTCTGGGAGCTGTCAAAAGCAATAGCTATTTAGTAGCAGAATGGGAACTAGAATTACGTGTGTATAATTCCAGATGAGCAATCCCTTTTTAAAGCCCCAAGCATATTCACTAATATTCTTAAATTTAACTCCCAACAACTTCCTAATCCCTTTGTAGACAGGTGGCAGAAGTTCTTAGCTCTATTGTTGCACATTCGGTAATGACCTTTCTTTGTTGATAGCGAATGGAAAGTTTTCCATTTTCACCGTTCCCTAGCAATGTCACATTTTCAAACAGTAGCTCAAAACTCTTTAAATAGAAAAGATCCATTTCTACTCTATCGTGACTCAGTAACAGCCACAGGATTCTTCTCAAACTTTCCTAAAAATGTCATCTTTGGGCTGGACTCAAGAGGAACATTTCAGCCAAGGAGACACATTTTCCACTCTGTGAAGAATGAGCGAGCATGGGGTTGGAACATAAAGTGTTTTGCAATCCTCAGAAAAGCAATACTTGTCATCAAAACCATGGCAACGTCTCCATGTGATGCCATCAGAGTCTGGGATCATTCAGGAGCCTCATTCTAATTGGAGACTTGGTCGGGGCCATCACCTGTGTTGGTCGGAACAGTCACCCAGCTGCCTGTTGGCTTCAGAAAGAAAACGGTACCCTACCTGACTGTTGCCATGGAGACACTATGGACAGTGATTCTGAGCTGAGCATCCCTTATGTTGAGTTACTAGGGGGCAGGTAGCATGAAACGTGCCTCATGTTCTAATGGCTTCTGATTCTTCATTTAAAAAGACATGCCCTTCACCCTCGCACCAAATGGAAGAAATACATTAAAACACAAGGTATAATATGACTAAAGTTACTGTTTTCTCATCCAAATATTAATAGTTCCATTTGGAACTTACACTCATGAGATAAAAGTTTAGAGTCCAAAATCATGGTTGGAAATTTGCCTGCCTAAGTTTATAACTCTATGGCCTTGGATGAGCTTTTATATCTTAGGAGCTATGACCAGGGGATAATAATACACACTCCTCAAGGACTATTGGGAGATTTCAATAGATGATTTATGTAAAACACTTCAGTCCCCAAGACTGGCACTTTTCAATTCTGTTAATAATCAGCCCCTTTCAACTTTCTTACTAGGAATTATCAGCATGAGAGAGAGAGGGAAAAGGAATAAAAGAAAGGAATAGGAAAGAACTGACCTGTAGTGAATTAATGACTCAGCTTCTTCTATTCACCTCATTTTGTGCCTTTTCCATCTCACTCGATGTGATGTGTTACTCCTGTGCCTTCAGTTTTCCCTTCATGTAAATGGCATAACCTCTTCTAAGGGACCATCACTCCTGGGCACAGCCAATGTTTCAGGCAGTAATGACTTTTTAAAAGGTATATGCTTGCATTCGCATCGCAACCTAAAGCTCCCTTTTCTTCTTTAGATTCTGCCATCCAGAAAATAGGTGGGCTTTCTTGTGAAGCAGCCATTATCGATACAATGCATAAAGGTCTTTGATAACCTTGTAGAGTTTAGAAAGTGGTAAGCTCATTAATGCCGTCCCAATAATCCTGAAGTTGTTAACTATTATTTGTTGTTAATATTGAGATTACAGCTATATACAGATGCTATCTATACAGAAGGCTGGGGCTCTTGGACATTGAGGATTATGACGCTTGGCAGACTCAAAGTTAAATCTATGTTTTCCGTTCCCAATGTCCTTGCCCCATCCTGTTGCTTCTCTTTGACATCAAGAAAGGCCTGCCCACCAGCAGCGGGCATGTGGCAGAGGTGACTGTCTAAGTAATAAGCAAAATGTCACAATGTCCTTCAATCCTGATATTTCCCTCCTCTTCAACCTGAAACTCTAAGGAGACCTATACAGCCGCACCTGGTTCTCCCTCTTCTGAGTGCCTCTGCTTTCTCTCCCAGGCACAGGTGAGTGAACTCTGCCAAGCTTCCTAACCCTCAATTTCCAAGAGCCCTGGCCCACCTATCTGTACATAGCAATAACCTTAATATTAACAACAAATAATAGTTAACAACTTCACAGGATTATTGGGAAGGCATTAGTGAGTTTATCACTTTCTAAACTCTGCACTCTCTGGTCGCAGCTCCCGTGTTGTGCAGAGATAGTATAGCTCCCATTCTTGAGTTGGAACCTAGTTCCAGCCCCGAGCTACAAGCGTGGAATCTAGTCCTGGTTCTCCACTATACTTGACCCACAAGTTTCTATGCATTTTTAAATAATTATTAAACAGTGGGCTGCTTCTCTGACTCAATAGGCTTCACACCTATTCTATGATTATAGAATATTAAGGGAACATATTTTCCCTTCTTTAGGAAGGTACATGCGTAGGGTGGTGGTAGAACTTGCTACTTGTTCCTGAAGTTCATTTTGGAGAAAAATCCAGGGTGGAGCTGTCGTGGGACATTTATGTTTTTTTAAAACAAACAAACAAACAAAAAAAACCATAGACCAGTCACGGTGTCTCACGCCTGTAATCCCAGCACTTTGGGAGGCCGAGGTGGGCGGATCACCCGAGGTCAGGAGTTCAAGACCAGCCTGGCCAACATTGTGAAACCCTGTCTCTACTAAAAATACAAAAATGAGCTGGACATGATGGTGTGTGTCTGTAATCCCAGCTACTCAGGAGGCTGAGGCAGGAGATTCGCTTGAACCTGGGAGGCAGCGGTGGCAGTGAGCCAAGATTGTGCCATTGCATTCCAGCCTGGGAGTCGCAGAGAGACTCTGTCTCAAAAAAAATAAAATAGAATAAAATAAAATAAAATAAAATAAAATAAAATAAAATAAAATAAAATAAAATAAAATAAGGTGCTCCCTACCAGACATGAAAATATATATCATTAGTCTAGAATAAAATAAATGGTGTAGCACTGGAACAAGAATATTCAAATGAGGAAATCAGAATCCAAAGCCCAGACCTCTGAGTAAAGAGACAACTTAAACACAAACATATGACTCCCAATTCTGATGACAATGGCCAAAAGAATGCAAGAATAGAAAAAAATACTGCTTTGATTCTGGAAGCCTAGAAAGACTGACACCCAAATGTCAGAATCATGAGAGAGATTTCTGCTGTTGATAAAAACATTGGGATGATGTAGAAAAGACACCAAGAACTCACTTCCCACGACCTTCCAAAGATAAGAATGAGGTCCCCAAAAAGGTGAATGAAGAGAAAACTCCAGGAATACCTGTCACTTAGAGGTGGGTAGAACTGGGAGTGGAAAGAAGGCATGGGCCAAAAAGTAACCTTCTGCTCAAACAGTACTTTTAGCTATGATGGGTTCATGGAGGTTTGCCAGGAGCTCTGGGACACAAATGGGCGCAGCAAGCTGAAAGCAGGGAAGGGAAGGGAAGCTCTGCTCAGCAAAGCACAAAAAGGCATCCGGGAAGGGGCCAAGCAAAAGCTGCAGGTGGCTGTGCCCAGAGAGCAAGGTAGCTTCACCAAGCATAAGGCCAGTGGGGCAAGGTTTCTGTCTGAAGTGTCAGGACTGTCCTATCTGCAGTGGGAAGCAGCCGCAGAGAGGGATGGGTGCATTTGAGCTCAATCTCTAGTATCAAAGCTCAGCCGAACCTGGAGAAGAAGCCACCCAGGGACGAATTCCACTGCTGAGATCATCCAGGACTTAGCTCTCTGCCCACTCCCTTTAGAGTTAGACCCTGACCCAGCAGCCAGGCCTCCAGCTTCAGAGGAGAGAAAGATTCCAGTAGCTTCCATGTGATAGGAGCAACAAGGCCAAGAGAAATGGGCAACCTGGTCATACTTTGTGGGAAGATCAGAACAACCTTTTAGGAGAGCTATTGTCATACGTACCAAACGCCTTCAAATTTGACATTTCCTGTGATGAAATCATTCTACTTCTAGGAGTGTTTCTTAATGTAATATCAAAGACGTGGCCAAAAATCAACTAGAAAGAATGTCCACTGTGATTTTTAATGTTAAAACTTTAAGAAATCTAAACCTTCAATAATGGCCAATGGTTCAATGACTTAAGGAATAACCAAAAAAAAAAAAAAAAAAAAAAGGAAAGAAATTTAGTAGCTCTACAGCTACTAAAATAGCATCATTTGATGGGTATTAAATGGCATGTGAATGTATCTTTGATATATTACTAATAAAAATCAGCTAATGAAGGAACCCTTATAATGTGATCCCACACAAACATATAGGAAAAAGGACCTAAACTTCATGAATGAAATATTAGCAAGAAGTATCCCTAGTTTAGAGATGATCTTAGTCCATTCAGACTGCCATAACCAAATGCCATAAACTGGGTAACTTATAAGCCACAATAAATTTATTTCTCACCGTTCCAGAGGCTGGAAAGTTAAAGCTACAGGCAGGCTTGGTGTCTGATGAGGGCCCCTTTCCTAGTTCATAGAAGTCCGCCTCTCACTGCCTCCTCCCGTGGTGGAAGGGGCCAGACAGCTCTCTGAAGCCTCCTTTATAAGGGCACCAATCCCAAATATGAGGGCTGTGCCCACATGACCTAGTGACCTCTCAAACTTCTTAATACCATCATCTTGAGGATTAAGATCGCAACATATAGCTTTTGGAGGGACACAAACATTAAGACCAGAGCAGATAAATATGTTTTCTCCTAGAAGCTCTTCTATATTTTGCAATGTTTCTGCATTAAGCTCATATTGTTTTTGCTTCTTACCCCTTTATCCCTTTGTGCTACATTCTAAGAGGACAGTTTAGCTCAATCTTCTAGTTCACAAGTTCATTTTTAGTTGAGTTTATTTTAATGAATGAATTTTTACTTTGCGATTAGTGTTAATAGGAAAGATACTATTTTTTGAATTTTAATTTTTTGAATTGTGGTATAATACACATAAAATGTACCCTATTAACCATTTTAACTGTACAGTTCAGTGGCATTACGTACACTCACACTGTTGTATAATCATCACTAAGATTTTGCAAAGCTGAAACTCTGTTTGCATTAAACTATAACCCCCCATTCTCTCTTCCCCCAGCCCCTGGAACCCCCCTCCTACTTTCTGTCTCTATGAGATGGACTACTCTAGGTACCTTATATAAGTGGATTCATATAGTGTTTCTACTTTTGTAATTGGCTTATCTCACTCAGCATCATGTCTTCAAGTTTCATCCATGTCGTAGCATGTCAGAATTTCCTTCCTTTTAAGGCTGAATAATATTCCTTTGTTGTTGTTGTTGTTGTTGTTGTTTTAGACAGAGTCTCGCCCTGTTACCAGCCTGGAGTGCAGTGGTGCAATCTCGGCTCACTGCAACCTCCACCTCCTATTTTTTTTTAGTAGAGACGGGGTTTCACCATGTTGACGAGGATGGTCTTAATCTCTTGACCTCGTGGTCCGCCCGCCTCGACCTCCCAAAGTGCTGGGATTACAAGTGTGAGCCACTGTGCCCGGCCCCATTTTATAAATATATCACATTGTGTTTATCCTTTGTCCATCGATGGACACTGGTGTCACTTCCCCCTTTTGGCTATTAAGAATAATGCTGCTATGAGGGTAGATGTACAAGTATCTCTTCATGTCCCTGCCTTCAATTCTTTTGAGTATATACCCACAGGTGAAATTGATGGATCATACAGTAATACTGTGTTTACTATTTTGAGGAGCTGCCCTACTCTTTTCCACAGTAGTTGCCCATTTTACATTCCCATCAACAGTGCACAAGGGTGTTAATCTCTCCATATCCATGCCACCACTTGTTTTCTGTTTTATGGACGGTAGCCATCCTGGTGGCTGTGAGGTGGTTAATGTATTATTTTTCTGTTGATGAATTATCTTGCCTGTTTCTGAGAAAGGCCTGTTCCCTTTGTTCATACTGTTGCCTTAAGGGTATGTTCTTTCCTTTGGTTAGGTTTAGAGTTTTCTTTCATACTGCTGATACTCCTCCCAGATTAGGCGATTCTTGATTGTACGCTAACATCGTGCCCTTGCAGATATCTGTTAGACAGTGCACAGGTGAGCAAGCTTACAGAGAAAACACATGTCACTGATACTTGTGTTTTGGTGAATTCGAGGATTGTAAGGGAGGAATAGGATGAGCCAGGAGCTAGTTTCAGAGGATGAAGAAATCATGACGCTCTTGGATATTGTCAGCAATCTATAAGGCCCATCGCTGTGTCTCCAAACAGGCTGGATTTGCTGCTACCACTCGAAGACCTGCAGACAGACATTCCCATGCCCCATAACCAATGCCTAGTCCAATGTAGGGACAGATACAGGATGTCACAGGGGTAGACCTCCTGTCTCAGTACCCCAGCTAACAATCCTGTTTGATTGAGCCTTGGGTCCCCTCCTGCTCCTTGGCATGGAGGGCTCTTGGCACAGCTTTCAATTCCTCACTTGCAGATCTTAGAACTTAGTTTTTCAATCCAATCCCATATGTTTTGTGTGTTTCATAAATTACTTAGGGTTCCAATTCGCTGAGGAATCTCATTCTTCTTTTCTGGTATAGGAGTATATATATATATATATATATATATTTTTTTTTTTTTTTTTTTTTGAGACGGGGTCTCGCTCTGTCGCCCAGGCTGGAGTGCAGTGGCGCAATCTTGGCTCACTGCAAGCTCCGCCTCCTGGGTTCATGCCATTCTCCTGCCTCAGCCTCCTGAGTAGCTGAGACTACAGGCGCCCACCACTACACCTGGCTAATTTTTTGTATCTTTAGTAGAGATGGGGTTTCTTCACGTTAGCCAGGATGATCTCGATCTCCTGACCTCGTCTCGGCCTCCCAAAGTGCTGGGAATTACAGGCTTGAGCCACTGCCACCGGCCTAGGTATACATTTTTAAAACTACCATTTCTGTTATTTATAGGAATCAGGTGTTTGCTCAGTTTGCCATCTTGAAACAGAAAACATTTAGTATTTTTGCTGCTAAAAAAAAATAGGAAGTATAAATTAATACGAATTAGAACTTAGCACCTAGAAACAGATTGTGGCTTATATTAGAACTTAAGTAAATGAAGAAGTTGGCATTATAAATCAGTAAGCAAAGGAAATTTTTTAATAAGTGGCAGTTATATATAGTTTCCCAACTATTTGGGATAAATTAGAGTTAGAGCCTAGCCTCAAACCATATACCAAATTCCGTATGCAGGGATATCATAATCAAAGGCAAACAATGTGAATGCATAGGTTAGGCTCAGGAGGGGCAGGCTGAACTGGAAAAGAGAGTTTGTGTGGGGAATAATGTGCATATAGGAAAAGACCTCAAAGGCTAGCATAAGGAGCCACCGCAAGATGCTATACGAAGTAATCTTATAAAAAGGGAGTTTACGGAAATTGATCTGCTAATGCTGCGTAACATGTATTGCAAGGAGATAACCCACTAATAAAAATAAGAAAAGAAAGATGTGAGATGGTTTAGTCTAGATCTGAACTGAAGGTTCTTAACTTTTGTAAGTCTCAGAGACTTCCGAAAATCTGATAAAAGTCATAAGCCAGTCCATAGAAATACTCATTTACACACATGCAAGCAACATTTTTGCATACAGCATCAGTGATTTAACAGGGCCCTTGAAGACCAAGTTCTTGAGGTGAGAGGGAGAGGAATTTATTTTGTATTCAGGGAAAATTGAGTTTATCTCCCCAGCTAGCATGTTACGGTCATGAGAATAGTAACTCTCCTATTCACCACTGTATGCCAACAGCAAGCAATGCTTTCACATAGTAGGCAGTCTAATATGTAATGAATGATTGAACGAATGTAATGAATTAATGCCTTCAATCTTTATAACTGAAAAATCTGCAAACAATTAAACCAAAAAAAGAAGTATGGAAATGAGTGATGTCAAGTAGGCCAGTGATTTCTCCATATAGAAGCAAAGAAATTTTGTCTCCTACCAGACCCTCTTTTTTTTTTTTTTTTTTTTTTTTTTTTTGTGAGACAGAGTCTGGCTCTGTTGCCCAGGCTGGAGTGCAGTGGCGTGATCTCAGCTCACTGCAAGCTCCGCCTCCCCGGTTCACGCCATTCTCCTGCCTCAGCCTCCCGAGTAGTTGGGACTACAGACGCCCGCCACCACGCCCGGCTAATTTTTTGTATTTTTAGTAAAGACGGGGTTTCACCGTGTTAGCCAGGATGGTCTCGATCTCCTGACCTCATGATCTGCCCGCCTCGGCCTCCCAAAGTGCTGGGATTACAGGCGTGAGCCACCGCGCCCGGCCCCAGACCCTCTTTAATGTCATTCTTTCATTATTTGTAATGGAATTTTTCTCTCTGTTTTTGTCTTCTCTCTCCTCTCCTCTGATAATATATATATATTTTTTGAGACAGGGTCTTGCTTGTTGCCCAGGCTGGAGTGCAGTGGCCCAGTCTTGGCTCACTGCAACCTCCGCTTCCCGGGTTCAAGTGATTCTCATGCCTCAGCCTCCCCAGTACCTGGGATCACAGACATGCACCACCATGCCCTGCTAAGTTTTGTATTTTTAGTAGAGATGGGGTTTCACCATTTTGGCCAGGCTGCTCTTGAGCTCTGACCTCAAGTGATCCACCCGCCTTGGCCTCTCAAAGTGCTGGGATTACAGGCATGAGCCACCATGCCCAGCCTTCTTTGATCATATATTTCTCTTCTTTTAGAAATTCTGCTAAAATGTTTTGTGGCCACTTACTTAAAGATGATGCCCGAAATCAGTGTTCCAGCCCTAACCTCTCAGCCTTTCTCCAGCCCTATATCTCAATTGTTTATCAGGCACCTTATTTCATATTTACCAGGACAACAAAAATTCAGGTTGTCTAAAATTATGCTCATCGTTTTTTCAGAGTTCTCTGTCAACTTTATTATAACATAACTCTGATACATGTTTTCAGAACCCTAAATCTTTAAGCTTTAAATTAAAGGAGCTTAAATTTGGAAGCCTTGGCTTTCTTTGGGAATCTAAAGTGTGCTACGGACCCATACCCAAGAAAATAATGCATATACGCAGATATAGTTGCATACATCAAGTAGCTGTATTTCTTGCAACATATCCAAAGATCCCAGACTAACAACCTCTTGAAAGATAGTAATATATATTTCTTTTTTTTTTTTTACCTTTTTTTTTTTTTTTTTTGAGATGGAGTCTTGCTCTTGTCACCCAGGCTGGAGTGCAATGGCACAATCTCGGCTCACTGCAACCTCTGCCTCCCAGTTCAAGCAATTCTCCTGCCTCAGCCTCCCGAGTAGCTGGGACCACAGGCGCCCACCACCAGGCCTGGCTAATTTTTTTGTATTTTTAGTAGAGACGGGGTTTTGTCATGTTGGCCAGGCTGGTCTTGGACTCCTGACCTCGTGATCCACTCACCTTGGCCTCCCAAAATGCTGGGATTACAGGCGTGAGCCACCACAACCAGTCAATAAGCATATATTTCTATCCTCCTTCATGTCCCCAAACTCTTCTAATTCTTTTTGTTCAAAGTGTTTTTAATATTTTCGTCTTTTGTTTCCATTTCCACTGCCTTTGTCCAGCTCAATCTAAGTCAAAATGGCTTAATATCTAGAGAACTGAAAGAGTCTTCTAATTGGCTAACTCTAGCAATGGGAGAATTTTTTTTTTTTTTTTTTTTTTTTTTTTTGAGATGGAGTCTCACTCTGTTGCCCAGACTGCTGGAGTGCAGTGGCGCGATCTCAGCTTACTGCAAGCTCTGCCTCCTGGGTTCACGCCATTCTCCTGCCTCAGCCTCCCGAGTAGCTGGGACTACAGGCACCCCCCACCACACCCAGCTAATTTTTTTGTATTTTTAGTAGAGACGGGGTTTCACCATTTTGGCCAGAATGGTCTCGATCTCCTGACCTCGTGATCCACCCGTCTGGGCCTCCCAAAGTGCTGGGATTACAGGCTTGAGGCAGTGGGAGATTTTTATAAACTTCGTCTTCATTTGATTAAGATCTATGATATTGAAAGATAAAATAATTGAGAATTCTTATTTATAATTGGTATAATGTATAAAATGTGTTATTTAATGGAAAACTTGGAAAACAACTTGTTCCTATCACATCTGGATAGAAATTCACCAGTAAGACTGCCGGGGCCTGAATATTTTTGTATGTGTGTGTATGTGTGTGGGGGGGTTATAATAATCAATCTATGATTTAATAAACATATTGCTATTCAGATTTTCTGTGTTTTTGGTATCAATTTTGGTAAGCTTTAGTTTTCACGAAATGTGTCCACTTTAAGTTGTTTAATTTATTAACACAAATTTGTTAATTATATTTTCTCATTATCTTTAATGTCTAGAATATATGGTTATAACACATTTTTTTAGTCCTGTTATTGATAAATTTTATTCTCTACCTTTATAATCAGTCACTTTGGGAGGCCAAGGCAGGTGGATCACTTGAGGTTAGGAGTTCTAGACCAACCTCACCAACATGGCGAAACCTCGTCTCTACTAAAAATACAAAAATTAGCCTGGCATGGTGGTGCACGCTTGTAATCCCAGCTACTCAGGAGGAAGAGGCAGGGGAATCGCTTGAACCTGGGAGTCGGAGGTTGCAGTGAGCCGAGATCGTGCCACTGCACTCCAGCCTTGGTGACAGAGTGAGACTCCGTCTCAAAATAAATAAAATAAAATAAAATAAAATAAGTCTAGTTAGGAGTTTGACAGTTTTGTTGATCTTTGCAAATAACTAGCTTTTGGCATTGTCAATTTTTTCTACTACTTGTCTGTTTTCTATTATAAAGATTTCTGCTTTAATCTTTATTATTTCTTATTTCTCCTTACTATGAGCATACTTCTTTTTTATCTTCTTACAGTAGAATCTTAGGTCACTGATTTAATGTTTCTCTTTTTCTAATATAAGTATTTAAAACTCTAAGTTTCCCTCTCATCACTGCTTTAGCTGTATCTCATAAGTTGTAATATGGGTTATGGGAAATTATGATATGAAGTAGTTATAATATGTTGTATATTTTTTATTATTCGGTTTAAAATATTTTTAATTACTCTCATGATTTTGTGTTGACTATGAATTATCTAGAAATGTATTGCCAAAGATTTTTGTTAATAGTATATTGCTTTTGAGTTAGAATTAATTCCAATGTGGTCAGAAAACATACTCTATATGAGAGCAATTATTTCAAATTTATTAAAACTTATTCTATGGCCTAGTGTATATTGGTGAATGTACCATGTACACTTGAAAAGAATGTTTATTCTGCAGTTGTTAGGTGTAGTGCTAAACAAATATTAATTATATCAAGATGTTTGATATTATTGCTCAAATCCTCTATGTCATTAGTATTTTTTTAAATGTAGTTATATCTGATGTTGAGAGAGGAGTCTTAAAATCTCCTACTGTCATTTTGAAATTGTCTATTTATTCCTTTAATTCTGTCCATTTTTGTTTCATGTATTTTGAGGTTCTGTTCTTAAATGCATATCCGTTTATAATTGCTATGTCTTCCTGATGAATTCTGCCACTTACAATTATAAAATTTCCATTATTTATCTCTGACAAAATAGACTTGATGTCTATTTTATGTGATATTAATATAGTTATTTCAGCTTTCTTATGCTTGCTGTCTGTATGGTATACCTTTTTTCCATCTACTTACTTTCAACCAATCTGACACTTTATATATAAAGTGTGTCTCTTGCAGACAACATATAATTGAATATGGCCTTTATAAATTCTTTCTGATACACTCTGTTTTATTTGAGCATTTCAACTATTAAAATTTGATGTAATTATTGGCATGGTTGGATTTGGATCTACCATTATATTACTTGTTTTTTGTTTGTCCCTATACTTTTTGTTCCTATATTCCCCCTCTCTTGCCTTCTTTGGATTACTTGATATTTTTAGCATTGTTTCAATTTATTGGGTTTTTTTTAGTTACACCCTTTGTGTTTTTATTATTGGTTACAATATAATCATTAACTGTGACAGTCTACCTATAGTTAGTATTATACCACTACATGTGAAGTATAGAAATTTGGCAGTCATAAGAAGTCCTTTATGTTATCACTGTAATCTGTATTACATCTATGTGCTTTAAGAGCATCGCAAGACAATGTTATAATTTTTCCTTATAAAGTTGTATATGTTTAAGAAGAAATATAAATATCTTTAATATTTATTAATAGAGTTGCCATTTCTGACATTCTTTATTCATTCCTGAATATCTGTGTTATCTTCTGGTATCATTTCCCTTGAGCCTGAAGAATTTACTTAAGCATTTCTTGTAAGAAATTATATTATTTTTTCTTTACCTGAAAATATCTTTATTTCACCTTCATTCCTAGAGGTCATTTTCTATTCTGAGTTGGTAGATTGGGGGGCGGGGTGTTTATCTGTTTCTCTTTTTGTTTTTTATTTTCTAGCTTTCATTGTTTCTGAAGAGAATTCTGTGGCTATGTAAATCAACATTTTTCTTTATATAATATGTTGTGTCTCCCCCACCTGTTTTTAAGATTTTTCTCTCTATCTTTAGCTTCAGCCATTGGATTATTATGTATCTAAGTGTGGTTTTCTGTGAATATATTTGGTGTAGGGTTTACTGAGCCTTTTGAATCTGTACATTTTTTTTCACCAACTTCAGGAAGTTTTTGTGATTTTGAAACTGTCTATTTATTCCTTTAATTCTGTCCATTTTTGCTTCATGTATTTTGAGGTTCTGTTCTTAAATGCATATCCATTTATAATTGCTATTCCCTCTTATAATTACGAAATTTCCATTCTTTATCTCTGACAATACTCTGTGACTTGATATCTATTTTATGTGACATTAATCTGCTCCACTTCAATTAAATTAAAACTTGCTCTATGACTCTGCTCTGCTTCTGGGACTCTTAATTCCCTAACGTTAGACTTTTAGATATTGTCACACGAATCCCTGAGGCTAATGTTAGACTTTTAGATATTGTCACACTAGTTCCTGAGGCTCTGCTCATTTTTTTTTCATCTTTTTTCTCTCTCTTCTTCAGTTTGATCTGTCTTCAAGTTTACTGACTCATTCCTTTGATATTCTTCTATTAAGTCCATTCAATAATTTTTTATTCCAAATATTGTATTGTTAAGTTTTAATGTTTCTACTTGGTTTCTTTTTATGTGTTCTATTTTGCTGCTGAGATTTCCTATTTTTTGTCCATTTCTTTTACTTCATTGAACCTAGTTGGAAATAACTATTTTAAAGTATTTGTCTGATAATTTCAACATCTGACCCATCTCGAGGTTTGCATCTGTTCATTGTCTTTTCCATTTAGAATTGGTCACATTTTCCTAGTTTTTTGTGTTAGAGTATTTTAGATTGTATTCTGGACATTGTGAGCCTTATCTAGTCTCCAAGTTCTGTTGCAGTCCTCTGGAAAACACGGTTTTTATTTTAGCAGATGATTAATCCAAGTGGATTCAAGCTTTAAGCTCTCTCTTGTCAGTGTATACAGAGAAAATGGAATATCCATGAGGAGGAGTCTGAATTTCCAAAGATAGAATGTGTTTGGAGGAGAGGGGGCAATGGGAAGGAGAACATTGTAAATACTGCCCTCAGAAGTTAATAATTCAATATTATTTAATTTTTACTATTACATGTATATGATATGTATAATCTATTTGTGTTATAGATACGTAATATTGGGAACATACTTATATTTATTTATAATGTATAATTTTGAGAATTTTACAGTGTTTTAATTTTTCTAAGAAAAGCACAACTCCAATAGTCCTTCTTTGAATTCCCAGGAGAATTCCAGATTCTCATAATACTACCACTTATCAAAATGTCATTACATGTGCCAGACATTCTGCTAAGCAATGTGCATACATTGTTTTATCAAACTTTATGGCAACACCACCAGGTAGGCATTGTTTTTATTTACAAACGAGGAAACTGAGGGTCAGAGAGGTTAAGCAACTTGCTTAGGGATACACAGCTATTAAGGGGGTAGAGATGAGATGTGAACCTAGGTGGGACTCTGTCTCCCCTTTTGATATCACTGGTTGCCAACCAAGTGGAATTAGATGATATTTATCTTGCAAATGACAGAGTGTAGAGAGAGAGAGCATGGCACTGCGAAAATAACAATCACTTCAAAGAGGAGACAAGTATTCTAATTCTAGTTTGGGACAGACTTACTGCAAAACCTTGTAACCTTCTCAGCTTCTCTCCTTCTTCTTCCACTGTGTCTACAACAGAAATTAAAATGTACTTCAAATAATTTACAGAACTCTTTTAGAAATAAAATGAGACGATCTATGAATGTGTAATGAAAATATAATGATTGTAATGATATTTAGCCCAACTCACAAACTAACACTCCCTTTTCTAAGTTTTACAGTTAAGACTTCAACAAAGAAGGACCCAGGAACAACTGGCTAACCAAGGCATAATACCACGTGAGTACCTGCATCTCTTAATTACTGATATACATAGGGCCACACCATTTGGGAGCTGGAAAGTGCCTCAGAGGTCATTTAGTTTAAGCCAATGCATTGGTCTCCGAAGATCTTCAAAGCATTGGTATCAGCAGAAATCCCAGACCTTGGATGCTTTGCCCCGACTGCTACCTACTCACCTGCAAGGGGCTCCTTTTAATGATACTGGTTATGCCTAAAATTCCAATGTAGTGGATTTGTTCTCAGGGTAAACACAATTCATTATGGGCACCCCTGACTCATCTACTTTTAAAATTGGATATAATTAATATTCTTTCCAGAAGCATCAATTACATCATCTTTTTCTCACTTCCTGAATTTCAGTTCTGTTTGGGATATTGGAGTCCACAAGTCATTGAATATTGGTCAAGTATTTCCTTTCTAGAAGGTGGAGTGGCAATACCATTTTAGCATAAATGATATAATGTTGAATTACTGGCCACGAACTGGGTAAAAGAAGAAGGATTATTGTATCTTTTAGAAGATATATTTTAAATTTTCTACCAATTCAGCAATGAAAGCTAACTCTTGGTTATCTGTAGAAATAGAGAAAAGGGTACCCTGGATGAATAAGTCATGGGTAAAGCTGCTCTAGGTCATAGATTCTAACTTCCTCTCCAACAAAATTTAAAAATCAAGATCTATAATGACTTGTGCAGAAATTCAGGTGTCTGTAAAATGCTGTTGTGACTGTTACTTCAGAGTTCAGTATACAACAAGCAGAAGTTTGCCCTTGAAAAACTGTAGTGTAGTTAGTTGTATTGAAGCCCTATGTATAGCCCTATATAGTGTAGTTAGTTACATTAGTTAGAAAAAATGTTGTGTAGTTAGTTATATTGAAGCGCTATGACCCATGGCTAAACATTGAAAGTTTAGTCTTTGTTTCAGAGCCAGAACAGAACTAAGAATTTTTCAGGCCTCTTGTTTTGTAATTCAAAAGTAATCCTTTGTTCATGGCTAAGCTCTAGAATAGTAAACAGTATGTGACCTTAAAGTGGGACAACTCTGTTAGAGGTTTGTGAAGTACAAAAGAAACAGCTCACCCTGTGATTTCAAGGCTGTTTAAACAACGTTGACAACTATGCTGAGGAAGCAAAGGAGCAAGTCTATGTGTGGCCTGTTTCATCTTAGCCTTTCTTTGGAGGTGCTAAAGACAGGAAGAAACCAAAGGTCTGCGGATGTCAGATCAGGTCAAGACAATTTCACTCAAAGCTGATAATCTATCCCTTCACCGATGTTTCTTTCTCTTTAATTCTGGAAAGGCAAGTGGAGCAAATGGACCTGCAACCTTTCCGTAAGCCCAAGTTGTACACATCTGATTTAAAGTTGGACTCATGTGCTTAAATACTCTGAGCCTGGGTCTTGCAGCTGGCATTTGGCTGAGAATAAATATTTTTGGAGGGATACGGGGTTAAATCTGAAAATTAGTAAAAACACCCAATGAAGATGGTAATTAACCCTAGCATACATTGTAAAATAACACCTATCATGTAAGTTATATAAATCAAATGTTCATTTGTATAGTAGAGTCCAATGAAATATAATATTTTGTTCCCCAGGAATTCCAGAATCAAATAATATGCATATTAACAAAATACCACTTATTAGAAATTTTGCATCATTAGTCCATGGCATCATTAAGATAATTTCTAGAAAAAAATCCTACAAATCATGAAATAATAAAGCATTTTAAAATCACACACTATGATGAAGGTTTTCCCCAATCTGCAGCTACCTCCTTTCAACCAGGCTTTCCAAGAGTGTAGAGTCTGCTGTGGAAAAGTGTCCAAGTCACGGCTGGTGCACACTGCAGGCCCTGCCTGTACAGACCTTTTCTACTTAGCTCTTCTCAGGAAGCTAGAGATAGGATGCATCTCTTCACCTGCTGATGGTTAGCCTCTTCAGTCCAATCAGAGATTAAACATGCAATCTACATGCATTTCAGCAGAGCAGTGTGTTTCCTCTGGCACCTAAGGAAACATGTCTAAATGCAAACAATTGGGAGAAGGAAAGAGGAACCAAGGGCCTCAGGATATTTTCAATTCAATATAATTCAACAAATTTTATTATAAACCAGGCTATGTACACGGGACCATGCCAGGCACTTTAGGGACAACAATAATAAGCAAGATGGTCCCTCAGAGAGAGTCAAGATATTAGGGGGAAAGCTGATAAAAAGCACACAGAAGCAGGCTGGGCACGGTGACTCAAGCCTGTAATCCCAGCACTTTGGGAGGCAGAGGTGGGCAGATCATGAGGTCAGGAGATCGAGACCATTGTGGCTAACACGGAGAAAACCCGTCTCTACTAAAAATACAAAAAAAAGAAAAAATTAGCCAGGTGTGGTGGCAGGCACCTGTAGTCCCAGCTACTCGGGAGGCTGAGGCAGGAGAATGGCGTGAACCCAGGAGGCAGAGCTTGCAGTGAGCAGAGATCGCGCCACTGCACTCCAGCCTGGGCAACAGAGCGAGACTCCGTCTCAAAATAAATAAATAAATAAGTAAATAAAAATTAAAAAAGCACACAGAAGCATAATCCAGTGTGCAACTCATTACCTTACACAAGAAGACTTTATTTTTTCATTCTATTATTTAAATTTTTTGAAACAGAAAGTAAAAGAAAAGGAGAAAGGAAAAGAGGAAGAAAAGTTAATCATCCTCAGAGCCTACCTAATTCTGTGATTTTCTAATTTTTTAATTGTTACGTCTTATGCACTATATATATGTGTGTGTGTGTGTATACATATATACATATATATGCACTGGCTGAGGCAGTGTCAAGGATCTATGCCCCAATTACTGGGCCTCTCCTTGTCCCTTCCAGAAGCCCCCTGATAATTCTCTCTGCAGTGCTGGTTCTCTTCAGAATAGAGTTTGAAAACCCCTGACCTACCCCAGTCCCTGTTTGTCTTTAATGTTCATGAAACTGAGGTTAAAGAGGCCTAAGAGGTTTTTCAGATGTCCCAAAGCCTACATCTAATATGGTCCCATTTTCTGCAGTTTGATTGATGAGAATGTAAATGCATGCCAGATAAAATTATTCATAAAATCTTGCTTTATTCATAAGATTTGAAATAGTTGCAATCTTTCTAAACATGTCATAAATTGTCAAAACTCAAAGTTGATGGCCAAGTGAACTGTTAATTGTCCTTATCAAATAGAAATACTTTTTTTTTTTTTGAGACAGAGTCTCACTGTGTCGCCCAGGCTGGAGTGCAGTAGCGTGATCTCGGCTCACTGCAACCTCCGTCTCCCAGGTTCACGCCATTCTCCTGCCTCAGCCTCCGAGTAGCTGGGACTACAGGCACGTGCCACCATGCCTGGCTAATTTTTTGTATTTTTAGTAGAGACAGGTTTCACCATGTTGGCCAGGATGGTCTCGAACTCCTGACTTCGTGATCCACCCACCTCGGGTTCCCAAAGTGCTGGGATTACAGGCGTGAGCCACCGCGCCTGGCCAGCAATACTATTTTTAACTGGTCGACAGAAGCACCTGCCACCAATTAGTCTTGAGTTTTACATTAGGTTAAATCTTCAGGGCTTATCCCCTGGATAACATGCAACCCCTTCCTATTGTGGAGGAGCTGAGGCCAGAACCTGTGTCTCCTGATCCCCGCCTAGGCTCCTTTTTTCAAACGTTCAAAATGAATCGCTTGGCCTTTAAAACCACTTATATTGCTATCATAAGGCATTTTATGGCCAAAAAATTCAGTTAGAACTTAGAAAATTTCAAAAGTGTGTCGTGCGAAAATGCCAAAGATAAAACAATGATTTAAATGCAATGGCTTCAGATTCTACATCATAATCTATGTTTCGCCATGATGAGCATTGAATGAAAGGTTTCACTGACTTAGCTGTATGGCAGGTCTCCCTTCAATTGCATTCCAAATTGATAATTAAATTATGAGGCTCCTCCCCCATTGACTCTAATGAGGTGAATCATGTGTAATTCTAGTGAAACTAATCCAAATGGATTGAAATTTTCTTCCTTCCCTTTTCCTGGGCATGCATTCTGCAGGGTTTGAGGTTGCTGCTGAGTAATAAACAGTGGTTAGCAACCAGCAACAAATTGTTTTTTATAATCCCCATGAATCACTTCTCTTAAACATTCACTTTGTTCTTATGTGTGGGCATTATGAGTTTAGGCTAATTTCCCTCTTTACATGCTTTGAATGAATTTAAAGGCACCATCTCTTGACTTTTAGTCAAGACAGGCAGGGTTCTGAGGCCAGCACAGAATCACTGGAACAACTTAAGGGTTCTCAGACCAGGTGCATTTACAATGGCAGTTGTGAAATTCACATTTTCAAACTCGGCATGAAACCTTAATAAAATAGTCTCTCAAAGTTAACTTAGAAATATTACTTAAAGGACTTATTGTTTAGATTTATCTCCAAAATCTCACCTCTAAATCTCAATATGGAGATTTCAAATTGCCTACTTTGCCATCATCAACCAGGATTCATAGGAAATGGTTTCACTATCCCACCCTTTTGGGCTCAAGGTTGCAAGAGAACATCAAGGTTCTCTACATTCTCGTGGCATTAGGACAGAGAGTCCACCTCCTTCCCTAGACCTATTGGGCCTGTTCATCATTTCTTATGCAAATTTTCTCTCCTGCAATTCTTCTCCCTGGGTATCACTCTCCTGGGTAAAATTTTAAATAACACCATTTTATTCCAACCGCTTCTGAAGACTTAGTGTGGAAAGATGACCAGCCATGTAAATCAGACTCAATAAACTGGTCATAGAGCATTTCAGTAAATCTTTATTAATCCTCTGCTGTGAGAAAGGCTCTGGGGAACACACACAGAGAAGTCAGACTCAACTTCTGTTTCAAAGCGCTTCCAGTCTAGGAGGGGCCCCAAACCACCCCCATTTAATCATCCCATTTAATGATTTTGGACAACCTCACACCACTACATGGGAATGGCTATCCAGGAAGATTGAAGGAAAGATGACTTTTTCCTCTCCGTCTCCCTCTGCTACTAAAGTGAATCTATGATGTTTAACCCAGGGGAGAGATGAAAGAAGGTTTAATTTATTCTCCTGGAATACAGAAGATGAGATTAGAGATCTAAAGTGGACTTGAGAGGACACGGGGCCCGGGGAGGCTGCTACGTGTCCACAGAGTCTCAGAGAAAGCCCCTGCTGGCCAGAATGAAATGTCTGGGCAGCTTGGTTTCATGATCTGATCAATGTAAATGAATTTAAAGATACAATGAGCTGTCTATGAATGGTGCTGCCTTTATTTTTTTTGCAGACTAATCCAAGCTACAGCAGCCACATACTTACTGCAAAACCTTGGTAAATCCCTGAATTTTGTGGTACTTCTGAATAGCAAGAAGAATGACCGGGGCAATTCCCGCACCCATATCACATGCAGCTTCACGATAGTTTTGAGAAGTTGACTGGACAAAGTCTCTCTTCCTTTTCTCAGTGCATTCATTTGACTTGGCTTTTCCCCCACAGCACCCTACCACACACTGTCGGCTGTCTGAGCAGTACACGGCGCAAGGGAATTAATCTGTCTGCCTCTTCCCTTCTTTCTAACATCTCAAATTCAGAGATAGAAAAAGGTGCCCTGGATTTTCATGTCAATCCCATTTGGGTCAAAAATCTGACCTTCCTTCTTTTCCCCCATCTCTCCTTCAATTTTCCATTTCCCTGTTCCTTAGAAACTAGAAAACTAGTCATTACAGGCACACTTTGAATTTGTCTTTGTACCCTCCTTCTGAGAAATTCCAAAGTGTTCACAGATGTTGCAATCAAATTCTCCAAGTATGCTAGCCAGGTCTTGAACATTAGAAAGCTACATTGGGAAAATGCACTGTTTTCAGACTGTTGAGACTATTATTGGGGTAACAGACCCTTAAGACTATCATTGGAGTACTGAACTAGCAATTTATTTCCAAGCATAAAAGAAAATATAATCTCCAAAGCATTATCATTATATATATAAAAAAAATTCTCATGACCCAATTTGTCTTTAAAACCAAGACAGAGAGAAGACAAACATGAATAGGCCCATTTTTATAAGTGGGAAACTGAGAGCACAGGAAAACTCTCAGGCTTACTCAAGGTTATACCAAAAGTAGATGGCAGAGCAAGAACAGAGCTCAAATGGATGGTTCCCAAATATTTAGTTACCCAGGACTTCTTTAATTCTACCCATCACTGCCATAGGTCTTATGTTTAAAATAGTATTGTCTTCCCTGTCCACCTAAAGAATCCTACATGCATTAATTATTAATCCATGCATCTTTTAAATAGTTAATTTTATGTTTTTGAGTTAATTTTCTAATTAATGGTATATAAATTTACCAGCTAGTGCTTGTTGATGAGAACAACCGTAACTAAACCAAGTTGCTATGATTCCAGGCAGGAGCAATGAAAAGTGACAGCTTTGTTAGTCCAAGCAGCCTTTCTCTGGACAGACATACTCTTTCTCTTCAGCTTCTTGAAATGCTGAAAATCAGTCCTGATGATTCATTGCTCCATTTTTGAAGTCCTAGGTTCCCAACACCCCTAGATCAAGATCCACTGGACTTAGAAATCCCATCACAGCGGTTCTGAAGCTTTTGCATCAGAATCACCCAGAAGGCTTGTTAAAACAAAGATTCCTGGGTTCTACTGAGAGTTTCTGATTCTGTGGGGCTGGGTTGGGGCCCAGGAATTGGGATTTCTTTTTTCTTTTTTTTTTTTTTTTTGAGACAGAGTCTCACTCTGTCGCCCAGGCTGGAATGCAGTGGCGCGATCTTGGCTCACTGCAACCTCTGCCGCCTGGGTTCCAGCTAATTTTTGTATTTTTAGAAGAGACAGGGTTTCACCATCTTGGCCAGGCTGGTCTTGAACTCCTGACCTCATGATCCACCTGCCTCAGCCTCCCAAAGTGCTGAGATTACAGGTGTGAGCCACCACACCCGGCCAAGAATTGGAATTTCTAACGTGTTCCCAATTGCTGAAGATGCTGGTCCGGAAGCTGCACTTAGAGAACGCTGCACTCGTTGCCGCCCCAAGTCTCTGGCTCTTTAATTCTTCCTCTTGGTCCTCTTAGTAGCAATGGATCTGGTATTGCTCCAAGCCTGCAGCTGAATGGTCCCATTAAGAGAAGTCAGGGTCTGCACCAGGCACAGCCCAACACCAGGTACAGCCCCTGCTTCTGTTGCTGGAGTTGCCCAACTCCAGGGACCCTACCCTGTGCTGAGGAGTGAGGCCCCTGCCTTCAATGAGTTCTCTGTGGTTCCACGACCTGTCTTCTCCTTTTTCTGGGATCCTGCTGGAGGCACGAGGTTACAGTGGAGAGCAGAGGACTGCAGGAAGACTGTTCTTATCTTGGGATCTTTTTTCTAAGTTCTAAGTCAGCAAATGTTTATATGCTCGGCTGACCCAAATTAGCGATAGCTTTGGGGACAGAAATAGGAATAGCCCACAACAAAACTCTGAGGCAAGAACACAAATTCCCTTGTGAGGAGCCATTAATCTTCCTCCAGGGAGAATGAGTTAGATGTGTGGCTGACTGAATTTACAACAGTATTTTAATTCAAAATCACATGGACTTTTTTAAAAATTTAGAATCCAAATTCCTTTTCAATCTTAAAAGTCAAAGTTCTTTAAATACAAAATGTTGCCATTTGATACTCCCCAGGCTGGCAGCAGAAGTGGTTTTTTGTGTATTTTCCAAAAACCCAACTGAGAGGTGGGGGGCTCCATTGCTTTTGTTGGCCTTCATGGGAGGTGGCTAAAACCCACGGTCTCTGAAGTCACTGAGAAAGCAAACCTCAACCCCAGGCCCATGGCAGGATAGTTTTCCATGGTGTGACCTCAAGCCAGTGGCCCATATAACACCCCTTAACCTCTGAGGAGAAGAGCATGTGGTAAAATGCAGCATGTGAACCTCTCTGGCTTTCTTCCCAAGTGCTTGCTAAATGGAGATAGTTTCTTCCACCCTGTGGCAGAAGGTTCCAGAAGACCTTTGTGCTCCTGGCATCAGAGAACTGGACCGTGTGAATCATCTCACAGGGGAGTTATTAACACCAAGAAGTGATGAATTGTAGTTCTACGAAGCTGAGATACAGGAAATACAGTGTTTCTTAGAACAATTAATAAGCTTTGCTAATAAGAATTGAACAGCCTCAGAGACATGAGAACCCATTAAATTCCTCCTAAACCCCAAGCCCAGTTAAAACCAATTGTGTTTGGAATGTCAGCGATATCCCAAGATCTATTCATGCTAATCCTTTCAGGGAGTTTCTAGAGGAAAAGGGCATGTTATTCTTTTTAACCACTTAATAAGGCCACACGAAGATCCATTCATTTTCTGGGTTATGTAAGTAATTAAACTACACTAATATACAATACCTAACTAAATGATTACCAGGAGATAGGACAGAGGTATTGATACAGATTGTGTAGATCCACAATGGCCCGCTGGACTTCAAGCAGACTTTGTATCATAATCTGGTTGCTTAGGGGGAAAGGGAGTTGCTTTGCAGAACTCCCTCGACATAAATTCCACCTGCGATCAAACACAGGAAAAGGCAAGCCTTATTAAGGATGATGACCAGACCCAACTCAAAGAAAATGCATGCGCAACACAGGACAGCTGCACGTTAATTTCTCAGAATCACTGAGTTGGGAGAAATGGGAGAAAAGGGTCATCTAAAAAGGGAGGTTTTGCAGAGAAGCTCATTTTAAGAGTAAAAAGCAGAAAGCAAAGATAACTGAAAAACAATTTCTAGATCAATGGTATTCAAGAAGCATGTTCATTTTTTTTTCTATAAGAAGGGAAGTCTCTTAATCTTTGGTCAAAGTGAGAAGGATGCCTGTCAACTATTTTTGGCACAAGGAAGCCAGATGGGGCAATTCTGCATGTTCCTTCAGCCAACATTGTTAATGTTGGGGTGAACAGGGAGATTTATAGAGAGCGTGACCTGTTAACTCCCCAAGCAGCATCCTTAAAGAGGATACTATGGCCAACTACCATTATGGTAGCCGTCATGACTACAACTATGTCTGCTTGATCTCCAGCAAACCCTGCTGAAAACTATGTTCAGATTCAGCATGGTCTTAAGGGTTGAATGAGGCACGTGCACACACACACACACACACACACACACACACACACACACCCCGATCTGGTCAGAAACCTAATTTTTGTGCTGGCCAAGATTTGGAAGAATATTTCATCACCTGCAGCTTACAGTAGACCACTGTTCTAGTAACATTGGAACTCGGGATCATGTGATTCCTCAAGTTGTCCAGACATACAATTCAGGGGAAAAAAAATCAATGCAAGTCTGTAACTGCTAATCAACCTCATCACTAATCATGAAAAGTGATTATTTGTGGCTCCTGATTGAGATTGTTCTAGATTAGGAAAATCAAGGCAAAATGTAGAATTTTGCAAAATGATGTTCTACTTCTTTGCTCAAAGGAGTTTATTAAATCCCCATAAGAGGTGCTATGAAGGGTGATGAGGAGGAGGTCATGGGAAGAGAGTGAAGGCTGGCATTCCATCCAGGTTGTTCACGGCTGCTGTGTGTTCTGTATGACTGACCAGTGCCTGTGTCTACTGGTTGTTAATATTTTACATATCACATCTTGAAAGAGGTTAGAGTTGTCACAGGACCTATGCTCCTAGCCCTAACTGATCCTGGGCAAGTCAGTCAATTTCTGTGGACCTCAGTTTCCCCATTCTGTTCACGGTTGGAGTTAACTTCCCTGTCTCCAAGGTTCCTTCCAGCCCTCAAAGTTTGATTCTCTGCTTCTCACTCAACACCCTTAGTTGCATGTTCCTGACCTACCAGCCACACACTTTATCCAGAGTACCGTCCCTTCCTCCAAAGCACCACCCCACCCCACAGACACAGACCACAGTCATCCCCCAAGCCTTTTGCACTCTAGGGCAGAGCAAAGTCAAAGAGGGTGGTAGTTACCCAAGTCTACACCTCTCCCTCAAACCAGAGCGTTATTTCTGTTTTCAGTTTTCCACCACCCCTTCTATTTCCTCCGGAACTTGGAATGCCCTGCCTCCATCACTTCTCTTCTTGTTGCACATCCTGCCTCTGCTACTCCCCGTTTGAGGCTTCGATTCCACTTCCTCTGTCTCCTACGGCTTCAGGGCCGCTGGTGTCCTCCAGGCCTGTCCTCTCTCATTGCTTGTGGCCTAATAAAGGCAATCACCTCCCTACTGTGCATAGCTCAGCAAGCACACCAGCAAACTCTGCGATACAGACCAATGCCCTTAACCCAGCCTCCACTCACGTTTTTGTGTTTCTGTTTCAGCACTGAAACGTCCAGCTGAATTCCATGAGCAAAGAAAACATTTGGATAGTGACAAGGTAATTTTTGCAAATTTCTTGACCCAAGCTTAGACTATAGGTTATGAATCTCTGAATGCTAATCCTTGGTGGATGCGTGTAGAATTCCTACAACAAACACAATCAATTTGCCAGTCCCCTGCCCTCATATCATGTGGAATCTTACTCCTATTAACCGGTAACTATAGAAATAGGATCAACTATATTAGCTTTGAAACTCCTATTTTTCAGCTTTTTTAAAAAATGTCCCCAATTTTTCTAATGTTGGAAGAAATTACAGTAGGGATGCACTGGAGTCAAAAACACTTTAGAGAAGGAAGTGGAGTCGGTTTTCAAGCTGCCTTACCTGTTATTACTGTCATTTCTTAACAACAATCAGATTTTAAAAAATCCAATTCAAGGGTAAGGCATGGTTTATGCATACAGAACTCATTTGTAGCTACTTAAAGGCAAAAGGTTATTTTGCTTTTTTCCCTTCTTTTTTTGTAACATTTGAGGGTGAGATTTGGCATATATTCTGTACCTTCATAACAAATCTCTGCAACTTGAATTTGTCAATAATATATTAATAAATACTATTTAGCAAGTATCAACACTTTGAGTGAGAAGGAAAGGCAAAGAGAGTATCTGCCTGCTGGTATTTCCTTACCTGAGAGTACTAGCCTTGCAGCTTGTCTATGGGTAGAGAGGAAGAGGAGGGATCTGCAACTCTTCAAAGTAGCTCACAAGTGGCTGTGATTCCTACTACCTGGAGAATAACAAAGAACAGCAGACTCTTATCAGAACTGGAGTGATTCCCAGACCCCTCTCAGGGGGCCACTGGGAGATCCACTGTAGTGAGATAAAAACCCAGAACTAGACATCAGAAACCTGGGGTCCAGTGTTGGCCCTCCCACAGCCTGTAACAGCCCTACCGACAGCCCCATCAAGAAGGTAATGAGACTGGGTAGATAACCCATCTCTTCATGCCCATCCAGTTCCTGGTGGGTCTGAATCTGTAGGCTTTACATTTTCACATGTCCTAAAAGAGAAGTCAAGCGAATAACGGGAAAGAGGCATACGTTGTCATGTTATATTAGATGGATTTAGGCAATGTTTTAACTCTGGTCTTGGTTAATTTTGTGACTGTTTTCAGAGGAAATGGAGGCTGGGTGCTGTGGCTCATGGCTGTCCCAGTACTTTGGGAGGCTGAGGTGGGCAGATTGCTTGAGTCCAGGAGTTCAAGACCAGCCTAGGAAACATGGTGAAACCCTGTCTCTACTAAAAATTAAAAATTAAAGAAAAAAATTAGCTGGGTTTGGTGATGCATGCCTGTGGTCCCAGCTACTCATGGGACTAAGGCAGGAGGATCACTTGTGCCCAGGAGGTCAAGGCTGCAGTGAGCTTTGATTGTGCCACTGCATTCCAGCCTGGATGACAGAGATGCTGTCTCAAAAAAAAAAAAAAAAAAAAAAAAAAAAAAAAAAAGGCAATGGAATAAGATTCATTATAATACAAACAGCCTAGTGTTCTGTTATAGTGACATGTTATTAACATGTACCAACCTGCCTGTCCCTGAAAAAGCTTTAGGTTTGTAGCCCTGATGTGGACCCAAGCTCTTTACCTTCTTATCTTATTTTCCCATCTAAAAATTACTCGAGGGGTCTTTGGAAATGTTCCTTCATCAAAATGTGGGACACCAAGAATATTTTCATGTTTCATTTATTATTTTAAAAGGTTATTTTCTCCTGTGAGATAAATTGAGTTTTTTAAAAGGTAAAACTAGGTGATTTCTCTTGTTTGGGTTCTACAGGCTAAAAATTCCCTGAAGCGCAAAGCCAGAAACAGGTGCAACAGTGCCGACTTGGTTAATATGCACATACTCCAAGGTAAGGCTGCAAGAAATCAGACACCAAGAGATGCTGCAGAATGGTGGGCCATTTTCCCAGAGTTACTTGTCTCTGTACAGTTGCTAAGCCCTCTTAAAAATCTCCCTTGCCGTTACAAAGTGGTAGTTTCAAGTAATCATCTAAGCCTTCTAGGCCACGTAGATACCCAAGTTGGGAAGCCATAAAATGGTTAAGCGGGTTAGAGACTTGGGCTCTAATCTCAGCTGTGCGATCTCCTAACTCTAAGGCCTGGGCAAATCACATAACTTCTAGGAGTGCATGGAACACGTCCAACATGTGCTGACAATTATTACTAATCTGGATCATCACTCACTTTGGAAGAGGATCACAGTTCCCTTGCTACCTCTGTATTCTCCAGGTAATTGATTGTCCTTTGCTGATGCCTTTACCTTCTGGTGTGCAGGGAATACAATCTGAGGAAATTAGTGCTGATCAAAGTAGGCCTAGTTCTGCCTTAGGGTGCCACCTCTGTGCTGGGGTATGTGAGACAAGGCAAACAAACAACTAACTGGTCCCCATATTCTGACATCTGCATGCAGGAGGAGTGGCTTCTACTCCCGCCTCATAAGTTGCCTTCCCTGAGACAGAATCCCCGAGACCATTGGTGCCCACCCTAAAAGAGGTCCAATCCCTAATTTGACAGTTACCTATGAGATATTTGTTCCTTGAACACACACTGTATTGGGTGTCTGCTAGGAGTTGGCTGCTCTGCCAGGCCAGTGGGTTCAACGATGAATAAGACACAGGTTTGTGCCCTCAGAGGGTCTCACAGTATAACAGAGGACACGAGAATCACATTTACAATCCAGCATGAAAAGAAAGGAAATGCCTGGTGTGGTGGGTGTATGGAAGAGGATCAAAGAAAAGAGCCATCGGAATCAGAATGGACAGGGGAGGAGTGAGGAAATGGGCTGGAACGTGAGGGCTGAGCCAGGTAGAAAAAGATGGAAGGGGGTCGCAGTCTGAGGGAACAGCCTGCACAAGGCCTGCATGCTATTTCTCTAGAATGTGGATTTCCTTCCAAGACTGAACACTAGCTTTAAAGCGCACGAAAGACTCTGAAATATATCCTGGAAATTGTGAACCTTGGTTCTTTGAGTGACATCATTTGTTATTTATTCTGGCTTTCCAAGACTGACCCTTTTTCAACCCTAAAGTAGGTGGGATATTTTAAGACGGAGAACTGTTTTCAGGGTAGGGAAAAGAAAGAGGCCAATGCTGAACTCAAGGGAAGGCTGTGTGGGATGGGAGGCTTTGATCTGCGTGAGGCAGCCAAAGGATGCCAGGTGTCTGGAAAACAGAAAAAAGTCCCTCAAAGGGAGGTGACAGAATTCTTACCTCCTTTGCAATGGTGTCTACAAGCCTAGAAGCAGCTGCTATGTCAGCACAAAAATCACTGCTGCACAAAAATCCAAACGATGTCATTTCAAATGACATACAGACCTTTCAGGCCGGGTGTGGTGGCTCACGCCTGTAATCCCAGTACTTTGGGAGGCTGAGGCTGGCAGATCATTTGAGGTCAGGAATTCAAGACCAGCCTGGCTAACACCGTGAAACCCCATCTCTACTAAATATACAAAAACTTAGCCGGGTGTGGTGGTGGGCGCCTGTAGTCCCAGCTACTCAGGAGGCTGAAGCAGGAGAATTGCTTGAACCTGGGAGGCGGAGGTTGCAGTGAGCTGAGATCGCGCCACCGCACTCCAGCCGGGGCCACAGAGGGAGACTCTGTCTCAAAAAAAAAAAAAAAAAAAAAAAAAAAAAAGACATACAGACTTTTCAGTGATCAAGTTAACAAATAAAAATAAGTATCATGTGTGGCAAGAGTTACATGCGTTCCCATACACTGCTGGTGGGAGTGCAATTGGATCAACTTTTCAGGAGGGCAATTTGATAACCTGTATCAAACTCCTTAAAAATGTGCCCACCCTTTAGCTCATAATATAATGTCTAGTATTTTATTCAAAGAAAATAATCAGACAAAGATTTATCTCACAATGATGCTTATCGTGGAATTACTTTAGATGGTGAAAAATAGTGAAATGTCTAACAATAGAGGATTGGCTGAATAAACTATGGATCAACCATACAATTTAATGCTAATACAAGAGTTATTAAGAAATTATTTTTAGGCTGGGTACAGTGGCTCACGCCTGTAATCCTAGCACTTTGGGAGGCCGAGGCGGGCGGATCACCTGAGGTCAGGAGTTTGAGACCAGCCTGGCCAACACAATGAAACCCCGTCTGTACTAAAAATACAAAAAAAAAAAAAAAAAAATTAGCCGGGCGTGGTGGCACGTGCCTGTAATCCCAGCTACTCGGGAGGCTGAGGCAGGAGAATCGCTTGAACCCGGGAGGCGGAGGTTGCAGTGAGCCGAGATCGTGCCATTGCACTCCAGCCTGGGTGACAAGAGCGAGACTCAGTCTCAAAAAAAAAAAAAAAAAAAAATTTTAGGCAGCTAGAAAGGGTAAAAGAATTCTCGGTGGAATTTTCCTTTAATAAATAGCAGCTCCAAACCATTTCTTCTCTGACAGAAAGCAGTCTGAAATAGATATGCAGACTAGGAGCTTTTATATGTAAATGTCGTTAGCTGTACCTGGAAGCCAGGAATATTGAAAATGGCGTCTCCCGCTCTTTTCCTTGTCACCACGTTTACCAGTGTCATGGCAGCCTCCAGGTACCACATGTACAGGGATCATGGCCGCCTCCAAGTGGAGGCCGTATTTGCATAATAAAAGACTAGGGTGGGAGGGCCAGTCTTTTCAGGGGCTATGTAAATGACACAACTGGTCAAACCAATCCCCTGGGACCTATGTAAATCAATCACCGCCTCCTCAAGCCTCTGTACAAAATCGATTGCTCTCTGCCACAAACCGGAGACCCTTCTTGGGCGATCCGCTTTCTCAGCATGTGGAAGGTTTTTCTCTCTCTCTTCTTTTTCTACTAAACCTTCCGCTCCTAAACCCATTCCTCGTGTGTATCCCTGTCCTGAATTCTTTCTCGACCATGACAAAGAACCAGGTATATATCCCAGACAACAGACCCATTTCAATACCATAGAGCTACTACAAACAAGGCTTTCAAAGAGTAATTTAATGAGAAAAGGTTTACAGGACAATGTTTAGGAAAAAGAGCAAAAATCAAAACTATATTTGCTGCCAAATTCTGGGAAGAAAAATTATATACTTATTATATACTTAAACTATATTCATAGTCAGATTCTGGGAAGAAAAACATAAACCTACCAATCAATATAAATAACTAAGAAAGACACACAGGTCTTAAAAATAGGTGACACCGGCCAGGTGCGGTGGCTCACGCCTTGTAATCCCAGCACTTTGGGAGGCCGAGGCGGGCGGATCATAAGGTCAGGAGATCGAGACCATCCTGGCTAACACAGTGAAACCCCATCTCTACTAAAAATACAAACAATTAGCTGGGCGTGGTGGCGGGTGCCTGTAGTCCCAGCTACTCGGGAGGCTGAGGCAGGAGAATGGCGTGAACCCGGGAGGCAGAGCTGGCAGTGAGCCGAGATCACGCCACTGCACTCCAGCCTGGGCAACAGAGCAAGACTCTGTCTTAAAAAAAAAAAAAAAAAAAAAATAGGTGACTCTAAGTAGGGATTTTCCTGAAGCCTTCATTTTTTTTTGCACACTTTTTTTTTTTAGCATTTTTCACATTTATGACAATGAGGACACAGTAATGCTATAATCAAAAAACATATGAAATGTTATTTCTTCCATCATTACGGTCTTGAATTAAAATAACAGGGTGTGAACTGCACCAACCCCCAGTTCAATTGCATGTCTCTGGTGCCTCCCATGGGGTCCTCTTTTGTCAACAGAAATTGGGAATTAGCTTCTTGGAGCATAAAAGATCTGCTAGATACAAAATGACTCCTGCTGCCCAGGAATTTATTGCCCAGTTTCAGAGGCAACAAGATGAAGGGTTTGTCCTTGTAACTGCTAGAGGCAGTCAAAGCGAAAGAGATCTATAAGAACAGGAAGAGTTAGGAAAGCCTTATGCTGGGACCCAAAAGTACGATGTTGGTAATGGGGAGTGGGGAAGAAGTTCAAGGTGGGGAAAGGAAATAAGCCAAGGTGCAAAGGTGAATGCAGCAAGACATAGAGGACAGAAGGATAAGGACCAGGCTCTCTGGAATGGTAGATTTGGGCTGGAGAGCCACAGGTCATGGCAGGAGGTAGATTAAATTTGTAGCAGTCTTGAAAAACTGGACTGAGAGATGTGGATGGTGGGAAGCATCTTGTACGGAGGCACCAGAGGAAAAGAGGGCTTTCTGAAGATCAGTCCTGAGTTGGTACACAGGATGAGTCAGAAAGATGGCTGAGGCAGAGAGCCAGCAAGCTGCCCTTGCAAGGAACTGTAAGGGGTGCTTTGGAGAGGACATGGGCTTTGGTATGCCCATTCTTTGGTTTGGAGTATTGACATTCCCTCCATTGAATGTGAAATGCTTTGAAGAGGCAGCTTCCACAGCCAAGCCTGTGGCAACCAATAAGACATCCCTAGACTTCTTCTGTATGGAGAGTTCTAGATCAGTGCCAGACACAGGGTCTGGGATTAGCAGGTTGATAATAATAAAATAAGGGGGCTAAGGGACTTGTCTGTAAATATCTCACTTTCTAGATTTATGAAGTTGAGAGTGAAGGTGCAAACTCTTATAGAATCTTAACTTACAGTTCTCCATGACAGCAATAAGTTGGCTGGATTCTCTTCTGAGTTCTTCCACAGAAATAAGTCAGGGCCCAACCTAAAAAGGAAGTTTGGTGTCAGCTGTATCGAAGTGGATTTAAGGCTCTGTACGTGACCTTTCACACCCTCCAAATGATGAGAAACTGCCTGTGGATGAATTCAACTTTTAAAAATCCCTCTGTTTAATTAAATAACTGTTTCAATGGAATTTTTTTTCTTTCGCAACTGACCTGGACATTTGACTCAGTCGGTCACAGCATTGACTAGTCCAAAATCCTTTAAAAGTCATACTAGTACTACTAATTATAACAACAGATAACATTTACTGCAGGCCTAGCCTGTGCCAGTCACTATGCAGACCAAATGTGCATCCAAGTGCCATAGCTTAGGGTTAGGCAAACAATACAGGCCCTGCAGACTGGTTGCTTACAAAATCTCCAAATTGTACATTTTTTCACGAATCCTCGCAAAGCAAGCTTCTCTAACTTTTCCATGTGCCTCTCGATTTGCCTTTATTTGGAAGTGTCTAGGCTTTGGTGCTAATCCCTGTAAAGTGATGATGATTGCATCGAAAAATTATTAGGATGGTAGAGCACAATGTGACACAATCGTTTGTAACCACAAGCCAAAAAACAAAAAAGAGAGAGACAGAGACATCAAATTCTAGAACTGATCCTTTTCATTTCAACCCTTTAGCTTCCACTGCAGAGAGGTCCATTCCAACTGCTCAGATGAAGCTGAAAAGAGCCCGACTCGCCGATGATCTCAATGAAAAAATTGCTCTACGACCAGGGCCACTGGAGCTGGTGGAAAAAAACATTCTTCCTGTGGATTCTGCTGTGAAAGAGGCCATAAAAGGTAGTTAGAACAAATGGCATGTCTCTCCTTGGTGCTATTGAGATCTGAGGGCAGCCCGGAGCTCTGACATACTAGGATCTTTGGGGATGAGGGCCTCTCACCAGATAAGAGCCATACCATGGGTTGTTAGTCCAGTTAATTCTCCATAACCAGGGATCCTGGGCATTTGTTGCAATCCCCATTCTTGTACACCCCAAGGCCAAGTCAACACAGGGTAATTTTGCTCTAGTCAGGCAAGTTGAGAACCTGACCAGGTGTAATGCTCAAAACATCTCCCCTATAAGACATCCATTACTTAGGAGTCACAGTCATGGTCCTGTTTAGCCTTCCTTGTTTAAAGAGAGGTAGACTGTATCAGCGGAAAGAGCACTGGCCCCAGACTAGAAAACCCGGACCCTAGATCCAGTTGCCCAATTCACTTCACCTTGAGATGGAGGTGACAGTACTCACCCTACCCAGCTCACAGGCTCCTGGGAGTGAAATTCATGGTAAACAGTACATGTAAAAACTCTGACAGCTCTCACTTGCTCCACGAAGTCAAAGGACAAATACTCAAAAAGGAGACACAAATACTGATTCTGTTATAAACTGTATAACATCGTTTTGTAGACTTTTTGAACAACTGATACTAGGTGGACCCAAACAGCCTGCCAGTACTGAATTCACTCATAGAGGCTTTGGGGTGGAACCCAGGAAAACTATGGTATCAGGGAGAAAGGGGAGCTTAATGCTCCTACAGACACACTTAGCTTTCTCCAGCTATGCCGCAATCCGCTCTGAGAACTATTGGTAGATATTAATAAGCAGTGTATATTTAAATGTTTTGACACATTGTCAAAAAGTAGGTGTAAGGGCATTTTATCCAAAACTAAGTTTATTATAAAACTTGTCATCAAGTTTATTCACATTCTAAAATCTTGCTCTCACCCTGCGATTCAGAGGCCACATGAATTTTGCCTTTGGAACTGGTAAATATGAAAATATCAACTCCAGGAGAGGCAATATACTTGTCTGTCAGTGTCTACTTAAATATCCCACTGTGATTTTCTCTCTCATCTACTCTCTCCCTCCCCACTAAATATCTGGGGCCTTTGAACTTGGCCTTGAGTATTCAAGAGTGCACTGCCACCATGTTTACTCTGATAAGCTCTTGGGCAGGTAAAAATCTCCATCAGGCATCTCTTATTGTTTCTTAAAACATTCTGTTCTGTGCCTGTAAATTTATTTATTTATTTTTCTTTTGTTGAGTGCATGTAAATTTAAGATTTATTTTTACATGATAGGAAAAAGGTCTCCTTTCAATTTGCATTCTTTGGTTTCTAGTAGATTATATTTTTCCTTGTGATTATGTATCGTTGGCAATACATGACTTTTTCTCTGAAAAAGAAAGCTGAGCATGTTCTCGCTTTACTGCTTTGTGTATGCTATTTATATAGGGAAAAAATGCTAATCCTCCATCTGTCACAGGTATCTCACATCCTTTTACCAGTTTGTCCTTCACTTTTTATTTTTTTATATGGTCAATTTTACCTATAGCAGTTCCTAATTAATCTATAGTCAAATCCGCTCATCTTTTTCATTATATTTTCTGAATTCATTTTTATTGAAAATATTTCCTAACTTAAAAATATAGAGTTTATTCACCTAGATTGCCTTGTAATATCTATATACTTTTATTTTTACATTTAAATCCTTAGTATGTCTGAAACTATTTAAGTGGTTGGTTTAAGAGAGAGGTCTAATTTTTTTGTTTATCACAATTTTATGATCTATTTTACAATTTGTGTTAATATCTGTCTTCACAAGTTTCTTTACATTTGTCTGATTTTTCTAAAGTTTCATGGCTACTCTTGCAAGTATATTTTAAGTGAAAATTAGAATCAATTTTTTGTGTCAACTTCAATTCTATTGCAATTTTGTTTAGGATTGCACTGAATTTATATGTTAATTTATGGTGAATTCATGTGTTTAAAATATATAATTTTATAAATTCTTCCATAGTATCTATCTCCACTTATTCAAGTCTTTTTTTTATTTCCCTTTGCAAAGTTTGTTGTTTTTAAGTAAAGTCACATTGATTATTGCTGATATATGGGAAACCTATTAATTGCGCACATTTATTTTATAACTGGGCAGTGTCAAAGATCTTAATAGTTCCAACAGTTTCTCAGTTTATCTTAAGTTGTCCAGGTCTAAGGGAATGGAAATTTGTTTTCTGCTTCATTTTTATTTTCTGCCTTGGTTCACTGGCTGGTACTTGAAAGACAACAACATGATTAGCATATTATAGAATTAATATATTTTCTAAAAATCTATGTAGTATATTAATAAAATAAATTACATGTCATGTTTATGTATTTTATTTATGAATATAGTATATATTATTTATGCATTATACACACTTTATATAAATTATATATTATAAAGTATACTATACTATATTATGCAAACCAAATAATATATATCTTATACAAAATATCTATATCATATAGATGTTTATCTTATATATAAAACTATATGTATGAATTATATAAAGCACATGTTTATATTATACAATAATATGTTAATATATAATTTAATAATTATTGATATATTACATAGTGGAATACTATTGTTATTGATACCTTGCCAGTGCCTCAAAAGTAATATTATATTATATGTATTATATTATATTAGTGTTGCTGTATGTTTTATATTATGTTATAATGTCTTATATTGATGATTACATACATTTTTGTTTTGTTTCTCTCTTAAATCGGATTTTTCTAGTCACTCACATCTGTATATGATGTAGCCTTTGGTATAGGATAGATATTCTAAGGAAGTATTTCTCTATTCCTATCCCACTAAGAGTAGTTTGCAAGATAGATGTTGAGTTTTTTTAAACGCTTTTAAAGCATATCAAAAGATGATGAGGTGGCTTTTCTTCTTTGACCAAGTAATGTGATATTGCTACCTTTCCTAATCTTCCTTGAATTTCTAGGGGAAAACAATCTGTCATAAATTTGGTTCTAGAAATTGCTAGTATTTTATTTGGGATTTTGCATCTATTTCATTATTAGTTGGGATAATGCTGGCTGGGGAACAAACCACAAAACTTCAACAGCTTAACAAGAAAGGTGTATTTCTTGCTTAGAAAGAGTTCAGAGAGGCTTTTCCTCCATGAAAAGCCTCCTTCAGTCTTGTTGCGCCATCATTCCCTACAGCGAGGGTGGCACTTTTTCTTAAGGGAGCAGATAATAAATACTTGAGACTGCCCCTGTCACTACTCAACTCTGATGTTGTAGCAGGAAGGTTGCCATGGGCAGTAAGTAAACAAATAGGCATGACTATGTTCCAATAAAACTTTATTTACAAAAACAGGCTGCAGGCACACAGGCCTCAGTTTGCCATTCTCTGCCCTAGAGCTTTGTCATTCTCTGAATGTATCCAGCAAAGGGGGAAGAAAAGATGAGAAGTTTCATCCACTTATTAAAAAAAATCTCAACCTGGAAATGAACACATCACTTCCACTCACATTCCATTGTGAGAACAGTACAAATGGCTGAGAAAGGTATTCTCTGGCTGAACAGCCATTTCCAGCACTGCCTCTGTATTATGGAAGGGGGATCCTGGTTTTTGATAAGTAGCTAGTCCTGTCTGCCACAATATTCATAAATGATGCTGGTCTATGTTGTTTTTTATTTTTCAGATTTAAATGTCAAACCTACACATACTTCACAAAATAGTTTATGATTACCTTTTCATATTTTTTCATGTTCTGGAAGCATTTAAATATGATCATAATGATTGGTTGCTTTAAAACATTGCTTACTAAAATCGTAGGAAACCAAGGAAATTAAGAAACCAGTGCCTTTTCCAAGAGTAGTTCTTTGAGTTTTTTTCAATTTTGCCCATGATTATTTGTCCACTCAAATTTTCTCCTTAATTTGTACAACTTACCTATTACTAAAAATTCTCACTCCCCTCCTGAATTTTAAAGTTATTGGCCTCAAGTAGTAGACAGTATTGGCTCCCAGTTGTTCTAAGTTTCTCTGAAGAATCATGAGCGCCCAGTGGAGGAAGGTAGTTGCGGGGAATTAGGATGTATAAAAAGAGAAGAGGTCTAAAATGAGGCTCCCACGCAGTAGTGTTTAACATAGAAACAGGGAATCTGTGACTAATAAACAAAAGGAATGGCTAGAGAAAGAGGCAGAAGATACAGGGTGACTTAATCCAAGAAAAATCCAAAAGTGGACAGCAGTAATGGGCAATTGAGCACCTGTTACTCATCTACGCATCAGCCTCTTTAGCAATGACCCTTTAAATGTGCCTGAGTTTTTAGGGGAAAGGTGAACAGGAATATCATAAAGACAGAGAGAGTTGCTTAGAGACAGCTACAGAGAGCGCATTTAGAGACAGCTATAGAGACAGCTATAGTCCTTCCAATGGCGAAGGTGACCCAGCTCACTATTCTGTATGTCACTTCTTGTGATCATATCTTCTCCCTTGGTTGTGGTTGCACTGTGTATCATTCTTCCAGCCTCTGGGTATTTTCCCTCCCCTGTCCACGTGCCTTTCCAGATGTGTTTACATTTTCCAGCTCTCTCTGCAGCTGTGTTTCTGAGTTTCTGCCAAGCTCTGAGAGGATCATTTACTCATTGTCTCCCTCCCTCCAAACTTCATTAAGGACCAACAATTCTCCAACCCTGCAATAGAAACTCTAGAATCTAGAACCTCTCCCAACACAGGGAAGGACATTTTTGACAGAGGACTGTCCCTACCCTGGGATTTTCCTTCTTACTCCCAGACATCATCCCTCTTGCAGTCAGCTGGATGAAAGCACCGCGTCTCTTCCCCTCTCCTCTTGAGTACCAGTTTCTGATCCCACTCCCAGGCTGCAAGTTGACTTTCTGAATTCATAGAGTCTTACAGTTTCCAGGTGGAGGGAAAAAAACAGGTTCATCACCCTAAAATGACATTCTGTAGGGTAATAGGGGACTTGGTCCTCCTCGGGGCTGTATCTGAGAGCATGCACCTCATTGCCTATTTCGCCTTCGTAGAAAACCGCTTATCAGGCCAGAACACTGAATACCAAAAGCATTGTGTTACATGAAAGCGATGATTCATGAGAACAGAAATGATATCCTGGAGTTTAGCATGGTCTTGCTCAGTTTATGAGTGGTAATTATTACTGAAATATCCCTCTGTGTTGAGACCCCTACAGGCTTACTTCTAGCTTGTTAATTCTCTCGCTGGTCATCAGAGCATTTTCTTCACTTAACGTGAACATCCCTTAGCTCCCACGAAAGTCGTATATTGTCCAGATGTCTGACTCCTGGCTTGAGTAAAACAGAACCCAGGCTGGCCTTCCCAGCTTTACCAACAGTAGAAGGGCCCAGGTTTTCAGCTCCAAAAGACAAGCATCTTCTCCTAAAGTGTTCTCACCTTTTCATGGGACTGGGCCAGTCTTCCCACCTGAGTCAGGTTTTTTTGTTGTTGTTTTTTTAAGACAGAGTTTCGCTCTTGTTGCCCAGGCTGGAGTGCAATGGCATGATTTCAGCTCACCGCAACCTCTGTCTCCCGGGTTCAAGTGATTCTCCTGCCTCAGCCTCCCAAGTAGCTGGAATTACAGGCATCCACCACCATGCCCAGCTAATTTTGTATTTTTAGTAGAGATGGGGTTTCTCCACATTGGTCAGGCTTGTCTCGAACTCCCCACCTCAGGTGATCCACCCGCCTTGGCCTCCCAAAGTGCTGAGATTACAGGCGTGAGCCACCGTGCCCAGCCAGTCTTTTTAAAAAAAGAACCCGTGATTTAGAATATATAGCCCCATTGTCAAACCTAAATTTGTTCTTTTTATCACCATGACCGTTTCATGTAGAAAGCAATAATTCAGCCCCTCCGGGGCTGGTCCAGAAGTCACCCATTTCTATCATTTACATTTATAAAAGATCCTGTGCTAGTCACTGCTCACCAATGTGCCCCACGCTTAGACTTCATAACAAAACCCTCCTATTCACTAAGAATCTAGTCATTCTTCAGAGACACCAAAAGTCTTCACCCTCTCTGATCGTTCATTTTGAAGGCAGCTAGATAATAACCATGGCCCTGAGTGAGATGGTAGGGCTGTTTGCTTTGGCATAAAAAAGAACATTTTGCTTTGGCATAACTTTCTCATGAACAAAATCTATCATTCCATCATGAGAAATAATTTCCAAAGAGTAAACCACCCTTGGGGTAAAGAAACACACTGAGGCATACGTGACAAATACTTTGCTGAGGATGGTTCTGGGAAAGAGTTGGGCAAGAGAATCAGGGAGCTGGGAGTGTTGGAGCGTGTGGGAGTGGCGGGAGGAAAGGGTGAGCGCTGAGAGAGAAAGGAAGTGCCTGGAGTCTGCCTCTGCCGCCCTGTGAAGTAAGGGCTTTGCCTCTGTGGAAGCCATCTCAGGCATCATTGAGAGGTGGGCAGGGCATGCCCAGGTGGGAGCTGAAGTTGGAGAGAGGCCTCTAGAAATCTGAGGGCAGCTTGAGGCTCTGGGAGGGGCTGAGGAGCATCCTGTCAAAGAGAAAAGGGAGACAGGATAAAGCACTTTTTTTTTTTTGAGATGGAGTTTTTGCTCTTGTCGCCCAGGCTGGAGTGCAATGGCGCGATCTCTGCTCACTGCAACCTCCCAGGTTCAAACAATTCTCCTGCCTCAGCCTTCCAAGTAGCTGGGATTACAGGTGCGTGGCACCACACCTGGCTAATTTTTGTATTTTTAGTAGAGATGGGGTTTCACCATGTTGGCAAGGCTGATCTCGAACTCCTGACCTCGTGATCTGCCCGCCTTGCCTAATGTTATTTTTCATCCCTAGAGGATTCACCTCAAGAGCAACGCAGGGCAGGTATTTACACAGGTTAACTGCTTTTCCTGACTTGTGTGGCCCTAGGATCAGGTGTATCAAAAGACATGAAGATCATCCTGGGCAGCATAGTGACACCTCATCTTTACAAAAAAATTTAAAATTAGCCAGGCATACTGGTGCATGCCTGTAGTCCTAGTTACTCGGGAGGCTGAGGCAGGAGGATCACTTGAACCCAGGAGTTTGAGGCTGCAGTAAGCTATGATCAAACCACTGCACACCAGCCTGGGTGACAGAGTGAGACCCTATCTCTCAAAAAAAGGAAAAAAAAGGCCAGGCGTGGTGGCTCATGCCTGCAATCCCAGCACTTTGGGAGGCTGAGCGGTGGTGGATCACCTGGGATCAGAAGTTCGAGACCAACCTGACCAACGTGGAGAAACCCCATCTCTACTAAAAATACAAAATTAGCTGGGCATGGTGACAGGCATCTGTAATCCCAGCTACTTGGGAGGCTGAGGCAGGAGAATCGCTTGAACCTGGGAGGTGGAAGTTGCAGTGAGCCAAGATCGCGTCACTGCACTCCAGCTTGGGCGATGAGCGAAACTCCATCTCAAAAAAAAAAAAAAAAAGACATAAGGCAAATTTCTAAAGTGCCAGGGATCTGAGTAAAAAAAATTAGTCATTCCAACATCTACCTATTATGCCATTTCCATAATAAAAGCATCTGATCGCTTTCCAGAGCAGTGAGTTCTGACTTTGGTTAGATAGTCCAATCAGTCTGTAGACTATGACATGCTAAATCTATGCAAATGTCTTTAGGCAACAGCTACACTGAAACTATAGCTACCTTTCTGTGTACGACTTTCTCCCTTAGGACACAAATTTTGCTTCAGTCTCTTCCAGGATGTCAGGAGGTAGTCTGTCCATGATTTAAAATAGCTTCTATTGCAGTGGACCGGGCCAGCTCACAGGTTGATAAGGAAGGAGGCGCATTTTCATATTCTACTTCATGGTTTCCTGCCCTTGGTGTGGGTCTTCACAGAAAGGTAACTAGGATTCCAATTATCTTGCTTTAATCTTGGCATTTTAAATGTTTATGCAAAGAAAGTACAGCTGACTCATTCATCTGATCACTTCCAAGAGGGAGAGGAGAGGCTCCGAGTCACCAGCCCAAGATCCCCAAGGGGCCAGTGCCCAGAGCCAGTCCTGCGAGCATAGCCAGAGGATGATGTCAGGGCTTCCCAAAGCAGGTCCTTGTCATCACAGCCCCGACGCGTCTGCAGGGACAATAGCCAGCACACCGCTCTCCATCAGCTCCCAGCCAGCCTCATGCTGGGGAAGATTGGAGCGGAGGCCCAGGGTCACACCACGGAGCCAGGAGACTTGGTCATTCCAGAGGCAGTCAGATAAGGTGACCTTTGTCCCTCTCTGCATGGGCTTGGCTTGAACCAGGAAGGAGAGGGAGTGGCATGCCAGCCTTTCCACCCACACTCCTCCTACTCTGAGGAAGGGCCGCCTTTGCTTTCCCAGAAGGAACCTCTCAGGACCAACCAGTTTTTCTGGTTCTGGAGTTGTGCTGACCTTTGCAAAGCTGACCAGAGGATAAACTGCCTCCCGGGTGGTCTGTTTATTTTTGATGATGTTAAACTTGAGACAAACAGATGCTCCTACCAAAAACAATAGCAACAATAGCAACAATAACAGCAAGAAATTATTAATCACTTACACGTCAGGAACTGGGCCCAGTGCTTTCCATATGTTATTACCTAATCCTCGAAACCCTGAAAGCTAGCTATTATGATGATGATTCCCATTTTATAGATGGGGAAACTGAGGCTCAGAGAGGTCAAATAACTTGCCAACTGTCACGCTATCCCTGAACTGGTAGAACCAAAAAGCAAACTCAAATGCGTCTGACTCCAGAACCCAGGGCCTTGTGGGCCACACCGAACACCACAGGAGGTGTTCATGCCAAAAGGAAGCCACTGCTATGTACTTACAGGAGCCCCTCCACTGTTAAGGTTTTTCCCATCAACAGCGACGAGCTAAGTCTATAGCTGTGTCTGGGCTCCCTGCCCTTTCCCTCATCTTCTGCCCTGGCAGTGGCAAATCTAAACCAGTCACTTGTAGCCCTGAAAGAGTGGTGATTGACAGGGGCCCCCATGGTGAGATCTTGTGGCCTGGACAGCGACCAGTGGTCCTCAGTGCAGCTGTCAGTATGTTCTAACTTGGCACATTGTGCTTTTTAGATACCGGAGAGGAGTCATATTTGGGGCCTTGGCACTCATCCTGGTTGTTTACGCAGGTGTAAACCCGTACGCGGGATGTAGTTCCATGCACTCATGGTTTCCTCATTTCATTGACTTAAGCAAGGGAGACTCCTACAAGCAATGTCTCTCCAGGGGTTGGCTCCTAAAATAGCCCTCTCCCCTGGCTGAAAGCACTTCTTTGTCATCCTCCCCAACCCAAGCATGCTAATGGCCACTCTATCATTTCTCGTCCACACGCCCCATCCTTTCATTGTCAGACGCGCCCCTCTCCCTTTCTGCTGTCCTGTCCACCGCTGACAGTCACTTCAGGCTCCATTCAATCCCACCTCCTCCGGGAGGCTTCTTGGACAACTTCGCATCGCTGTCTCCTCTCTGTAACCACCACCAGCACTCACCAGGCAGTCTGGCCCGTGACAGATTCTCTGATTGTGTCCCATCCAGATACAAGGATCTCCTTTCTCATGGTTTTCTGTCTCTTCTCTTAGCCATATCTTATCTGATCACACCTCAGCTTGTCTCTGCTCCTCTTAAAATGGGAAGGCTGGAGTTAAACGCAACAATTTAGGAATGCTCCGTCCAGCCCTGGGGAAAGGGGGATTGATTACCTACACCTTTATTCCAGATACTCAACTTCTAGACTTTTCGACATCATTCTTGTGCTTCGACCTGGGGTCACCAAATGCCAGGTGTCAGAGTGGAAAGGGCTGATTCACTGGTAGTAACTTCAGGGCTGCAACAATCTTTCCACCCCTTTACTGAGGCAAGTCCGAATTAAATTCATCGGGACTCTCCCTTCCCAGAATCTCCTGCCTTCTTTGTTCCTCAAAAGCAAGATGTCACAGTCAGTCCCTCAGATCTCAAAAATTCAGCTATTTTGTGGAATTCTGGAGACAGCCTTAGCATATGACCTATGTATACGAAGTAGGCTGGGCGCGGTGGCTCACGCCTATAATCCCAGCACTTTGGGAGGCTACAGCAGGTGGATCACGAGGTCAGGAGATCGAAACCATCCTGGCTAACACAGTGAAACCCTGTCTCTACTAAAAATACAAAAAATTAGCCAGATGTGGTGGCAGGTGCCTGTAGGACCAGCTACTTGGGAGGTTGAGACAGGAGAATTACTTGAACCCGGGAGGTGGAGGTTGCAGTGAGTCGAGATTGTGCCACTGCACTCCAGCCTGGGCAACAGAGCAAGACTCCATCTCAAAAAAAAAAAAACAACCAAATAGTAGAGATGTTGGTCATTTTCTGTGTTACCCCTGCCCTACCTATCCCCCAATCAACCAAGCAGGTTGATGATGTACCATAAACCATACAATGGCTTCACCTGCTGACTTCCAGGAAAGATGACTAATTCTGCCACCCCCTCTACCAGGTGAGTCTGAGATTCCAACGGCTGATACTGTGGTCCTAGTTCAGTCTCAAAATAACTGGGTAGACCTGACCTTACAATGTGTTCATTTATTAAAAAGAAATGAGAAGGCTGGGTGCAGTGGCTCACGCCTGTAATCCCAGCACTTTGGGAGGCCGAGGTGTGTGGATCACCTGAGGTCAGGAGTTCAAGACCAGCCTGGCTAACATGGTGAAACCCTGTCTCCACAAAAATACAAAAATTAGCTGGGCATGGTGGCGCATGCCTGTAGTCCCAGCTACTTGGGAGGCTGAGGCCAGAGAATCACTTAAACCTCGGAGGGGGAGTTTCAGTGAGTTGAGATCATGTCACTGCACTCCAGCCTGGGTGACAGAGCAAGACTCCGTCTCAAAAAAAAGAAAAAAGAAAAAAAGAAAGAAATGAGAAAATGTGCCCCCTTCCTGAACTATTATGAAGTCTAACAAAGTTAGCTGTTTTTGCTATTGCTGCCACTGCTAGGTAAACTACTCAGCCACCTGCTATTTTTATTATTTGCTCTCTCTCTACTTGAAACAATGAAATTAGGGTTTTGGGGTCATAAGAGGAGAAACCACCCTCTCTCCCCTTCTCTTAACATTTCCACCCATGTTAGAATATGTAGATTTTGCAATTTGGTTAATTTCCTCTAATTTGTACACATCTGGGAGGTGATACCCTGTGTGGAGAGAGGAGGAGTCTTTGTCATGAGAAGTATCAGATCAGAGAAGGTCCACATGCATTTAGACTGAAGGAAGTGGGCAGGGGAGGTGACATCACAAAGCTCTCAGACTGAGGGTCCTGCTGGGCAGAGAAGACTGGCTGCCCTGAGAGGCTGACAAAGTCACATGCAGGGTCTCTGAGAGTGTGAATGGCACTGGCCCGGGGCACGTGCCATGTGGATCCCAAGAAAATGCAGTGACTTCTAGAGTGGGGAACACTTAACCCCCTAACCCCCATCCACCCACCCACCTACTGCATGCCTACCTGGCCCTCAGTAATACACATGATCCTTTTTTTTTTTTTTTTTTTTTTTTGAGACACAGTCTTGTTCTGTCGCCCGGGCTAGAGTTCAGTGGTGTGATCTCTGCTGACTGCAACCACTGCCTCCCGGGTTCAAGCAATTCTCCTGCCTCAGCCTCCGGAGTAGCTGGGATTACAGGTGCTCGCCACCATGTCTGGCTAATTTTTGTATTTTTAGTAGAGACGGGGTTTCACCATGTTGGCCAGGCTGGTCTCGAATTCCTGACCTCATGATCCACCTGCCTCGGCCTCCCAAAGTGCTGGGATTACAGGCATGAGCCACCGTGCCCAGCCACATTAGGCATTTTTCTAAGGTATGAATTTCTATGATGAACATGTATTACTTTTATATTCATGGTAAAGCGATAATGACTTTTATAAATAACCTTGGAGCAGAAATGCTCAGCCCCAAACCCTTCCCAGTTAGTGGGCCGCCCCATGGGCCTGTGACTGGAGTTTCCCCCTGCCCTGTCCTTGCACGGCCTCCTTCCTGATGTGACACTTGGATGCCTGTGAGAGGGCCTGTGACAGATGCCAGCAGTGGTGGCGATGACAAGCCCAAAGCCACATTTGTTCCATTACTTCCAGCTCCTCGTTGCCTTTGCAATCCCTGCGGTGAGAGCTCCTTTCTCTTATCTGCACAAGGCAAGAGTCAAAAGTTCTTGTCAGTGTGATTGCAGAATATCAGACTGGAAAACTTCCTGATAATACCTAAATTCCTTTAGCGCAGAGCAGTCCCTGGACTCGGGTCAGGAGAGCTATGTGGCTTCAGCACATTGTGTACTGTGCAGCTGGATAATAAACCAGATGAAATTTGGCAAATAAAAATGTAAGGATGTCATTCTAGTCCCATCTGGTGTGATAACCCCTCTCCCACACCAATTTGTCTGTTCCCTTAGCAAAACCATGCAGGCGGCAGAGGAAGAGTCTCTGCTTGTGTGAGCCATTGAGGAATTCCAAAATAGACACAAAGATATGAGGAATACAAAGAAATGCCAAATAATAAAAAATGAGGATCAAGCTGAGGTTTCTGAGACACATTTATGGCTTTTGTAAACAGTCATGCATTCGTTGAATGGCTCTTTGGGATGCACTGGTGACATTAGCTAATTCTGACATTTAGGAATTTAAACTTAGTAGCTGTCCTAGCTTATCCTTATTAACAAAGTTTGCTAAACATTGCGTGCTGTGCGCCCTGCTTTATGTTTGAAGATGATGCAAATGGCAGGCTGTCATCTCGATTCCATCTCTCATCGTAAAACCCGAGGGACACGGGCGCATGCTCCCACCATGTTTTCCTCTGGCCTCATTCTGCACCCAGCATTCCCTGTTCTTTCCTTACCTTCCCCAGTTTAGTTTCAAAAACATATGGGTTCCCAAAGAAAACAGGAAGAAATGCAGAAACGTGAAAATAAAGTTTAACAAGTGATGATAGACCTTTGATAGAGCACTCTTTCCTCCATGCCAAACAAACCGCTTTTTATAAACCAAATAATTTAAAGTATAGCTTCACTCTTACCTAAACTTAAAACAAACTGGAGAGAGAGAGGTGTATTTTTAATAGAAATGACACATCGAAGCATTTCCAAAAATGCCCTTTGATGCTCCTAAGCCACTGACCAAGTTCCTGGATTTCACCCCCTCAGGTAACCAGGTGAGTTTCTCCAAATCCACGGATGCTTTTGCCTTTGAAGAGGACAGCAGCAGCGATGGGCTTTCTCCGGATCAGACTCGAAGTGAAGACCCCCAAAACTCAGCGGGATCCCCGCCAGACGCTAAAGCCTCAGATACCCCTTCGACAGGTTCTCTGGGGACAAACCAGGTAAAAAACAAAACAAACAAACGAAAAAAGTAAAACAGCATCTCAGTGTATTATCGTTTCAGTCTTAACATCAACACTGTTAACAGCTGGTTTTGCTTAGAGAATGCAGAGATGTCCCTGGCTGCCACAGCATTTTGATGCCTCTTCTCACTCTATTCAGCGCAGGCCTCTGTGTGGGGTGACAAAAGCTCCAGAAAACACTGAAAGAGAACCTCCAGAACTACACCCTTTAACTTATCCATTAAGCATCTGCTCTGCCAAGCAGATACCTTTTATCTCCATTTTTATGGACAAACTAGCTAAGACTCAGTGAGATTGGATGACTCGCCAACAATCTCCCAGCTAGAAAGTGCCAGAGCAGGACTGATTCAAAGTTCACCATCTCTCTATGCACTGAGGACTCACTACGGGGCTCCAGGGAGTGGAGAGAAGGAAACGCTGGCTCTCTCCAAGGCAGGGAGGCCCACGTTGCTTCTGCTTTTAGCAGGTTTCTACCTAGCAAGCTGCAGCAAAATTCAGCCCCAACCCAACCATAACATTCACCTCTTTCTGTACAAATCTACAAACCCTTGAGCATGAGGAACATGTATTGAGAATACTCTTAAAGCACATTTATAAAGAATAATGATGATTATGGGCTGGGCACGGTGGCTCACGCCTGCAATCCCGGCACTTTGGGAGGCTGAGGCGGGCGGATCACCTGAGATCAGGAGTGCAAGACCAGCCTGGCCAACACGGTGAAACCCCGTCTCTACTAAAAATACAAAAATTAGCCGGGCATGGTGGTGCGCGCCTGTAATCCCAGCTACTTGGGAGGCTGAGGCAGGAGAATCACTTGAAACCGGAAGGCAGAGGTTGCAGTGAGCTGAGATCATGCCACTGCACTCCAGCCTGGGCAACAAGATTGAAACTCCATCTCAAAGGGGGAAAAAAAAAGAATAATGATGATTATGAACAACAGTTCCTGCTACATATTAAGTGCTCACTCTGGGCCAGGGGCAGTGCCAAGTGCATCACAAAAGTTTCCTCATTTGAAATCAGAGACCCCTCCAAGTAGGTATCATCGAGGTTGATTCTGACAGAGAAGGAACTAAAGCTCTGTGAGGCCGAGCAACTGGTGGGCTCTAGAAGTATGGCAGAGTGTCAGCCACGCCGGGGAAATCCAGCCAGAGGTATGGAGCCCTTAAGAGAGATGCACCCGGGCATCCACATATGAGGGGAAGGAGATGCGTAAGTGTGAAAGCCAGATGTGAGCTCTTCCAACTCTGTCTCTATCCAGAGAGCCCTTCAGACCCTCAGCCCCTTCCCTTTACCACTCCTGGCCTCACAGAAATTGTGCAATGAACTGAAATTAGATACATTTGAAAGCTGGGTTATTTTTTCCCACTGAAAAGTACCATACAGATATTAGGGACAGTTAAAATAATTATCATTCAGTGCCTCGTTTCCCAAAACCATGCCAGTTACTGATCACCGTCATGCCTATCTTCACCCCATCAGAGCAAACCTAAAGCTGCCAAGGAGAAAAAGTGAAATGGGAGGAAAAAGGGAGGCATGGAAAGCTGAGCTGAATACTTGTGTGTTTATTGTGCAAGAGTGTATAATCAAAGCATTTTTCCTTCCCCTGCATGCCACAGCTGGTCTTTGCAGCCAAATTTCTTTGATAACATCAAACGGTGTATCAGATCATTTGTACACATTATTCTGACAGTAAATTCCTAAGCTTCTGATTTAAGAATGGTTTGAGGAAAAGGCAAGTTCTTTTCTGCTTCACCTTAGGAGAGGGGAAGAAGAGAACAAGCACCGAACAATGCCAGGCAAGATGCAAAAATCATTGTTTGTCATTTCTCCCGGCAATCATGTTTGACAGATGAGGACACTGAGGCTCCAAGAGAAAAGAATCCTTTGGGCCTTTGACAGGTGCCAGGCAGGGCTCAGGGAAGAACTGCAAAGCTCATTCCTCACCCCCCATGGAGAGATCATGGGCAGCCCTGGCTCCTTTTTGTCAGAGTTGAAACAGAGGAATATAGGAGAGAAAGAGAAAATAATTTTTCCCTTTACAGACTCTACCTCTGGTAAAGGTTTCTTATGACTTTATACACATGCATGCGCACGCACACACAAACACACACACAGACTCACATATGTATACACACAAAACCACATATACATATACATGCCTGTGTGCACACATGTGCACACACACACACGTATACACCTAACATGCACACACACATATATACACACATGCTCATAAGCACGCATGCACGTACACACATACATGCACATATAAACACTCAGACACACACTTGGAGATACACACACACACTTCCAAACACACACTTTCCCTTTTTCTGCTAACATCCTTTTTATCTACCTTGTTCATTGTCCTACTTTCCCCCCAAATTCCTACACTCACTCTTCCCTGCTGCTCTTTTTCAATTGCATTATCAAGACAGGTGGACCTTGTCACACACAGGTGGAACGCCCACACACCGAGACCAGATGTCCCAGTTTGCCTAGAACAGACCAGTTTTATACCTGTCTTTTGGAATCATTACTTAGAATGATTCCCTTTCTCTCTCAAAAGTGTTCTCAGCTGGATGATAAGTTTATATATATATATGTATATATGTATATACACATAAACATATTTATATGTGTATACACATGTACATATATATACACACACACATATATACACACATATACGTATGTGACTCCTCCCACTGAGGGAGTAGGCTGATATTTACTTGGGTGAGAAGCTAGGATGAAAGCAGCAGAGGTATATATACGGACTCTAACATTTCTGTGTCACACAACTTATTCCTGTATCTTCCTAATATCGGTAACATTTGGATTTCAGGATCTTGCTTCTGGCTCAGAAAATGACAGAAATGACTCAGCCTCACAGCCCAGCCACCAGTCAGATGCGGGGAAGCAGGGGCTTGGCCCCCCCAGCACCCCCATAGCCGTGCATGCTGCTGTAAAGGTACGGACACATCAGCCTCCAAGCCCTGCCTGAGCGCTCGGCTCACAGAGCCGACTTGGAGCAGAACTTTCTGAGTTAGGTCTGACAACACGAGGAGAGTTACACGGAGGACCCAGGCAGAGGTTCAGCTCACTAGGAGGGTCACAAAACAGGAGATGAGAAATGGGTCACCATCCTTGCAGCACAGCAGAAGTCACCTCTGCCACGGAGAAGGCTGTGGGTTTGCATTTCTTTGGAATCACAGTCCAGCCAGCACGTTCCCCACTTAAAAGATTTCATAAGCTCACCTTTGAGGTAGACACAGCTGATTGTAAGGCAGGATTTGCAAGTTTCATAAAATAGGTATGCAGCAGTTGGATTTTATGCAAGGGAAGTAGCCCTGAAAAGCTTGCATAACGTAAAACTTACATCATTCAAGCCAGTCTTCCTATGGAAATAACCACGGGGTTTCATTCATAGTAGGCAGGTAGCTAGAATCATTATAGCAAATGTTTAGTTTTCTCAGCATTATATCTTTTTGTTAATTTTTATTTTTATTTCAATAGTTTTGGGGGTGCAGGTGGTTTTTGGTTACACAGAGAAGTTCTTTAGTGGTGATTTTTTTTCTTTTTCTTTTTTCTTTTTTGAGACAGAGTCTCTCTCTGTTGCCCAGGTTGGAATACAGTGGCGCGATCTCAGCTCACTGCAACCTCCGCCTCCCAGGTTCAAGTGATTCTCCTGCCTCAGCCTCCCGAGTATCTGGGACTACAGGCTCCCGCCACCATGCCCGGCTAATTTTTTGTGTTTTTCATAGAGATGGGGTTTCACTGTGTTAGCCAGGATGGTCTTCATCTCCTGACCTCATGATCCACCTGCCTTGGCCTTCCAAAGTGCTGGGATTACAGGCGTGAGCCACTGCGCCCGGCCCTTTAGTGGCGATTTCGGAGATTGTAGTGCACCCGTCACCTGAGCAGTGTACACTGTACACAATACGGAATCTTTTATCCCTCACCCCACTCCCAATCTTCCCCCAATCCCCAAATTCCATTACATAATTCTTACGCCTCTGCATCCTCATAGCTTAGTTCCCACTTATAAGTGAGAACACATGATACTTGGTTTTCCATTCCTGAGTTACTTCACTTAGAATAATGGCCTGCAGCTCCATCCAAGTGGCTGCAAAAGACATTATTTCATTCCTTTTTATGGCTGAGTAGCATTCCATGTTGTATATGTACCACATTTTCTTTATCCACTTGTTGGTTGATGGGCACTTCGGTTGGGTCCATATCTTTGCACTTGCGACTCGTGCTTCTATAAACACCAGCATCGCATCTCACAGTACACAGGCTGCTCTCTCTTCAGTTAATTGCCTGGTAATCATGTGGCCTTCTTTATAATGTTTTATCCCAAATAACTTCCCTTTGTGTTCCTTTTTTTTTTCTTTTGAGATGGAGTTTCACTCTTGTTGCCCAGGCTGGAGTGCAGTGGCGTGATCTCAGCTCGTCGCAACCTCCGCCTCCCAGGTTCAAGTGATTCTCCTGCCTCAGCCTCCCCAGTAGCTGGGAGTATAGGTGCACACCACCATGCCTGGCAAATTTTGTATTTTTAGTAAAGACGGGGTTTCTCCATGTTGGTCAGGCTGATCTTGAACTCCTGACCTCAGGTAATCCACCTGCCTCAGCCTCCCAGAGTGCTGGGATTACAGGCGTAAGCCACCGTGCCTGGCCTATACCCAAATAACTTCCAACTGATTTGGGAACACGTTTTCTCAGCTCGAGTGCCACCACTTAATGAATGTTAAAATGACTCTTACGGGACTTAAAAAAGATTGTAAATTGAAGTAAAAATCAATGATATAGTAACAGTTTTATGGTCTAATGGATGATAGACACTTCAGTTTGCCAATAAGGCTCCCCCACCAAACCACAAGAGCTTAAACCCAGCTGACAATTCACTCAGCTCAACAGGTCGGAAATTATGTGACTATCAATGCATTTTGTTCATTGCAGGGGAAGGAGGAGGAGATGAGTCCCGTTATTTCTAAAGCTGAGTATAAAAAGAAATGTTATTCATATTTCTATCACAGTATTTAAATTTTGCATAATTTAAGTTAGCAGTGGAGCATGGTGGCTCACGCCTGTAATCCCAGCACTTTGGGAGGCCGAGGCGGGCAGATCACCTGAGGTCAGGAGTTCGAGACCAGCCTGGCCAATATGGTGAAACCCCGTCTCTACCAAAAAATACAAAAATTAGCCGGACGTGGTGGCGTGTGCCTGTAATCCCAGCTACTCAGGAGGCTGAGGCAGGATAATCGCTTGAACCCAGGAGGGGGTGGTGGCAGTGAGCCGAGATCGCAGTCACTGCACTCTAGCCTGGTCGACAGAGCGAGACTCTGTATATATATATAAAAAAAAAAAAAATTAGCAAAGCCTTCAACCTCACTGTAGTAGAAAGTATGATAGAAGCCCAGGAGATGAACAGATCGCTTTCTGTGAAAAAGGCGATTCTTACAGACACCCAGCTGGTCCCGGCAGGCTGGTTGTTTGTAGAAGAGCCATCATTTCTTCTGCTTGGTCAACAAACACAAAAACCTTAGTGTCCCCTGGGCTCAAAAAGAGAATAGTAATAGTAGCCTTTACCCCAGACTATCCAGAGTAAATGGTCCGATTTCAGTATCTTCTGGAATGTGCTAAGGCAACATAGAGAAAAAAAGCTCCTGGACCTCCGACTTAGCTGCGGGACCCTGCCAGGGCTGCAGCTCCCATCCTCCCCAGACAAGGCAAGCCTCAGAATGAGGCGACAACAGCAGCTGGTCTGGAGCAGGCCAGGGCAGAGCTGGTTTCGGGAGCCCTGCAGAAACTCTCCAAGGACAGAAGACTGATTAACTAACTAGAATGCTAATCGATTAGTAAGCAGAGAGAAACGGAGCCACCAAACACACCCAACTACTTGTGTTCATTATTCATTAGTCGCCAGGAAGAAGTCTCTTTGGAAAACAAAAGAGCCTTTGGGGGTGCATTGCGCTGAGTCCAAGTGAGTTGTAAGCTCCTTTGGATAAGGTCACATTCAGATGTGTAGTTTGTGGTTGAAGTGGGGAACCTGCCAAGTCAGAATATGCTTGCCAGCTGTTCAGGAGCCCCCTCTTCTGGACACCGGTGGAAACACACTTTCCTTCCAATGTTCCCCCAAATCCTAGCTCACTCGTGGTCATGACATCCGTGTTCTTCATTTCAACCTTCTGTAATAAAGTCAGGGTTTGAAAATTATTTTTTTTTTTTGAGGCGGAGTCTCGCTCTATCACCCAGGCTGGAGTGTAGTGGCGCAATCTCGGCTTACTGCAACCTCCACCTCCTGGGTTCAAGCTATTCTACTGCCTCACCCTCCCGAGAAGCTGAGACTACAGGCATCTACCACCAAGCCCAGCTAATTTTTTGTATTTTTACCAGAGACAGGGTTTCACCATGTTGGCCAGGCTGGTCTCGAACTCCTGACCTCAAGTGATGCGCCCACCTCCGCCTCCCAAAGTGCTGGGATTACAGGCATGAGCCACCGCGCCCGGCCTGAAAATTACTTTTTTTTAACCTGATAACAGGATGGACCCATTCCTTCCTAATATACAAAGGTCTTTTATTTCAGGAGCAGGTTATAGACATAATTACCTGTTCATTGACTACCTGTTATTATTTCAATATTATCTTTTATAGTCTTTATATTGATTAGTGAGAGAAAAAGTAAAGAATATTTTCTCCAACTTGCAGGTGAGGAAACTGAGATGTATTAAAGTTAAGTAATTGTACCACTTTCAAAAATTTGTCTTATCTTCCAAGACTATACCCTTAACTTCCTGATTCAGTGTGTCCAAATCATGCAATACATGCTTTGGGTTCCAACTCTGGGAAGTGTTCCAGTTAGGTGGATAACCCTTCCCATAATAAGTAAAGTGTCCTTATTTCAAAAGGTGTTACTTCCTGATCTTTCATCGGTATTTGGCAGGCAGGCGAGAGGGTGTTCAGCAGGCAGATAGGCAAGGTTTATCTTACTTTCAGCTCAAAGCAACAAATAACCACATTCTAGATTTTCAAAGAAAATCTTAGTTTTATCTTAGTTTATGTCATTAATAAGTCGACTTATTAAGTGTTTAACTAAAAGTGACTGCACATATGCATATGAAAGTTCTTTTTTTTTTTTTTTTTTTTTTTGAGATGGAGTTTCGCTCTTGTTGCCCAGGCTGGAGTGCAATGGCGTGATCTCGGCTCACTGCAACCTCTGCCTCCTGGGTTCAAGCAATTCTCCTGCCTCAGTTTCCCGAGTAGCTGGGATTACAGGCGCCTGACACCACACCTGGCTACTTTTTGTATTTTTTGTAGAGAAGGGGTTTCACCGTGTTGGTCAGGCTAGTCTCGAACTCATGACTTCAGGTGATCCACCCGCCTCGGCCTCCCAAAGTGTTGGCATTGGCATTACAGGTGTGAGCCATCGCTCCCAGCCATGAAAGAACTTTCTACAAGTAGTCTCAAGATCAGAATGCAACCTTTGTTAGGTCATCAGTTGGTTTTAGGTTAGGAGAATGCACTCATTGAAACACAGGATTACATTTTGCTGTACTCCAGAAAGGAAAAACTCTGGAGCTGCTTCTAAGATTCAACATTCCCTGTCTAAGGAGTGTCCTTCCAGTGTGATACATTTGCAATGGATTTGTTCATTAGCAACGTTAGTGTCCTAGGAGCTCTTTGTACATCATGCCTTTGCTATATTATATTTCTGAGATCCAAGAATGGCCATCAGACAAAACTGCCTCACAACGTGTCCATGATGCAAAATCATTCTCAGCCATCACCTAAAGCACATGCAATTTCCTCATCTTCTTTGCAGTCCAAATCCTTGGGTGACAGTAAGAACCGCCACAAAAAGCCCAAGGACCCCAAGCCAAAGGTGAAGAAGCTTAAATATCACCAGTACATTCCCCCAGACCAGAAGGCAGAGAAGTCCCCTCCACCTATGGACTCAGCCTACGCTCGGCTGCTCCAGCAACAGCAGCTGTTCCTGCAGCTCCAAATCCTCAGCCAGCAGCAGCAGCAGCAGCAACACCGATTCAGCTACCTAGGGATGCACCAAGCTCAGCTTAAGTAAGTCCGGCAAGGCTGGGAGGGTGGCTGTGGGCAGAGGTTGGGAAGGGTGTCTATTAATATCTATCTGCCAGCACCATGGGGCCTAGCAAGTCCTGTATTGCACCATTTCCTCATCCAGTATGTTTGGAAGGTGACTCAATTTAGAAACTATGCACACCTTTTCAGAGCCGTAAGACTGGGAGGAAGCAAATACAGGGCCCTCTATATCTGCAGATGTATTCCAAACCCTCATTGGATCCCTGAAACCTCAGAGAGTACTGAACTCTACATATACTGTATTTTTCTTAGGCATATATACCTGTGATAAGGTTTCACTTATAAATTAGGCACAGTGAGAGAATAACAATAATAGCTAGCAATAATGTAGAACAATTATAGCAAGATACTGTAATAAAAGGTATCTGGATGTGGTGGTTTCTCTCTCAAAATAACTTATTGTACTGGACACAACTATTTTTGAACTGCAGTTGACCTCAGGTAACTGAAATCTTGTAAAGTGAAACTGCCAATAGGTGGAGGGACTGCTATAAATCAATGCCCTTGATAAGAGGCCCCTTTGGGGAAAAGGAAAGTATTAGCACTTTCAAGTTGGACTATGGAAAGTCTAAGAATGTGATATTGGAATTATGAGCAATTCCGATGCCCTTCTGCTTTTAGAAGGAACAGGGCTGAGCAGCTGACAGACACTCTCAAAGATTGACTCCTGAGCCCAGGTTGTGTGACCACATTGCTAGGTCACCTTTTATTTTTTTTAAATATATTTATTTATTTATTCATTTATTTTTTCGAGATGGAGTTTCACTCTTGTTGCCCAGGCTGGAGTGCAATGGCGCGATCTTGGCTCACCGCAACCTCCGCCTCCCAGGTTCAAGCGATTCTCCTGCCTCAGCCTCCCTAGTAGCTAGGATTACAGGCATGCGCCACCACGCCCGGCTAATTTTGTATTTTTAGTAGAGACAGGGTCTCTCCACGTTGGTCAGGCTGGTCTCAAACTCCCAACCTCAGGTGATCCACCCGCCTCGGCCTCCCAAAGTGCTCGGATTACAGGCATGAGCCACCGTGCCTGGCCAGGTCACCCTTTAAATTGTCAATATCCCCACATATAAAGTTGAGATGTAGATTCCTCCTGTGTCATCCTCAGACTATATACTAGCAATTATGCTGAGCACTAAACGCAACCAAGCTTCACCAGGTGTGTTTGGCCTCCCCAGGACAGAGCATCAGCTGAATCACAGGTGGATGTGTCCTCTTTCATATGCCAAAGTCCCTGCCACTCCCTCTTATCTCCCTAAACAAAGTTCAGATGTCACGCACCGCTTACCGTCTAGCCGGCAGTGTTGTTTTTCCTCACCCTGGTCTCTTCTGCTGGTTTATTACATGCCTGACCCTTGCAGGCAATCACTTTGGGATCCGATCTAAATGCAAGTTATCCCACCAATATTTGATTGTACTTGAAATGCCTCTTTGTTTGTTTTTTAGGGAACCAAATGAACAGATGGTCAGAAATCCAAACTCTTCTTCAACGCCACTGAGCAATACCCCCTTGTCTCCTGTCAAAAACAGTTTTTCTGGACAAACTGGTGTCTCTTCTTTCAAACCAGGCCCACTCCCACCTAACCTGGATGATCTGAAGGTATAGGATTTGACATGAGTTTCTTTCTTTTTTTAAACAAATACAACAGTATGTTGTTAACATCACCAGGACCAACTGATATCTGGAGTAAGAGAGTGGGAGGGGAAGAAGACTGTAGGAAACACTGAAGGAGGTGACAGAATTTATCCTGCTGTGGTTGAACACCCCAGTTGTCTAGTCCATTTTATGCAGCCGTAACAGGATACTGGAAACTGGGAAATTTGAAAAGAAAAGGAATTTATTTCTCACAGTTCTAGAACTGAGAAGTCCGAGGACATGGCACCAGTATCTGGCAAATGCCATCCCATGGTAGAAGGGCAGAAGGTGGAAGGGCAAGAAAGGGCAAGAGCCCTTTCTTTTGAGATAGAGGGAAAAGACAAACTTTATGTTTATTTTACCATAGCAAAAAATAATTTTTAAGTAGGCTATTTCTAGATAAGAGTAAGACAGGAGACAAGTGAGACAGGAGATGCTTTAGCCAAAGAGAAACATGATCCAGATATGATAGTGCCATCTGTCAGACCCCTCAAAACCCACTTTTGGGAGGCTGAGGCAGGTGGATCCCTCTAGATACACATGCTCAGAATCATTGGCTGGTGAGAGTTACGGTAATTAGTATAGGTATAAGGAGATGATGATGATGATGGTGCCTACCTTTTTTTTTTTTTTTTTTTGAGATGGAGTCTTGCTCTGTCATCCAGGCTGGAGTGCAGTGGCACAATCTTGGCTCACTGCAAGCTCTGCTTCCCGGCTTCAAGCGATTCTCCTGCCTTAGCTTCCCTAGTAGCTGGGACTACAGGCACCTACCACTACACCCAGCTAATTTTTGTATTTTTAGTAGAGACAGGGTTTCACCAGTTGGCCAGGCTGGTCTCGAACTCCTGACCTCAGGTGATCCACCGGCCTTGGCCTCCCAAAGTGCTGGGATTACAGGCATGAGCCACCCTGCCCAGCCCCTACCAATTTTTTTTTTTTTTAAATATAAACCATCTGTCATTCATTCTGTGTAGATTTGCTTTAATTTTCACCCTGCAAGATAAGTTTTGTCTCCCCAATTTAAAAAGTGAAAATAAAAACCAGAATCATAAAGAGGTCAAATGATAGGCAGTTTAACCAGCTTATGAATGACAAAACTGAGGCTTAAAGCTAAGTAACTTATTTCAAGGGCTTTGCTATTGTATGAGACGTGAGTGGAAAGAGAGAGATGGGCAGGAGAGAACGTGGCTGGACTTGACCACTCACTGTGTGTATGGGGAGAGGCGCCATCTGAGTCTTGGGAGAGTGACATCAATGACAGAAGGAGAGTAGAATGAGGAGTTGATGTGAAGGGACAGTGGCAAGTTCATTCAGTTTGGGAAAGTCAAGTCGCGGGTACCAGCAGGACAACCGAGAGAAAAGTCATCCATTTCCATCAGTAAGAATTAGCCAGGCTGTCTTGTCAGGGGTGGGAAAAGAAATTTCAGACTCATGTGCGACGTGTGGAGCATTGAACCTAGAAGGGTGAATGAGATTGACAAAGAACAAAATGGAAAGAGTGAGAAGGAAAGAGAGAAGAGGAATGAAGGAGGCATATGATGCAACCACAATTGAGGAAAGGGAGAAATAAGAGGAATGGATGAAGGTGACCCCGCTAATAGTAATCAGAAAGGTCATATAATGAAGGTGACATTTGCAAGCAATTTTCATGTTTTGCTACACAAAAGGAAAAGAACACTGAGAGAAAAGTCTTTGATTTCTTTTTGAAAAGTTCATGGTTATATATCACAGTATGTGGATAATTTTTTGGATCCTATTTAAAAAAAAAAAAAACTGGCTGGGCGTGGTGGCTCACGCCTATAATCGCAGCACTTTGGGTGCTGCGGTAGGCGGATCATGAAGTCAAGAGATCAAGACCAGCCTGACCAACACGGTGAAACCCCATCTCTACGAAAAATATAAAAATTAGCTGGGCGTGGTGGTGCACGCCTGTAATCCAGCTACTCGGGAGGCTGAGGCGGGAGAATCGCTTGAACCCGGGAGGTGGAGGTTGCAGTGAGCCAAGATCGTGTCACTGCACTCTAGCCTGATGACAGAGCTTGACTCCGTCTCAAAAAAAAAAAAAAAAAACAAAAAAACAAAAAAACTGGAGAGAGAGAGAAAGAGAGAGACTGAAAGTTTAAAAAACTGAGAGAATACCTTATTGATATTAAGAAATAATAATTCATATTTTAAGGTGTGATAATGTTATTATATTATGGCTTTTTAAGAGTACTTATCTTTCAGAGATAGAGACCAAATTATTTGGATGAAATTATGTATGCTTTGCTTCAAAATAATTCAGGAAAGGTAGGAGAAGTGGGTTGGAGTATAGAAGAAACAAGATTGGGCATGAGTGATAATTGTTGAAGTTTGTTGATGAGTATATGAGGTTCATTAGACTTTCTATCTACTTTTGTGTATGTGTGAATTTTTCCATAATAGTTTAAAAAGTTATTAGTGATGAAAACACTAGTGAATGTAGGGAAGAGGTGTATATAAACCTTTGTCCTGAACAAGCGCATACAGTGTAATATTCTGAAGTTTAAGGTAAATTAAACTCAACTGTATTCATTTTTAGAATATGAGCTACATTATTTAATAATGTAGTTAAATTATTCAGTGGCAAGACAGATTCTAAAAATAAATGTAGAACTCATCAATTTTAAGTAATTCAAAATTAAAACAATAATGAGTTGCCATTTTGTACTTTTTCAAACCAGCAAATCTAAAAGAAAATGATAAAACAATTCCAGCAAGACTATAGGGTAAATAAATAATTGCTAATGTAAGTTAATTCAATCCTTTCCTTTTAGCTGATTATAAAGTAACATATATTGACTGTTGAAATATGATAGTGTGTAGAAAAGTAAACAGTATTTTGAAAGATAAGACTAACAGAAAGCAGATTATATTTCCTTCTAGGTTTAAAATGCATATAAACATTTTGTTTTAAAATAATTGTCTTGAAAAAATTACGTGCACATAAATTACTGGCATACTTCTTTTCTTAACACATCGTGAACATTTTTCATAACTGTTAATATTCAATAAATTTTTTATTTTTAATAGCAGCATATCACTTCACCACCTAGTTAACATTCCACTGCTGGACACTTCACTAGCTACCAGATTTTTGCTATTCAAAACGTGATTTCAGGCGGGGCGCAGTGGCTCACGCCTGTAATCCTAGCGTTTGGGAGGCCAAGGTGGGCGGATCGCTTGAGGTCAGGTGTTCAAAACCAGCATGGCCAACATGGTGAAACCCCATCTCTACTAAAAATACAAAAAATTAGCCGGGTGTGGTGGTGCACACCTGTAATCTCAGCTACTCAGGAGGCTGAGGCAGGGGAATTGCTTGAACCCAGGAGACGGAGGTTGCAGTGAGCTGAGATCGCACCACTACACTCCAGCCTGGGTGACAGAGCGAGACTCTGTCTCAAAACTTATATATATATATGTATGTATATACATATGTATATGTATATATACAAAACCTATATATATGTGTGTATATATATACACATGTCTCAAAACCTATATATACGTGTGTATATATACACACGTATATATACACATATGTATATACACATACATATGTGTATATATGTATACATATGTGTATATATATGTGTGTGTGTATATATATATATGATTTCAGTGATCTTTGTGCCTACATTTATTAGTTTCTCTGATTATTTCCTCAGGCTAGAATAAAATTCCTGAATTAAATATATTAATATTGTTTAAAGTTTTTTGTTTGTTTGTTTGTTTGTTTTTGAGACGGAGGCTCGCTCTGTCGCCCAGGCTGGAGTGCAGTGGCCGGATCTCGGCTCACTGCAAGCTCCGCCTTCCGGGTTCACGCCTTTCTCCTGCCTCAGCCTCCCGAATAGCTGGGACTACAGGCGCCCGCCATCATGCCCAGCTAATTTTTTGTATTTTTAGTAGAGACGGGGTTTCACCGTGGTCTCGATCTCCTGACCTCGTGATCCGCCCGCCTCGGCCTCCCAAAGTTCTGGGATTACAGGAGTGAGCCACGGCGCCCGGCTAAAGTTTTTGATACATATTAAAATTTCTGCCGTGAACATTTATGTGTCTGTTCCCAGAAGCAGCAAGTCGAAGCAGCACTTCTCAAACATTAATGTGTGAACTGAATCACCTGAGCTCTTGGTAGCATGAAGATTCTGATTTAGGTCTGGGGAGGGGCCCAAGATTCTGCATTTCCAACTAGCTCCCAGGCGATGCTGATGTTGCTTGTCTAAGGACCATACTTTGAATAGCAATGTAATAAAGAGCTTTACAAACACGTTGTAATTTTGGGCCGGGCGCTATGGCTCACGCCTGTAATCCCAGCACTTTGGGAGGCTGAGGTGAGTGGATCATCTAAGGTCAGGAGTTCCAGACCAGCCTGGCCAACATGGTGAAACCCCGTCTCTACTTAAAATACAAAAATTAGCCCGGTGTGGTGGTGCGTGCCTGTAATCCCAGCTACTCGGGAGGCTGAGGCGGGAGAATTGCTTGAACCCGGGAGGTGGAGGTTGCAGTGAGCCGAGATTATGCCGCTGCACTCCAGCCTGACCAACAGAGCAAGACTCCGCCTCAAAAAAAAACTAATTTAATTTTTGCCGCTACTTAACTAACACAAAGTCTTCTTATTCATTTGCCAACTTAATCAATACAAATAGATATATATTCATTAGATTTTCATTTCTTGGATTACTAATGATGATATACATACATTACTGTCCATATTTTAAATTTTATTTCGTTTCTGAAAAGCTGGATCATATATCCCTTGCTCATTTTTATACTGGGTATCAATCTTCTTTTTAATCAATTAGCACACTTGATACATTGAGCTTTTTAACACTTTATTATTTGTGTCACAATTCATTTTTCCCAAGATAGCTATTTGTATTTGCGCTTTGTAGTTTCTTGACTTACAGAAGTTTTAAATTTTGTTTTCAATATTTTTCTCAAACTATCTTTTCCTACAGAGTATCAGAATATTTCCCTATAGTCTTCTGTTTTATGAAATTATTGACATTTAGGTATTTAATATGTTTCCTGTTTTAATTACAAACGTAATACGTTTATGTGGCATATTTAGAACATACAGATAAGGAGAACCGTTGTTAACATTTTAGCATATTTTTATCTGGATTTTTCATATGCAAACATAGGTTCAAATATATATATGTATATATATATGTACATACATTGTTTATATAATTTTTAGAAAAATAGTCAATTCAAACTTTGTTCACTTGTTACTATACCACAACAATTAATCATCCAATGTCAGCAAATATTTATAGCATCAGCTTTAATGGATCTGTAGTGTCCCATCATTTGCATACACTATCATTTACCTAACCACTTCTCATATTTGTAGATATTTAGAGTTTCCAGTTTATGAACATTATAAAAAATACAGGGATAAGATAATTACAAGTGAATTAACATAATAATATTAGTAAAACTTTATATTGCACAACAATTTGCCAGGCACTATTCCAAGTGCTTTATACATTTTAAGCCATTTTAACCCTCACAAAAATGCATAAAGTAAGCATTATTTCCTCCATTTCCCAGAAGGGAAACTGAGGCACGGAGTGATTGATCACTGAGTTAGTAACAGACAGGGCCAGGAGTTGAACTGATGGTCTTATCGCCACATACTCTCTCAGTATACGACTATTATTCAGCTGGTCATTACAATTAGGACATAAACGTTTATATGGAGCCGTGGTTCTCAAAGTCAGGTCGGGGCACCACCTGAGGACTTGTTAGAAATGCGTATCAACTGGGTCAGAAACCCCACAGTGGGGCCCTGCAGTCTGCTTTGTAACACACCCTCCAGTGGTTCTGGCGCATGTTCAGGTTTGAGGAAGAGAACGTGGTAGGAAGAGCCCTCACCAAGGAAGCCAGAAAAGCTGCAGACTTTGCTGTACTTCAAGACTATTGTTGGAGGGCTTGTGTCTAAACCCAGGCAGATATGTTTTCTCATCTATAAAATGGGGACACAGATCGCCATGAGGGATGACGGGCAGTAGATTAGATGACTTCTACCATTCATTCAAGCTCTACATTTCTATGACTCTAAGGCCATGAAAACACCGTATACGATAAAGTTAAAAATAATTGTTAAAATTGTGCAGAACTGATTTATATCAGGGGTAGGAGAGGAAATCGGAAAGAAGTATAAAAAAGAGGTGGGTATTGTAGAATTCCATTTGTGATGTTTTGAAGCTAATTGTATAATGAATACACTTTTAAAAATATTGTCGTTAAACAGCACACTAACCACATTCTGATTTCTTTAGGTCTCTGAATTAAGACAACAGCTTCGAATTCGGGGCTTGCCTGTGTCAGGCACCAAAACGGCTCTCATGGACCGGCTTCGACCCTTCCAGGACTGCTCTGGCAACCCAGTGCCGAACTTTGGGGATATAACGACTGTCACTTTTCCTGTCACACCCAACACGCTGCCCAATTACCAGTCTTCCTCTTCTACCAGTGCCCTGTCCAACGGCTTCTACCACTTTGGCAGCACCAGCTCCAGCCCCCCGATCTCCCCAGCCTCCTCTGACCTGTCAGTCGCTGGGTCCCTGCCGGACACCTTCAATGATGCCTCCCCCTCCTTCGGCCTGCACCCGTCCCCAGTCCACGTGTGCACGGAGGAAAGTCTCATGAGCAGCCTGAATGGGGGCTCTGTTCCTTCTGAGCTGGATGGGCTGGACTCCGAGAAGGACAAGATGCTGGTGGAGAAGCAGAAGGTGATCAATGAACTCACCTGGAAACTCCAGCAAGAGCAGAGGCAGGTGGAGGAGCTGAGGATGCAGCTTCAGAAGCAGAAAAGGAATAACTGTTCAGAGAAGAAGCCGCTGCCTTTCCTGGCTGCCTCCATCAAGCAGGAAGAGGCTGTCTCCAGCTGTCCTTTTGCATCCCAAGTACCTGTGAAAAGACAAAGCAGCAGCTCAGAGTGTCACCCACCGGCTTGTGAAGCTGCTCAACTCCAGCCTCTTGGAAATGCTCATTGTGTGGAGTCCTCAGATCAAACCAATGTACTTTCTTCCACATTTCTCAGCCCCCAGTGTTCCCCTCAGCATTCACCGCTGGGGGCTGTGAAAAGCCCACAGCACATCAGTTTGCCCCCATCACCCAACAACCCTCACTTTCTGCCCTCATCCTCCGGGGCCCAGGGAGAAGGGCACAGGGTCTCCTCGCCCATCAGCAGCCAGGTGTGCACTGCACAGGTAAGAGCACCTTGCGCCATGCCTGGTGCACACTTCTTTCTGGAAGTGGGTTACAAATTTTCAACTGCTAAAGAGCTAATGTCAGAATTTTCAATGGGAAGGGTTTACCAAAAGCATAGCAGAATCTCCCAGACACTACAATCCTTGAATCCTCATGGTAGACCAAACTCACTCATCCTCTAAGGCAGGGGTTGGCAAACTTACTCTGTAAAGGGCGAGATGGTAAATATTTTTTGCTTTGCAGGTCACACTGTCTGTGTCATACCTACCCAATTTTGCCTTTGTTTCACAAAAGCAGCCATAGATATCATGTGAGCAAATGCACATGGCTCTGTCCCAATAAAACTTTATTTTAAAAAATAGTCAGTGAGCAAGACTTGGCTTGTGGGCTGCAGTTTGCTGACCGCTGTTCTCAGGATTCCCAGGATTCCTCGGTGTCCAACCTTATCATAGGCCAAACCAATGCCTCAAAGGTTTAAAGGGGAAATCATCAGATCTTACTCTTCATGTAATGGTCTGCATAGTGCAAACATTTACTGAGCACCTACTATGTGCCAGGCCCCGTTCTCATCTCTGGGACTTAGTGCTGAACTAGCCAAACAAAAATTTCTATTCTCATGGGAACAGAGACAGTTTAAAAGTAAATTAAACAATTTCAAAGTTAATTATGTACTATATTAGAAGATGACACATCTTATGGAGAAAAAGCAAAGAGGTGTGTGTGTGTGTATGTGTGTGTGTGTGTGTGTAGTTTGGAAGTTTGCAACTGTTTTTTTGAGATAGAGTCTCGCTCTGTCACCCAGGCTAGAGTGCAGTGGCGTGATCTTGGCTCACTGCAACCTCTGCCTCCCGGGTTCAAGCGATTTTTCTGCGTCAGCCTCCCGAGTAGCTGGGACTACAGGCGCACACCACCATGCCTGGCTATTTTTGTATTTTTAGTAGAGACAGAGTTTCACCATGTTGGCCAGGCTGGTCTCTAACTCCTGACCTCGTGATCCGCCCGCCTTGGCCTCCCAAAGTGCTGGGATTACAGGCGTGAGCCACCATGCCCAGCCGGAAATTTGCAACTTTAAATAGAAGAGCCAGGGACGTTTAGCAAAACCTTGAAAGCAGTAAAAAGAAAATGTCGTGGATATTTGGGGTGAAGGCATTGAAGGCAAACGAGAAATAGCACTTGCAGGGGCCCTGAGGTTGGAACTTGTAGGGACTGTTCAAGGATCAGAAAAAGGGCCAGTGGCCGGAGCAGAATGGAAGTGGTCATAGGAGATGGCTTAGAAGACTCACTAACTCAAAGACTAGGCAAAGGTGACTGACAAAGACTTTATGCTCATGAGCTGAAGAATTACTAGGAAAGCCTATGTAAGTCAAGTTGAGAAAGGTTACATTATCAAAAGGTTCTGACATCACCATTATTAGAAAAGGAATCAGAAGAAAACTTACATTAACTGAATACCTGCTAAGTGCCAAGCATTACAAGGCATGTCTATGAGTAATCTCAGTTATTGCCACAAGAAACCTATGAGCTCCAATGTATTATTCTTTATTTGTCATTGAGGAAAATGAGGCTCAGAGAGCTTAAATTAGTTACCCAGGATCACATGAACCCAAGATTTGTTAATTCTAAGTACAATGCCCTATTCAAGTGGAATATCTCCACCCCAAGAATGTGAAGTGTGGCAAAAGGTAACGAGAAGTAATTTTTACAAACCTACAGGAACAATGCATTCCAATGAATGATGTCTACTACCCCTGAGGGGCACTGTGGGAGAAATTAGGACCTAAAAAACTTATTGTCATAATTAACAAACATTTATTGAGTGTGTAGTGTCCTGGGAAACAAAGGTAAAAATAGCTCTTGAGACACAGCTCTGGACCAAAAATTTCAGTACTGATGATACTGCTGCTAACGTTGCACAGTGATTTATGGTTCACAAAGACTCTTTGAAGACATTAAAAATTTCATGATAAAATGATAAAGAACAGGCCAGGCGCACTGGCTCACACCTGTAATCCTAGCACTTTGGGAGGCCGAGGTGGGCGGATCACAAGGTCAAGAGTTCGAGACCAGCCTGGCCAACACAGTGAAACCCCATCTCTACTAAAAATACAAAAATTAGGCCAGGCACAGTGGCTCATGCCTGTAATCCCAGCACTTTGGAGGCCAAGCGAGTGGATCACAAGGTCAGGAGTTTGAGACCAGCCTAGCCAATATGGTGAAACCCCATTTCTACTAAAAATACAAAAATTAGGCCAGGCGCGATGGTTCATGCCTGTAATCCCAGCTTGAGAGGCTGAGGCGGGTGGATCACGAGGTCAGGAGATAGAGACCAGCCTGGCCAATATGGTGAGACCCCATCTCTACTAAAAGTACAAAAATTAGCCGGGCGTGGTGGCACGCGCCTGTAGTCCTAGCTACTAGGGATGCTGAGGTAAGGGAATAGCCTGAACCTGGGAGGCAGAGGTTGCAGTGAGCCGAGATCGCACCACTGCACTGCAGCCCGGGCGACAGAGTGAGACTCCGTCTAAAAATAAATGAATAAAATAAAAAAATAAAGAACAATATAGGTTAACAATGACTGATCTATGCTTACAACATTAAATGCTGGTGGGAGGGAGGGACAGATTGATTAGAAAGGGCTGGAAAGGTCCAGGAAGCTTTCATGAAGGGGTTGGACTTGACAGGAAGTGTCACGTTAAAAAGTAGAGGGCCAGGAAAGGGACAAGGTAGGGGGATGGAATGTACAGGGCATGCTGCCGGAGGTCCATGGCGGGAATAGTAGAACTTAAGCTTGCAGAAGTAAATAGCACCAAAGTGTAGAGTCTTGAACACCCATCCGGTTTGAAAGCGGAAATCCTATGATGTGGATACCTGGAGCCACTGGAAGTTTCTGAGCAGTAGGTGATGTCTAAAAAGCCAGATTTTAGGCAAGTTCATCTGGTAATGGAATTTAGGAAGGTTTGTAAAAATGACACCAGGGGACACAGGGCAGGAACCAGAATTGTCAGCAAAGGTCACACTCAAGTAAGCTGCTGCTGGCCATGTAATTTGTCACTTCTTCCTTTGCAGAACTCAGGAGCACACGATGGCCATCCTCCAAGCTTCTCTCCCCATTCTTCCAGCCTCCACCCGCCCTTCTCTGGAGCCCAAGCAGACAGCAGTCATGGTGCCGGGGGAAACCCTTGTCCCAAAAGCCCATGTGTACAGCAAAAGGTAGGCACCTGAAAAAAGGCCTCAACCTGGGATTCACTTTGCCTCTTCTCTCTTCTGTAACCCGGGAGGCAGAAGTTGCAGTGAGCCGAGATCGCACCACTGCACTCCAGCCCAGGTGACAGAGCGAGACTGCATCTCAAAAAAAAAAAAAAAAAAAGAATAAAATAAAAAAATAAAGAACAATATAGGTTAACAATGACTGATCTATGCTTACAACATTAAATGCTGGTGGGAGGGAGGGACAGATTGATTAGAAAGGGCTGGAATAGGTCCTCCAAAGTGAAAAATAATGAAGTTCCCTTTCAAGGCAGAAGTAAATTTCATTCTAGAGAGAAACAAATCCACTCCAAATGCATCTAAAAGGATGTACAGATATGAGTTAGAAGTTTTCCCAAGGAGTCATTTCCTGGGGTCATCCCAGAAATCATGATGACTAAAATGGCCATATGTTTGCAAAACAACTTGAACAGTAAACCAGTTTCTGTGAAGTTAAAGATTGGGATCAGGGTGTGTGGGAAACAACATTGGAGGAAGAGAGAGGGACACAGATCCATGGACAGGATTGGAGAGATGTGCAAAGCAGGGGTCACAGTGCAATATCTTTATGGAAAAGGAAGAGATATCACCCTTCAGCTGGTGGAAGAAGTCAGGGGTATGAAGGATCCAGGGTATGGAGAGTCTCAAGGGGCAAAGAAGAGGTGGCAGAAAGGAGACAAACAAGATAAGCCTGACATAAAAGTGCCACATACCACAAGTCGGAAGGGGCAGAGACCCTGAATTGGGCCAGGCACTCCACAGGAGAACACACTCAAAATAAACAAAGCTGGTTCATAAAGAGACCTCAGCAATGCCTCCAGCTCTCTGCAAAATACCCAGTTTGGAATAAATGACCTGTGGGGTAGATTAGTCTGGAAATTCCTGGGTTGATTATTTTTTATTTATTATTTATTTATTTTTGAGACACAGTCTCACTCTGTCGGCCAGACTGGAGTGCAGTGGCGCGATCTCGGCTCACTGCAACCTCCACCTCCCAGGTTCAAGCGATTCTTCCGCCTCAGCCTCCCAAGTAGCTGGGATTACAGGCGCACCACCATGCCTGGCTAATTTTTTTATTTTTAGTGAGATGGGGTTTCACCATGTTGGCCAGGCTGCTCTCGAACTCCTGACCTCAGGTGATCTGCCCACCTCGGCCTCCCAAAGTGCTAGTATTACAGCTATGAGCCATCACGCCTAGCCTGATCTGTTTGTATTGAATTGGACTGTTACTTATTTTCCCCTAAAATAAGAGGGTGCACCTTAAGGAGGAAAATAGATCTTGCAAGGTTGCCATTCTAAGACGCCACCACCAATGAACCCACAGTAGCATTCACTACTGTTAATATATGGGAGTTATTTTCTAAGCCCTGGACTTTTCTTTTTTCCTCTTAGATCAATTTTTCCAAAATTTAGCCTGTTGTTTCTAGAACAGAAACAACATAATTTCAGATCCATGAATTCAATGCCTTTCTTCATATTTTACCCATGCAGATGGCTGGTTTACACTCTTCTGATAAGGTGGGGCCAAAGTTTTCAATTCCATCCCCAACTTTTTCTAAGTCAAGTTCAGCAATTTCAGAGGTAACACAGCCTCCATCCTATGAAGATGCCGTAAAGCAGGTAACCATGTGATTTGTTCTTTATGGAAGAATAGACTGACTCAATGAACAGACATTGTTTGATATGATTAAACTTCACGCAGTTTGTAAATTCTGATATTGAGTGTGTCATGTGCCATACCACCAAAATAAGCAAATTATCTAGACAATAATTGGAAAACAGTGTTGCATGTGTAGCTGTGTGAGGCAGGGAGAGAAGAGGGTCACCTGTCTGGCTTTGGTACCAGTTCTGCCATCTGCCAGCTGCCACTGTCACTAAGGTGAATACTTCACCTCTCTTATGCAAAATAGGGATAATATTTACTTGGTAAGGATTCTAGATAGCCTCGCACTTACCACATTGTTCAGGCACATAATACCTTCTCAAATAGATGAGAGTGACTGTCAGGGTAATACTTCCTAAGGTTCTCCCTGGCTTTAAAATTCAGTGACCCTGGCAAAACACTGACGGGTATTGAAGCTGGATAATAAATGCAAGGAGGTTCACTGTATCCTCTACTTTCATTTGGATTTGGAAAGTCTCAAAATTAAAAAGTAAGAAAAAGAAAAAACAAGGCTGGGTCTGGTGGCTCACACCTGTAATCCCAGCACTTTGGGAGGCCAAGGTGAGTGGATCACCTGAGGTCAGGAGTTTGAGACCAGCCTGACCAACATGGTGAGACCCCATCTCTACTAAAAATACAAAAATTAGCTGGGTGTGGTGGTGTGTGCCTGTAATCCCAGCTACTCTGGAGGCTGAGGCAGGAGAATTGCTTGAACCTGGGAGGTGGAGTTGCAGTGAGCCGAGTTTGTAGCACTGTACTCCAGCCCGGGTGACAAGAGCAAAACTCCATCTCAAAAAAAAAAGAAAAAGAAAAAGAGAAACAATTAATGATCCCCTATTTCAAATAGTCTGAGCTTGGATAAGGTATTCGATAGCCCTTCATATGTGCTCAACCCAGAGAAGAACATTTACATCAATTGCTACATATGGGTATCCCACAGATCAAAGTCAGCCTGCAGTTAAGTTTTGTTTGGCTTAAAGAATGTTTTAAATAACAGGAGATGGTATGCAGAGTGGGCTTTCTCATTTCTAAAAAATTAGAGGATCTGGCAAACCAGGAGCCACACTGCTGCGAGACAACAATTGCCTAAACCAAGGTTCTTTTGCTACTTTGAGCCACAGCTATGCTCTGCTCTCTGCCTCTTTTTCTTATTCTATATTCAGTTCATTTCCATTACCTGCCAGACCCTTAGGCATCTGGTACCTTCTGAACTGATAAATGACTCATTTTTTGGTCAGTGCTCCCATCCATATTGATTACCGATACCTATGTTTATTGAGTCTGGGCTCTCAGAGGAGTGAGATGGATATATGCCTTTGTTCTCCCCATTCCTCTCCCCTGGTTTCTGTAAACATCAGCCGATTCTTCAGTTTCAAAAGAAAAGGGCCAGGCAAAGTGGACATCCAGAAATAAGACTCTACTGAGATGAGCCAGAGAGGAGGGGGCATACCCTACTGGTGTCTACAGGTTCCTCAAGCTACTGCCATGAGGAACCATCAAAATATGAGCCAAGTTCTTGAGCCACATTGGAGCAACCAAGCAAGAGGTAGATTCAGGTCACTTCAAAGTAAGAGCGTAAAAAGACATTTTCTATTTATTAAGATGTCCTGCTCCTGGGATGAAAACCCCTCAAACAACTGAACCGACTCTAAAGTACCCTGTGCTAGAAAGCATTCTGCCTTCTTTTTCCCTTCTCCTGTTGTAGTAGACTGTTTCATTCAGTAGATTATCTGCCTAAAATTACTACTGAAGCTTAATCAGACATGGTTTAAAAATTTTTAGGCAATAGACCTATGTTCATAGCAGCATTATTCACTGTAGCCCAAAGGTAGAAACAACCCATATGTTCATTGACAAATGAATGGATAAACAACATGTGTTATATCTATACAATGGAATTTTATTCAGTCTTTAAAAAAAAGAAATTCTGACACATGTCACAACATAGATCAACCTTAAGGACATTACGCTTAGGGAAATAAGCTAGTTGCAAAAGAATAAATACTGTACGATTCGCTTCTATGAGGGACTTAGATAGAATAGTCAAATTCGTAAAGGCAGAAAGGAAAATGGCGGTTGCCAGGGGCTAAAGGATGGGGTGTGGGAAATTATGGTTGAATGGGTACACGATTTTAGTCTTGCAGGATGAAAAGAATTCTGAAGACAGATGGTGGTGATGGTCACACAATTGTGTGAATGTACTTAATGCCCCTTAACTGTACACTTAAAAATGGTTGATAGTAAATTTAAAGTTATGTGTATTTTGCCACAATTGGAAAAAAAAATACCTTGACCAAACCTAGTTCAAAATCTTGCAGTGCTGCTTCTAATGATTTCCTACGGAGATAACCACCTTCTAAATTGTCTGTCCTCCTTTGGTTAATTTGTAATAGCAAATGACCCGGAGTCAGCAGATGGATGAACTCCTGGACGTGCTTATTGAAAGCGGAGGTAAGACTGCCTGTGTCCTGTCCATTAGGACATTCTGAGCCCACATGAACTCTAAGGAATGAACTCTCGGTACCAAGATCAGATGCACACTGTGAGTTGGATGTACCAGGTAGTCCTCAGGGAGAGCCATTTCCTTTGAGCTTCTCGCACATTTTTAGAGCTGATAAAAGAAGGCTTAGTGGATGATTCCTCACTGCCTTTGTCCTAGGAGCATTTTTCAGCAATCATTTTAATAGTTTTCATGTTTCAGCCTAATCCTTGTTTCCTTAAGTGTTTTCTCTTGCTGCACTTCTTCTTTCTATGTTCTAATCTCAATGCCCCTACCTTCTCAATTATAATAAAAGAAAAAAGCAGATAATGAACATTTTGTGCTACCTACTCAAAGTGAAATTCAATTAGCAACCTTCCACTGGATGGTTCATTCATGCTTAAATGTTATACATGCTAGCAATAAAACATAATCAGCATGTTCTTTTTGTCACCTTTTAATTTGTTCATTTATTTACTTAAAAAATTATGGAGTGTGTACCTAGAATTTTAAACCACACAAATGAATAAGATGACCTAAGGAGCATGTGTAGATCAAAATAAAAGCACTCAGGGAGGAATCCTTAAGCCAAAAACATTTAAAATTTCAGAGACGGAGGTAGCAAAGGACTCAGAGAAGGGGTAGCCAGGCGTTGTCATAGTCTCCGTGCTATGATCAGACAAGATCCTGATTCCTATGGAGTTTACAGTCTGGTAAGGGAGACAGACAACAAGCAAGTGAACAGACCTTTCCTCCATTGTAGCAAGAGGGAAGAAGGAAGAGATGGGTACAAACATATGTATGTAAATGAGTTCTGTAATGGAAAGATGAGAAGAGTTCATATCAGATGCCCATACACACACACACACACACACACACACACACACACACACACACACACATTTTTGAGACGGAGTCTCACTCTGTCGCCAGGCTGGAGTGCAGTGGCGGGATCTTGGGTCACTGCGACCTCCGCCTCCTGGGATCAAGCGATTCTCCTGCCTCAGCCTCCCAAGTAGCTGGGACTACAGGCGCGTGCCACCACGCCCAGCTAATTTTTTGTATGTTTAGTAGAGACGGGGTTTCACCATGTTGGCCAGGATGGTCTCAATCTCTTGACCTCGTGATCTGCCCACCTAGGCCTCCCAAAGTGCTGGGATTAAAGGCGTGAGCCACCACGCCCAGCCTGCCCTTGTATATTTTTAATGAAATATGTGGCAAGGCCAGAAAAGCGTGAGGATGCAGAAGGGGAGTGTGGAAGATTCAGGGGAAGAAGAGCAGTTATGACTTAATCATGAATGAACTGAGTTTTCTGGAGAAACACAGCTGGGTTGTTTTGCAGTCTTAAATGCCAGTTGTAGGTCTGACCTCAGAAATCTAAAGTGAAACCAAGTCAGCTTAGTTGTTTAATTTTTCTCTTGCAATGTTCTGCTGATCCAGAGCATGCTCAGCGAAGGCAGATGATCAGGTTCCTCCAGGTGTGGGGTTCTGCCAAAAATACAGGCTAGACAAGGAAAGAAGTGAAGACCAGAGGGGCTGGTGGACAGTGATAACATAGTAGAGTCTATGGATTAGTGTGACTGTAAATGGTTGGGAAATTATTGTTACAAGGTACATAATAAGTGGCTTGGAGGGTTGGGAGAGGATGGACAGAGAATAGAAAATATAGCTTGAAAGTGAGCTTTCAGAGGGATGCAGTATTTGGAGATGACACAATCCAAGGTGTGTCTGACAGAGTGGCAGTGGGGGAATCACTGGAGTTGAGGAGGAAGTCGGGAGCTCAGAGGCCAGCATGAACACTGTGATTTCCAAGGATGCTCAGGTTACAGAATGAGAAGGGTTCAAGTGGGGAAAAGGCAATGGAGTAGGAAGCAGAGTTTTCAGTAGATGAGGGGGAGTGACCAGGAGGCTAGGGGTGAGGCATTGCTGTCACCCTCAAAACCCAAAACTGCTGAGTTGTCATCAGAAGCGGGGGGAGTAGCAATCAGAAAGTGGCAATGGCATGGCGCCTGGTCCCTCATCTTCAGGCCCTCACTGATGGTGTTGGGATGGACTCAGTGTCCTCAAGGGACTACCAGGGGTCAGAGGAGTAGGCCAGGAACCTTCAGAGAAGAGAGTTTAATAATCACAGAGTGGAATTCCCAAGAGGAAAGGGTTTGGGAAAAACCAGAGGGAAGATGAATTGGAGATTGATAGAGCAGCTTAGAGATGAGACTGGGTGGTGAGCGGTGACCAGGGAAGCGTGGCCATCTTCTGTATCTAAGTGTAACTCACTCATATTGTGTGGCATGCTCAATTTGAAGTGATTTAACAAGTCACATCGTGTATTGCCCACAGAAATGCCAGCAGACGCTAGAGAGGATCACTCATGTCTTCAAAAAGTCCCAAAGATACCCAGATCTTCCCGAAGTCCAACTGCTGTCCTCACCAAGCCCTCGGCTTCCTTTGAACAAGCCTCTTCAGGCAGCCAGATCCCCTTTGATCCCTATGCCACCGACAGTGATGAGCATCTTGAAGTCTTATTAAATTCCCAGAGCCCCCTAGGAAAGATGAGTGATGTCACCCTTCTAAAAATTGGGAGCGAAGAGCCTCACTTTGATGGGATAATGGATGGATTCTCTGGGAAGGCTGCAGAAGACCTCTTCAATGCACATGAGATCTTGCCAGGCCCCCTCTCTCCAATGCAGACACAGTTTTCACCCTCTTCTGTGGACAGCAATGGGCTGCAGTTAAGCTTCACTGAATCTCCCTGGGAAACCATGGAGTGGCTGGACCTCACTCCGCCAAATTCCACACCAGGCTTTAGCGCCCTCACCACCAGCAGCCCCAGCATCTTCAACATCGATTTCCTGGATGTCACTGATCTCAATTTGAATTCTTCCATGGACCTTCACTTGCAGCAGTGGTAGAATGCCCAATGCACCAGTGCTATGGAAGACCAATGGAGTTCCATGGGGGAAAGCACACAGCCATACATACTTTACTGTCCAAAAACAGAAGAAGAAGAAGAGAATTAAAAAGAAGCAATGATTTCTGTGCCAATGAACAAGAACAAAAGTCATTTTTAGAAATACATATACTGTAATATTTACCAACAGTCAGTAACTGTTAATGATTTCAACAATGCATTAAAAGAATGTGCTTTCTCAGATTAAGGATGCCAAAAAAGATATTTCACTGCCTTTTCAAAGACCAGTATATTTTCTAGCCCATAATTTTTCTCAGGCATTGTTGGGGCATAAGCTCACACTGTAAGCTTTTCTCATGAATTCACTAGACATAACGTGGAAGGAAAACGTAGTCTTTTGGGAGTACAGGGAAGCCAGCCCCTCAAAGCTTATGGAAGACATACCTGCAATGGAAGCTGTTGCCCAATGTCTCCATTACTATCTTTCAAAAGAGAAGCCAGACCCAGCTTCAGATCAAAAGTTCTTGAGACAGAGGAACAAAACCAATCGATTTCCAGGGAAGCTAATCAACTCTCTTTTCCCTCTACCACAAAACTGCCCTGCTGGAGTGGTTCTGAACCTGTACCCAGGACTCGATGTGGTCACTAATAACAATTAACCTGAACTGAGTCCACAGAACTCCACTCGGAACTTTCTTCTTTTTTAACTAGTGGCCCAATCATTCCCACCATCTCTGTGCTGATAAGTACGTGTCCTAGATGAGAACCCTGAAGAATGCAGACCTTCTTCCCCCGAAGGAGATGCCACAAGCTCTCCAACACAGCCCCCTTTAGTTCCAAAGACTAGAGATGACCACATTGGTAGAAGTATATCTCGAGGCACAGGAAGGGAGCCCCACCAGGGATAATTCAGACAGGACTAGAGAATAACATCATTTCACATACCCTGGGATAAACACCCTGGGTTCCTATAGAAGGACTATTACTTATGGGAGTCCAACTTCTCCTTTTGTTTTGTTATTATCAGTTTATCTTTCTCCCACTCCACTTTTCCTTCAAGGTACCAATCCTTTCCTGTTCCTCGTTTGGCCATCTTTCTTTTTCTGCCTCCACATTGGGAGGGGAGGACTTCTCAGTTCTAACAAGCTGCCATACTCCTAAGAAAGCCATTTTTGAAAAATTTAACAATCCAGGTTCTTCTGGAGAACTCATTCTCCACACGCACAGTTTGCTGCAAAAGGAAGTTGCAAGAATTTCTTGAGGAAGAAACTGGTGACTTGGTCCATCAGTCACGAAGTTCTTTCTATTCTCGTTTAGTTTTCAAGAAATTATTGGTTTGTGTTGCTCTGGGGAAATTGGAAATCATTACATTGTAAAGACAAATATGGATGATATTTACAAGAGAGAATTTCAGATCTGGGTTTTTGAAAGAAAACAGAATTGCGCATTGAAAACGATGGAAGGAAAAAGACAATGGTCTAATGTGCATTCCTCATTACCTCTCGTGGCTTTGGCTGGGAGTTGGAAAAAGCTAAAATTTCAGAACAGTCTCTGTAAGGCTCTCTGTGGCTCCAGTTCACCATTTTATATTGTTGCATGCTGTAGAAAGGAGCTATTGCTGTTGTTTTGTTTTTTTATTTAAATCACTAAGGCACTGTTTTTATCTTTTGTAAAAAAAAAAAAAAAGTTGTTCACTGTGCACTTATAGAAAAAATAATCAAAAATGTTGGGATTTTAGAAGCTCTCTTTTTGATAAACCAAAGATTTAGAAGTCATTCCATTGTTAACTTGTAAAAATGTGTGAACACAGAGAGTTTTTGGTGATTGCTACTCTGAAAGCTGCCAGATCTTATTCTGGGGGTGGGATGTGGAGGAATACACATACACACACAAACATACATGTATGTATAATAGATATATACATATGTGTATATTATATCTGTGTGTGCATGTATCTCCAAAAGCGGCGTTACAGAGTTCTACACCAAAAGCCTTTAACCCTTAATCTGCTGTGAATGATACCTGGCCTTTCTCACTATGAATTTCTGATTAACCAACCAGACTACACGTTGCCTCTCTGTGTATGACTAACGGCTCCAACCCGATGACTCACAGCTACTTGCTTATCGTGAACAAGCTCATCTTGGCAATGAATATGGATGTGAAAAGACAGAACAGCTTCACCATTAGTAGCTGGAAATGGTATCACAGTCTCTTATAGAGGAATATGAAAGGAACAAGAAAATCATTTTACATTCCTTTTATCTGTATTGTGCTTTAAAAGATCCACATGGTAAATTTTTTATTTTGCTTTTATGTCAGTCATCAGAACCAAAAAAATCCAGAAGAAAAAATTGCCAGTGTTTCCTTTGAAGATGAAGCTACTGGGGAAGAAAACCTTATTAATACACTCCACACATTTGTTCATTCCTCAGCTGTTGGTGTTTTCTTGGGGTCTTGACAAAGCTTGCTGGTCAGTGCACTTTTCAGGTGTCACGTTTTGCTGTTTGTATGTTTTTTCTTCCCCTTACTTCCTTTGGAAAACAAACTCACACAGTGCCCCTACTCTGAGACCTGGGACTGAGTGTTAATTATTTTTTCCTTGGGTATTTCTATCTGAGAGACTAGACCTAGTTAGGAGGCCTCTGTACTTCTCCAGATTGTACCTTTTTATGGGGATCTTTGAGGCTATGACCCAGGACTGATAGATATGCCTTACGGAAGACAAAAGATAAAATGGTTCCTATATCCTAATGCAAACCAACACAGTTAAAAGAGCAGATCTCTGGATAACTGCTCTCAACCTGCTTCTACAGTCTCCACAAACCGCATTCACCCTCTCTCTTCATAGCTCAGACATGAAATTTGAGGGAGAAAACTGGAGATAATTGGGAGAAAATTGATGAAGTTGGCTGCTTCCAGTAGATCAGATAATCCATGAATTTGTCTCCCATTGAGAATTTTATTTTAAATTCTTTTAAACTCTTCGTTGTGTCTTTTGTGATGACAAATCAGGCATGACTAAAAGATGTACAGAGACTTACGAAGATGGTCACATTCAAGTTCCCTAATGCTCTTAGAACCTGAAGATGACCATGTGTAGTTTTCTTAAGACCTCTGAACCCCCATGGTGATGAAGACTTGAAGACATTTGCAGCTATCTGCTGCAGTCTGGTAGATTCATACTTATCTAAAGAAGTCAAAAAATTTATTCGTGCAAGTGCTTGCAGGAAGCCAGTGCTTATTAGTAGTGACCCTGCTTCTATCAACGTTATTGAGACAACACATATTCTATTCTAAGGGAGAAAGAGGGAGGAAGAGAGGGAGGGAGGGAGGAAGAAGAGGGAGGGAGCGAGGAAGGAAGATAGGAGATGGGTAGGGGGGTAAAGAGAAAAGGAGGGAGAAGGGAAGGAAGGAAAGAAGAGAGGAAAGAAAGGAGGGAAGGAAAAAAGGGCCAAACTTTCTGATCTATGAACTTCTCAGTTCAGCTGTCACATTATGAGAAGTAAATCAGAATTTTTTTAAGGAGAAGTCATTCTTAGCACTACAATAATTGTACCAGTAATTGAGGAAACCAAGACAATCTTCACCTGAATAATAGAGGGTCTGAGAACTGTCAGCCTTTTGCCATTCAAAAACATTTATGTCCAACCTGAAAAAAAAGCATCAATAAAACCTATCCCAAGCATTCAAAATAGTCCTTTCCAAATGTTATTTATTTTAAAGTCAATCAGCTCTTTTAGAAACAGATTCTGGTCTGGCTGAAAACTCCCACAACAAATTTACTCATCCAGTGGCTAATATTTAATGCCCACCATGGGCAGAGCACACAAATCTTCAGATAAACAATACTGAATTGATTCAGCACAGATTGTTCAGATTTGAATGACCAGGGAGTTGTATTTGCACATGCAAGAACACTAAGAATCTCCCAGTCCTCAAACTAGAAACCTTTCAGCTACGATGAAAAAAAAAAAGGGGTCTTCATTTTTCCAAGAGGGGGTGGAGGTGGGGATCACTTTTTAGCTAAAAGCTATCTCTCACTTCAAAATTCTTGTCTTTTTCTTTGTGGACAAACACCAGTAGTCTATCACTTGGAGATCTTTTAATATCTCCCATCATTTAAAACATCCACGAGAGTTTGAAGATTTGTGTTGATTGCCAGATACAGAAGCCCCTTGAAAATAAGGAAAGGGTGGAGGAAGCATTTTTGTGTCCTATCCCTACTTATCGTAGCAGCTCTATAGACAAAAGGGACACTTACTGGTGAGCCTCTGGCCCTTAAAAGAAAATCATCTAAGAATATGAAGGCAATTTGATTTCCCCCCACAGCCCTCAGCTGCCTTCCTCACAGAAGGAAGTTCCCAAAATTGCTGGTACACAGTTTGCAATCAAATATCAGATATGAGAAAACCTGTAGTGAAGAGTCTGGGTTCTTGGTTTTCTCATAAATCCAATATAAATTTGTAGGTTGGTTCAGGGTCAAAATTGCCAGTGCTTTATTAGACAGATGATACTGATAGACACACAGAGCCCAGGTCCTGGAACAAGACAATCCTGTAGTGCCAAGATCTGGTCAGTTGCGTTAAGGAGCTGGGTTTGATTCTAGAGTCCAGGTTTATAGAGAAACCCTGGCTAGATTGAGCCTACCCATGGGGAGACGATTTCAAGACAGGATGAGATCTGGGAAGAATTTTGTTGTCATCTGCCAGGGAAATTATCACAGGACTCATTGAATGCAATAACATGTGAGTAAGTTCCCTTTTGATTCTGGGAATCAGCGATTTTCCCTGTGGATTAAGACAAACCAACGCCAGAAGGTCTCCTGTGCTTATTTTAACCATCTGCTCCCATCGTGAACCCTGGAGCATGCATTTCCTAGAAGTGGTTTCATAGCTCCTGTGTGTTCATGGAAAAGGGGAGTATAATGATGGGGATGCTGGAAGCTTTTTTAATGTTTTCCAAAGGAAAGGAACCCACACTGCTCCCCAGAGTTCCTTTCCAATGGCCCTGCAGTAAGAACGGAGGACAATGTATTGCTGGGTGCTTAAAATCCTCCCTCAGTGAAGCACAAAGAGACACTTTGTAAAGAAAAAAAGAGCAAGCATAGGTTCTCTGTGGGACCTTGTGGAGTGGTGTTTTCACGTTGGTCTCTTTGGCTCAATTGAGCATAATCAGAAAGAAATGTGGGTTATTGGGAAGAGACAAAAAGCAGTGGCTAAAATACCAAAGTTGGCATGTGTTCTTTTTTAAAAAAAAAAAAAAATGCATATATTTTTAAATAAAATGTTTATTTTAAAAAGAAATGTAAAACTTTTTTTTTTTCGTGGCTGTGTGATGTACCCAGGCCTTATGCTATGTACTATTTATATGTGTTATTTCCTTTTATTCCCACAATGGGCCCATGAAGTAGTACCATTATTATCCTCATTTTTGCAAATAAAGAAACCAGGCTTAGAGGATACGTAAATTGCCTAAAGTTACACAACTGAGAAATGGCAGAGCCAAGAGTCAGACTGTGATTTGCCTGCCTCCAAAGCCCGGATCTTAAGCACTGCACAAACTGTCTGAACTGATACTTACTATGGATCATACTAATACAATCAGAACTTTCGCAAAACAGATTCTCAAGCTATGTATATGCCCATTAAGATACATACATACATATACAACTTAGCGAATTCAATGTTTTCATCAGTTTAGTAACTGAGCAAGTTGAATAATAATGTAGGATAAACTGGGTATCAAGAGGCCTATATGTATAGACTTCCTGAATAAGACCTAGTTTTTAATCTACTTTTTCCTCTTAAATTTATTCCTGCCTATTATTTTGTCATTGGTGAACCTATTAACCACATAGGGGAAATATCAGACTGTGAAAAGAGCCCTGGAATGGACAAATGTCCCAAGCCCTGGTTTAGCTAAGAACTGATCTTTCTCCCTACCACAGCTCTCTCTGCCCCTGCGTCAGCCTTACTTTCTGGTGGGCTCTCCTATGTAGAATCAACAAGGCCATGGGTTGCCAGCAGCCCCACATGTAGCAATTCCAGCAACAAGAGAGTTTCTCAGTCCTGAGAATCCTAGCAGAAATCTCAGAGCTTGCTCTCAGTGGTCCCAGCAGGTCATGGTCATCCCTGAATCCGTATCTATGGCCATGAGAAGCGGATATAAATACATGCACAGGAGCTGGATACCCTGCTCGGCCCTGAGCTATGGAGTGGGATCATTTGAATCTCATGGACTGGCAGTAGGGAAGGTGAGTTTTTCTAAGGGAAAGTTGGGGTGCTAGTACCAAAGGGTGCTGAAAAAGCAGAAATAGTAGATTTCTATGACATAATTCCTACTTTCAGGAAGTTGCCATCTAGCGAGGAGACAAGAAAATAGGGAATAATGCGTAGTCTGATAATCGCATGCTATGTGCTACCAGAAGGGCATTTAATAAAGTCTTGGTGGGTGGAGGTGGAGGAAGGATGGATGGCCAGGAAGAACTCTCCAGAGGAGGAAGGCACTATGCCAAGACATTAAATGACACAGGAGTTAGGCAGGCAAACTGCTAAGGAAAGGAGCATTCCAGACTGAGGAAATAGCCTGTGCAAAGGCCTGAAGATTTAAGAGAATTGACAGTATTCAGGGGATGTAGATGGTAGAACAAGGAGGCAGGGGTGCCGCTGGCAGAAGTGTAGGAAAGAAAAGAGGGCCAGGGCTGTTTGAAGAAAGTACCACAGTGGCCGGGCGTGGCGGCTCCCGCCTGTAATCCCAGCACTTTGGGAGGCCGAGGCAGGCGGATCGTGAGGTCAGGAGTTCGAGACCAGCCTGGCCAACATGGTGAAACCCTGTCTCTACCAAAAACACAAAATTTAGCCCGGCGTGATGGTGTGCTCGGGAGGCTGAGGCAGGAGAATTGCTTGAACCCAGGAGGCAGAGGTTGCAGTGAGCCAAGATCGTGCCACTGCACTCCAGCCTAGGTGAAACAGCGAAACTCCGTTTCAAAAAAAAAAAAAAAAAGAACTACAAACAGGGTGGCCTCACAGTTCTGGAGGCCAGATGCTGGGAATCAAGCTGTCAGTGAGGTTGGTTCCCTCTGAGACTGTGAGGGAAGGAGCTGCTCCCGTTCTCTCTCCTTGGCTTACGGATGGCCATGTTCATGTCCACATGGCATTCTCCCTGTATCTCCGCATCATTTTCTCTCTGTATGTGTCTATCTCTGTGTCCAAATTTCTCATTTTTATAAGGATTCCAGCTGTCTAGGATTAGAGTCCATCCTAATGACTTCATTTTATTTATTTATTTATTTATTTATTTATTTATTTATTTGAGACAGAGTTTCACTCTTGTTGTCTAGGCTGGAGTGCAATGGCACAATCTCAGCTCACTGCAACCTCTGCCTCCCAGGTTCAAGAAATTCTCCTGCCTCAGCCTCCCAAGTAGCTGGGATTACAGGTGCCTGCCACCATATCCAGCTAATTTTGTATTTTTAGTAGAGATGGGGTTTCTCCATATTGGTCAGGCTGGTCTTGAACTCATGACCTCAGGTGATCCACCCGCCTCGGCCTCCCAGAGTACTGGGATTACAGGCGTGAGCCACCGTGCCCAGCCTAATGACCTCATTTTAACTTGATTACCTCCGTAAAGGCCCAGCTCCAAGTAAGCTCACATTCTGAGGTGCTGAGGGTTAGGACTTCAATGTAGGAATTTTGAGGGAACACAATTCAACCCATAATAGGGGGCAAGATGGGGGCCAGACCATGAAGGGACTCATAAGACACATTGAGGAGTCTAGACTTGTTTTGAAGACAGCGGGGCATCACTGGAGAGTTTTAAGCAAGACAGTGCTGTCATAACCCTTTCACCTTAGAAAGATGATTCCAGCTACAGGGTGGATTGGAGTGTCAAGGACACGGGAAGGGCAGCATAGTACATTTGTGTGAATTCATCTGATAAATTGCTGTACCCTCCTTATTCTACAGACATGAGAAATGATGAGTAACCCGACATATCGAATTTAGGACATAAAGAATGATGGGGTGGCCAAGTGGGGTGGCTCATGCCTGTAATCCCAGCACTTTGGGAGGTCGAGGCGGGGGGATCACCTGAGGTCATGAGTTCGAGACCAGCCTGGCCAACATGGTGAACTCTCATCTCTACTAAAAATGCAAAAATTAGCCGGGCTTGGTGGCACATGCCTGTAGTCCCAGCTACATGGGAGGCTGAGGTAGGAGAATCTCTTGAACCTGGGAAGCAGAGGTTGCAGTGAGCCAAGATCACGCCACTGCACTCCAGCCTGGGTGACAGAGCAAGACTCAGTCTCAAAAAAAGAATGATGGGGTTTGGGAGGCAGGCAAAAGTAAAGGTAGCAACTTAGCTCATGGCAATAACCCAGCCAAAGGGCAGATGGTGGTGGAAATGGAGAGACAAAGGTAGGTTTGAAACATGTTAATAGAATGGAAAATACGGGACTTGATCATTGGATGTGGATGGTAAAGGAGAGAGAGGTTCTGGATTTGGAGGAGGAAGAGCTCAATTTTGAGTGTATGTTAGTGCCATTCACAGAAGTAAAGACCAGGATGAGGAAGAGTTACTTGATAGGAAAAATAATGAATTTGATTTTTGATCAGTTGGTGTCTGAGGGACACTCAAGCCAAAAGTCTTCACTAGAGAGGTCTGGAGCTCAGAGTGCCTTCAATGGAGATATAGATATGAAAGGGGTCAGCATTCAGATGTTAACTGAAATCATGAGAATAGCTATGACCTATACAGTATGTGGAGTGAGAATAAAAGAGGATCCTGAGGAATGCCAACATTTAAGGTATCGGCAAAGGAGAATGAGAGGGAGTGGCTAGAAAACCAGGAGGGGCTGGTATTCCCAGCACTAAGGCTGGAGAAAATTCCAGAAAAGAGGGGGGTCTTTAATTCCTTCTAATGCTACTGTGTTCCACTAAGATAAGGAATGAAAAGTGTTCATTTGATTTAATAATAAGAAGGTGGTTTATAATCAAGGTGAGAGCAATTTGGATGTAGTGGCGAGGCCAGGTGGGTACAAACTGAGGAATTAAAAGGAGATCAGTAAGTGGAGACAGTGAATCCAGGTGTTTCTCTCAAGAAGTGTGGCAATGTAAGAAGAAGACACACAAGACCATAGCAGACAGTCAGACATTTAAAGGACTGATTTTCAAGAGGAGAGAGATATGAGCTGATTTCAAAGCTAATGAGAATTAGGTAGTATAAGATAGAGAAAAGGGGGCAGATAATGAGATCCAGGTTAGGTTGCCTTTGGGACGTTGAGGCAGGAGAGAAAGAGGAGGGTGGGTGGAGATGCAGGTCTGTGTGCAGGTCATACAGGTGTGGTGGGAGGACAATGAGGAAATTTTCAGGGGATGGCTTCCATCTGATACTTGAAACAAGATGGAGAGATAATACTCACCTATGGGGCAGAAGATGAATGAAGTGGGAGTTTTAATAAAAATGGATAATGTCTGAATTAAGAGCTGTGGAGAATGGGAGAGAGAACTGATTGGGAGACATAGAAGGATACCTGGGAAGAGTTGGAAAACTTGACTGGAGATCATGCCTTCTGCACAATGGTAGGACTTTTCATCAACAGCATCAACCACCCAAAAGTGGAAGCAGAGAAGGCAGAGAGGCAGGTTGAGCCAAGTTGAGGGTGCTTTAGAAATGGGTATGAAAGCAAGAAAACAGAAACAGGGGCTCAGGATATGACTATAGAGGAAGTAAAATAGTGAACTACGGAATATGCAAAGTATTATGCTAAAAGTGAAGATAGGAGTCAGAAAGTGGTACAATCAAAAATTAGAAGTGGACTAAGTATTGATGCAAAACTACTAATCATGTAATTATATTGCCATCATTGTGATCATAATGTAAATGGGTACCCATGTTCACAGTTTAGTAGGAATGATAAGGACTGAAAAGTGTTCATTTTATTTAATAACAAGAAGATTGCAGGTAACAATTGCCTGACCTCAGGTGATTCTCCTCAGCCTCCCAAAGTGAAACCCTGTCTCTACTAAAAATACAAAAAATTAGCCGGGTGCAGTGGTGCACACCTGTAATCCCAGCCACTCGGGAGGCTGAGGCAGGAGAATCGCTTGCACCTGGGAGGCGGAGGTTGCAGTGAGCCGAGATCGTGACACTGTACTCCAGCCTGGCAACAGAGAGAGACTCCATCTCAAAAAAAAAAAAAAAAAAAGGTATAAAAACAACAGATGCTGGTGAGGCTGCAGAGAAAAGGGAACACATACAGTGTTGGTGGGAATGTACATTAGTTCAGCCACTGTGGGAAACAGTTTGGATATTTCTCAAAGGACTTAAGATAGAACTACCACTCGATCCAGCAATCCCATTACTGGGTATATATCCAAAGCAAAAAAAATTGTTCTATCAGAATGACATGAACTTGTATGTTCATCGCAGCATGAACAGTAGCAAAGACATGAAATCAGCCTTGGTGCCCATCAACAATGGATTGGATAAAGCAAGTGTGGTACATATGTACCATGGAATACTACACAGCCATAAAAAAGAATGAAATCATGTCCTTTGCAGCAACATGGATGCAGCTGGAGGCCATTATCCTAAGTGAATTAAGGCAGAAACAGAAAACCAGATACTGCACGTTCTCACTTATAAGTGGGAGCTAAACATTGGGTACTCACAGCTATAAATATGACAACAGTAGACAATGGGGACTATGAAAAGGGTGAGGGAGGGAGCTTTTCAAGGCTTGAAAAACTGCCTATTGGGTATTATGCTCAGTACCTGGGTGATGGGATCAATCGTACCCAAAACCTCAGCATTACACAATATACTTATGTAGCAAACCTGCACATATATTCCTTGAACCTAAAATAAAAGATGAAAGTACAGAAAACATAAAAAGCCACGAAGGAGTCAAAAGTACTCCCACTAGAGGAATTCACATGTGTGAGGACTTACAGGCAAAATAAATAAGTTGCATTGCAAAAAGCTGGGTGAATTTCAGAACAGTTGGAACAGAGGACAGTCGCACAGCTAGGGTGGAGGGAGGGGAAGACCGGGAAGAACTGCTGGAATATCCAGACAGAAGGCCAGAGTGATGGCCACAAAAGTGGAGGAAGCTGGCTGGGCATGGTGGCTCATGCCTGTAATCACAACACTTTGGGAGGCTGAGGCGGGTGGATCACCTGAGGTTGGGAGTTCAAGACCAGCCTGACCAACATGTAGAAACCCCATCTCGACTAAAAATACAAAATTAGCCAGGCGTGGTGCTGTATACCTGTAATCCCAGCTACTGGGGAGGCTGAGGCAGGAGAATCGCTTGAACCCAGGAGGCGGAGGTTGCAGTGAGCCGAGATTGCGCTATTGTACTCCAGCCTGGGCAACAACAGCGAAATTCTGTCTCAAAAAAAAAAGGGTGGGGGGGAGGGGAGGAAGCTGGGCAGATCCAGCAAATATTCATAAGTATTAGTAGAAATAAAAGGACTTAGAAATTGATGGAATAGAAAAGGTGGGATGAGAAGAGAGGAGAGAAAGGGAAGATTCAAGAGTAATTCTTGTCTATCTTTACTTCTGTAGCCCTGCCTTTACCACAGTGCCTTCCCAACTGTGAATACTCAATCAAGATTAAACAGAATACATAACATTCTCTTAAAATTATTCTTCTGGCCTCTACATCTGCGTGTTGTCACCTGAGATTCTGATGATCAACCAACAGATAACTCCCCTTGCTCCTCTACTTCCTAGGTATTTTTAATTTTTGCACCTGGCACCCACCCTACCTCTACCGTCAAAACCCCAAAGAGAAGAAATATATCTAAGGTTAACATGCAAGCAATGCATGGACTGTTACAATGGAAAGGGCTCTGCTAGGTCCAGGCAGGCAGGCAGAGAGACAGACCTGACCTAGCTTGGAGGTTTGCTCCACTGCAATAGGGGGTTTTCTGGGAACCCAAGCATCTTGGAGAGGTGCAAATGAGTTGCTTATCATCTAGAGTGGCATGGAAGCTGTAGAATTTTCTCCTAGCAGTTATAAGAAGTAGGCATTGGAGTTAGGTGGAAGAGAGATAGGCTCATGAAAAAACCTTGTGGTCTGTAATGAGGGTATATTCAACAGTGACCTAAACTGACATCCAGAAATTGGATGCATACAGGCTTCTGAGCAGATGATGGCAAATAAGAATAATAACCCAGGGCTGAAGCTCAACAACCTCTCCTCCACCCTCCAGTCATGGTACTACATATGGCACACCCTCTTCCCCTGAGAAAAACGAGTGCCAACACAGGAAAAAGGAGATAACTTCAATGCCTAAAATTGTTTCTGCTACTCCATAGAGTGAGTCTGAAAATGCAAAGTCTGGTCATGGAAAATACACCTGAGTTTGTGAATTGGAATCCGAAGCTACTACCCTTTTCTCATTCCTAATGTTGCATATCTATGTTTTCTCTCTTGGACTCGTCATATATTTCTTTTATTGTTTTATCATAACAGTAATTTTTATATTTATTAATCAATTTTTGTTTTTATCCTTATTCTTCTACTACCTTTATGAATGTATTCATCCATGTTGCTTAATATTGATTTTCTTTTCTTCTTTTTTTTTTGAGATGGAGTTTGGCTCTTGTTGCCCAGGCTAGAGTGCAATAGGGCTATCTGGGCTCACTGCAACCTCCACCTCCCGGGTTCAAGCAATTCTCCAGCCTCAGCCTCCCGAGTAGCTGGGATTACGGTCATGCGCCACCATGCCCAGCTAATTTTTGTATTTTTAGTAAAGACGGGGTTTCTCCATGTTGGTCAGGCTGGTCTCAAACTCCTGACTTCAAGTGATCCACCTGCCTCGGCCTCCCAAAGTACTGGGATTACAGGCATGAACCACCACCACCAGCTGTTATTGATTTTCTATTTTTCCTCATTTTGGGCTTTTTGAGATAAAAGCATAATTTGTTTCTTTCTTTCTGATAACATTAAAAATATTTATCTATGAATTTCTTTTGAGTGCAGTTTTGAGGTGAAACTATGGGTGTTTATGCAATATTTACATAGTAGTATGTTTCTATATATTCTGTAATTACATTCTTGATTTCCTTTTTGATCTAAGAGATAACTTAGAAGTCTGCCTTATAATTTCCAAGTGTTTAAGCTTCTGTTAATTTATATATAAACATTAATTTTTAAAATATGATACAGAGAAGTGCCCTATCATAAGTGTAGAGCTTGATAAATTTTTATAAAATGAGTATTCTCAATATAACCACCACTTAAATCAAGAAATTGGACATTTCTGTTAGCAGAACTGTAGAAGTCCTCCGTGTGCCACCTCCCCAGTACTACAGCACTGTTTCCCAGCTCCCCCAAGATAAATTCCATACTGACTTCTATTACCATTGATTCACTTTGCTTGTTTTTAAACTTGATGTAAGTGAAATCATACAGTATATACTGTTCTGGATCTGGTGTTTTTGCTCAGCTTCCATTGTGAGATTCATCCATATTTTCATCCACTGTTAGGTGAAGCATGAATACCTTCCTTTTTCTTTCCATGTATACACCACCTTTGTATGATTATGAATTCATACAATTCATTGTATTGTATGAATACACCACCTTTTTATTTATCCACTGTGTTGTCAATGGGGACTTCAAGTGGTTCCAATTTTTGACTATTACAAATGTTGCCAATACAAACATTCTAGTGCGTGCCTTTTGTGGTAAATACGTCCACATTTCTGTTGAACAAGTGAAATTGCTGGGTCATGAAGTGTACATACTGCTTAGCCTTAGTGCATACTGCAAACACAGCTCTCTAAAGTACTGTACTGGTTTCCCTCCCACCAAAATGCATTATATGACAGTCCCACTGGCTCTGCATCCTCACCAACACTGGTTTAGCCAGTCTCTTTTCATTTTAGCTCTTCCACGGGTGTGTGGTGGTATTTCATTGTCATATCAATGGCATATATTGGATGATTAACAAGGTTGAGCATCTTTTCGTGCTCTTGGGCCATTTGGGTAGTCTCTGTAGTAAAGTGACTATTCAAATCTCTTGATCTCTTGTCAGTTTCTCCTGAAGGTTTCTTCCTTTTTCCCATTGATTTGTAGGATTCTTTTCTTTCTTTCTTTCTTTTTGAGATGGGGTCTTGCTCTGTCACCCGGGCTGGAGTGCAGTGGTGCAATCTTGGCTCACTGCAACCTCCATCTCCAGGGTTCAAGCGATTCTCCTGCCTCAACCCCCAGAGTAGATGGGATTACAGGCGCCCAGCACCATGCCCAGCTAAATTTTTTTTTATTTTTAGTAGAGACGGGGGTTTTACCACGTTGGCCAGGCTGGTCTTGAACTCCTGACCTCAGGCGATCCACCCGCCTCAGCCTCCCAAAGGGCTGGGATTACAGGCATGAGCCACCGCTCCCAGCCCCGGAGTCTATATGTGTATATACACACACACACACATGCACACGCATACACACACACACAAATACACGCACACATGTATACACGTATATATACACACACACATCTATCTATCTATCTATCTATCTATCTATCTATCTATCTATCTATCATCTATCTATCATCTATCTATCATCTATCATCTATCATCTATTTTTCTTTGAGACAGGGTCTCATACTGTTGCTCTGTTGCCCAGGTTGGAGTGCAGTGGCCTGATCTCGGCTTACTGCAGCTTTGACTCCCTGGGCTCAGGTGATTCTCCTACCTCAGCCTCCCGGGTAGCTGGGACTACAGGCAAGCGCCACCAGGCTTGGCTAATTTTTGTTTTTTTTTCAGTAGAGATGTTGCCTGGGCTGGTCTTGAACTCCTGGGCTCAAGTGATCTGCCCGCCTCGGCTTCCCAAAGTGCCGAGATTACAGGCATGAGCCACCATACCCATCCGGATTATTTATATACTTTGGAGTTGAGTTCTCTCTCTCCCTGTTTTATGAAGGTTGAATGTATTGCAAATAATTCGTCTCACTGTGATGATTTCTTTTTCATTCTGTTTTTTATTTTTTGAGACAGGGCCTCACTCTGTTGCCAAGGCTGAAGTTCAGTGGCGCAATCTTGGCTCAATTCAGCCTCCACCATCCCAGGCTCAAGTGATCCTCCCATCTCAGCCTTCAGAGTAGCTGAGACTACAGGCACTGCCACCAGGTCTGGCTAATTATTGATTTTTTTTTTTTTTTTTTTTTTGTAGAAATGGAGTTTCGGAGTTGCCCAGGCTAGTCTCGAACTCTGGAGCTCAAGTGATCCTCCCGCCTCAGCCTTTCAAAGTGCTGGGATAACAGGCGTGTACCATGGGGCTTGGCCTTTTTCATTCTCTTAATGGTGTCATCAGATGAACCATTAAGAACCAAAGTTCTTAATTGTTAAGTAGTCCAATTTGCCAATATTTCCTTTAAGATTAGAATATTTGTTGTCATGTTTAAGAAATCATTGTCTACCACAAGATCATGAAGAAATTTTTCTCCTGTTTTTTATTTTGATTTTTATTTCTTTTGAAAAACAATAATTTTTGAGGTTTTTTTTCCAGAAAAAAATGGGTAGTTGATAAACCTTTTCAGTCATTACATGTCTCAAAGTGACTTCCTTTTGCCCTCGTTTGTGAATGTTAGGCCAGATGTAGACTTTTGAGTTGCATTTGAGTTATGACCTATTTTCATGGGTGCCCTGTAATCTTGTTCCAAATTTTATTGGCATTGAGCATTGCAGATGTGAAGCATGAGGCAAACCAGCTTCTCTTTTTGGAGAAAAACTTCTTTTTTTCTGGTGTGTGTGTGTGTGTGTCTGTCTTCGAAATTCAGAAATTTAATCAAGATATGTCTAGGGATTTTGTTTTTCCTGTGCAGTAATATTTTCTAGCACTTAGTGAATTATTTTAATTTTGACTTGGGCCTTTCTTCAGCTCTGCAAAATGTTTTTTTGTTTATTTGTTTGTTTGTTTGTTTCTTTGAGATGGAGTTTCGCTCTTATTGCCCAGGCTGTAGTGCAAAAGCGCGATCTCGGCTCACCACAACCTCTGCCTCCCAAGTGGCTGGGATTACAGGCATGTGCCACCACACCTGGCTAATTTTGTATTTTTAGTAGAGACGGGGGTTTCTCCAAGTTGGTCAGGCTGGTCTCGAACTCCTAACCTCAGGTGATCTGCCCACCTTGGCCTCCCAAAGTGCTGGAATTACAGGCATGAGCCACCGCCCGGCCTTTTTTAGTATTTTTTATGCTTATTTCTTCTTCATCATCTGCTCTGCAAATTCTATTACATATTTGTTTGAATGTTTTGAAAAAAGATACCGTGTCTATTTTTCCTTTCCTCACCATTTCATTGCATTACATACTTTTTCCCTCTGAATTTTGGGATCATTCTTCCAGCCCATCTTCTAATGCAGTAATTCCATTTTGGGCAGTGCCAGATCTGCTATTTCCTGCCTCTATGGAGTTTCATTAGTTTGGAAGTCATGTGTTTCTTATCCAAGAACTCTTTTTTGTTTAATGTGGCTCTTCTTCATGGCAACCAGCTCTTGTTATATTAAAGCAGCGTTCTCTCAGTTCTCACTAAGAATACAAATTAGAGTGAAAAAATATATTTCCCTTACTTCTTGCATAACTTTCACTAGAAGCTATTTTCTCTGGATTCTCAGATTAGTCTCCCTGTTTTATGGAGGTAATAGCCTATAATAAAGGCACAGGCATTTGAACTAGAAAAACCCAGGTTTGAATCCTAGTTCTGACACTTGAATGGCAGTTCACCTAAACCCTCTGAGCTTGGTTTATTTGATAGGTATAGTCAAACCCTCATCGAAGAGTTCTTCTAAGGATTAAATAAGATAATGTATCTCATAGCACTTACAGTAGTACTTGGCTATATAGTTTATTATTATTACCTTCTTCCTTCTCATCACTATTACATTGAAATGCTGTCTTTTTTCTGCTTGTCAGTCTCACATAGAGAGGTCTGGTTAGTTTAGACTTGGTAGCTGAGTTGGACAGAAAGGCGTCAGGTCAGAAATGATGCAGATCTTACTTTAATTTGCCCCAAAAGTTACTACACGTAGTAAATCTACCTGGCCACGACTCCCTCACTCAGAAATCACCTGTACCATTTTTTGACAAGATTGTGAATGGGACCTTTCTCAAATTTCCATGAGTGACACAGAATTGCTCTATTATGTTTGCTGAGTTATTTCGAATGGATATTGGAGGGAGAAATGGGTCAAAACTACTGGCTTTTGTTAACATTTTGTTACCAGAAGTTGAATGTAAAGTTTACTAAGAATAAAGAAAGTTAACACATAAATGTTTTAGGTAAAAATATAGTAAATATTTCTATCCTTTGGGGATAAGGGAGACTTTCTAAGCATTAAACCAAAGGCATAAAACATAAAGGAAAAGATTGATGGATCTGACCACATTAAAAATGTAGAATTTTGGCTGGGCATGGTGGCTCATGCCTGTAATCCCAGCACTTTGGGAGGCCGAGGTGGGTGGATCACCTGAGGTCAGGAGTTCGAGAGCAGCCTGACCAACATGCTGAAACCTTGTCTCTACTAAAAATACAAAATTAGCCAGGTGTCGTGGCTCATGCCTGTAATCCCAACTACTTGGGAGGCTGAGGCAGGAGAATCGCTTGAGCCCGGGAGATGGAGGTTGCAGTGAGCCGAAATTGTACTATTGCACTCCAACCTGGGCAACAAGGGTGAAACTCCATCTCAGAAAAAAAAAAAAAGTAGAATTCCTGGAAGATAAAAATCAGCATTACAGATGTTGAAAAGGAAAGGCCAAACTAGAGAAAACATTTGCCACAAGATACAATAGCATTAGTATAATTAATATGACTAAAAAGCTTTTATTTCTTTTTTTTTTTTTTGAGATGGAGTCTCGCTCTGTTGCCCAGGTTGGAGTTCAGTGGCGCAATCTTGGCTCACTGCAATCTCTGCCTCCTGGGTTCACGCCATTCTCCTGACTCAGCCTCCTGAGTAGCTGGGACTACAGGCGCCCGCCACCACGCCTGGCTAATTTTTTTGTATTTTTAGTAGAGACGGGGTTTCACCGTGTTAGCCAGGATGGTCTCAGTCTCCTGACCTCATGATCTGCCTGCCTCAGCCTCCCAAAGTGCTGGGATTACAGGCGTGAGCCATTGCACCCGGCTGACGAAAAACCTTTTAAAAATTGATAAGAAAATGTAGACCTATAACAGAAAAATGGGCTAAGGACATGAAGAATTAATTAACCAAAGAAGAAATACTAATGGCCATGAAACATGCGGGAAAATGTTTAATGTGGTAAAAAGAAATGCAAATTGAAACAGCATAATAATGCTATTTCTCATCTATTCATCTGGCAGGATTATTAAGAGTGGTAATACTCAGCATAGGTTAGGGTATGGAGAAAATGGCATATTTACACGCTGTAGTTGGGACTGCAAAAATTTCCATTATTTATCTACAGGATAATTTGGCAATACATATAAAAAGCTTTAAAACATGCCACATTTCAATGCAGAAATTTTAATTATTTGATTTTGATCTTAAGTAAATATATGCAATAAGTTTTAACCATTAACATGTTGATCACAGAGATATTTAGAATAACAGAAGATAAGAAAGAAGATATTGTCCTAACAACAGTCTGATCCTGTTTTTGAAACATGTTTATAAATTCCCAGTGTTATCTTGATTAGTAAGAATATGGGCATTTTTCACTTTTTAAATGGATCTGAGTTTTCCAATTTTTTTCCTCAATAACATTAAAATGTGTAACATGTTTATATATAAACACATATACTGTTGGACTTTATTTACTAACATTTTATTAATAATTTTTATATCTATTCTTTTTTTTTTTTTCCCGAGACAGAGTCTCGCTTTGTTGCTAGGCTGGAGTGCAGTGGTGCAATCTCGGCTCACTGCAACTTCTGCCTCCCGGGTTCCAGCAATTCTCCTGCCTCAGCCTCCCAAGTAGCTGGAAATACAGGCATGTGCCACCACACCCGGCTAATTGTGTACTTTATTAGTAGAGATGGGGTTTCTCCATGTTGGGCAGGCTGGTCTCGAACTCCTGACCTCAGGTGATCCACCCGCCTTGGCATCCCAAAGTGCTGGGATTACAGGTGTGAGCCACCACGGCTGGCCTGTATCTATTCTTGTAGTCGATATTGGTTTGTTGTTTTGGTGTCTGTGCCATCTTCATCAGGTTTGATAACAGAGTTAAGGCAATTTCATAAAGTGAATTTGGATGCTTTCATTTTGTTTCTGTGCTCTGAAACACTTTAAATAGCAGAAGAATTATCTGTTCTTTGAAGCTTTGAAAGTGCTCCCCATAAAACCATATGGACCTGGCTACTTTGGGGAGTGTCGTTCCTTGAAAAGTTTTCCAAGTTTTTCCCTGATCCTGGTCCCCTCATGCTTCCTACCTATTTTTGAAAAACCTGTAGCAGGCTGGGCACGGTGGCTCATGCCTGTAATCTCAGCACTTTGGGAGGCAGAGGTGGGCGGATCACCTGAGGTCAGGAGTTTGAAAAGAGCCTGGCCAACATGGTGAAACTCCATCTTTACTAAAAATACAAAAGTTACCTGAGCGTGGTGGTAGGCGCCTGTAATTCCAGCTACTCAGGGAGGCTGAGGCACGAGAATAGCTTGAACCCAGGAGGTGGAGGTTGCAGTGAGCCGAGATTGCGCCACTGCACTCCAGCCTGGGAGACAGAGCAAGACTCCATCTCAAAAAACAAACAAAACAAAAAACAAAAAAAAAAAAAAGAAAAAGAAGAGAAACACTTGTAGCAGTTCATATTCTCCAAGCAAATTAAGAGCTTCCTTTAAAATAAGTAAACATAAGGTTGCAAAAGTATTCTTACACTTTTTTTTGCTTCTGTGATTAAATCCTTTTTCTTGTTTCTAAAGTTGTGTGTTTTTCTTCTTTTTGCCTTTCTATCTATTCATTTTATCTATCTCTTTGAAACACCCAGTCCTGAAATTAATGGATCAATTACACCCTTAATTTATTCTAAGGTCTGCATTGGGTCTGCTGTACAAGTGTTCCTCTGGAACCCAGGAGAGAAGACAAGCAACTATCGGGGGAAAGTTTTTTCTTATGGCAGTGGTAAATGTGCCAGAAGACCAGAGGAAAATGTACAAAGCCTCTTAATGCACAGCTTGGAAGTGGCATACATCACTTCCACCCACAGGCCGTTAGCCAAAGAAGTCTCTTGGTCAAGTCCTAAGTTATTAAGTGGGAAAATACACTCTGCCTATGATGAGACGATGCAAAGGTATATTAAGGGAAGGCTGAAAATTGGAGTTAATGGCATCTATTAATACCATGCCCAAAGATGGGAACATCTATCATCCTATTTAAAAAATATTTTGGACTAACAGATATACTTTAATGGTGCAAGTCAAGTTTGATACCTGCAAGTATAAAGGTGATTGGAATCTGTAATATCCTTCAGTTGTATTGTAGCACTGAATGTTGTTTTGACATATCAAATACTGTAAGGCATAGGTGTATCTTCTCCAACAGCAATTTATTGAGCAAATAGACTGGCCAGTTAATTCCCCAAAACATATTACTTAGAGATTTTTTACTATAAACCCCCATATAGTAGATAAGAAAAGAGTGTCCTGGAGAAGTCCAGCAAGATGATTGGCCATAATTATAATGAGCTCGAGCTTCCTGTTCTGCTTTCTCTCTTCTGTGGACCCTACACAGTCATATGATGTATAGGATGTTTCAGTCAACAAAGAACCGCATATACAACAGTGGTCCCATAAGGTTATAACACTGTATTTTTACTGTACTTTTTCTATGTTTAGATGTGTTCAGATAACACAAACCCTTACCATTGTGTTACAATTGCCTACACTATTCAGTACAGTGACATGCTATACAGGTTTGTAGCCTAGGAGCAGTAGGCTATACCCTATAACCTAGGCATGCAGTAGGCTATACAATCTAGGTCTGTGTAAGTACTTTCTTTTTTTTTTTGAAACGGAGTCTCGCTCTGTCACCTAGGCTGGAGTGCAGTGGCACGATCTCGGCTCACTGCAAACTCCGCCTCCTGGGTTCAAGTGATTCTCCTACCTCAGCCTCCCGAGTAGCTGGGATTACAGATGCCCACCACCACACCTAGCTAAATTTTGTATTTCTAGTAGAGACGGGTTTTCACCACATTGGCCAGGCTGGTTTCGAACTCCTGGCCTCAGGTGATCCACCTGCCTTGGCCTCCCAAAGTGCTGGAATTACAGGCGTGAGCCACCACGCCTGGCTGTGTAAGTACTTTCTATGATGTTTTTGCAACAACAAAATCACCTAATAATGTATTTCTCAGAACATATCCCTGTCATTAAGTGACACATGAGGTTATTCTGAATTCTGTTCTGTAGACCAGCCCTGTCCAATGGAGCTTTCTATGATGATGAAAATGTTATTTTACATTCTCTACTACGGCAGCCACTAGCCACATGTAGTTATTGGGCACTTGAAATGAAAAACTGAAATTTTTGTTTTATTTAACCTAATTTAAAATAATATTTAAGTAACCACATGTAGCTAATGATTCCCATGTTGGCCAGGTGGCTCTAGTGAATGCTTGCTCTCAGAGTAGAGGTTAAAACCATTCTAATTCAGGGGATTCTAAATGGAGTATCAGATTTCTAAGGGAACATATCTCAGACAAATAGTACTACAATGTTGCTGAAGCAAGTAAGAAGCCCATATATTGTTGACCAAAGCAAGTGACAAGGTCAAAGTCAAGGTCAACAGGAGCAGGGAAGTGTAATCTTCCCATAGGTCAAAGCTAGGTATATAAGACATAGAAATTTCTTTCTTCTTTTCTCCTCTTCTTTCCCCTTCCCACCGTCCTTCCTCACCTCCTCCTCTTCTTTTGCAAATACATTTAAATTTTATATTAAGTCTATTCTTCTAGGTGGCAAAAATTAAGTTTTAGGCAATTCCATCTCCATCTTGGCCAATGCTGCCTCCTCCTCCTGATCATCATCTTTGATCTCAATAGCTTTCACATCCAGCTGTTTCAGGTACATTTGTGTATCCTCACAGCACACATGCAGACACCAAATCATCGCACATGGCTTGGGTGCAGGGAGCTCTGGGGCTGCCACTAGCCTGTGGTATGGGTACCTGAGGCACTTCATATAGATGTCTTACTGGTCCTCTGTCTTAGAAGGCAGAGGATCTCCACAAGCTTGGCCATGCCTAGCCTTCACTCCAGGAGTGGTGTACAGCTTCTCCACTGTGCTCAGATGCCCCAAAACGATATGATATATCTGTCTTCAGTCTGCCTGCCCCCAACCTAATTGTTGACCATGGGTAAAAGCAAGGTGCATGCTACTTTCTCAGAGAAACCCACTGTAGCAGTCAGCTTAGACTCAATTATGTTACAGCAACAAACCTCTGATTTAAAACAGCAAAGATACCTTTTGCTGGGGGGCCACATCACTGTTCCACAGCATCCCCTAACTGGTTCATTGGCAGCGTTAAGAAGAAGAGGGCAGGATCACAAAATGACTCCTGAAACTTCTGCCCTCAGAAGAAGCGTAAAAGTCACCTCTGTGCATATTCATTGTTCAAAGAAAATCACATGACCGATCTTTACCTCAACAGTAAGGTAAAATAGAGTCCTTCCCATAGGGATTGGCAGTGAAATTTTTTGGGCATTAATAGTATCTGCACAAGCATCATCTACTTTTCTTCTCTCTTTCTCTCCCGCTTTCCAGTCCCCATCACCATCTTCAACATCTCACAGCCTGTAGGTTCTTTATTTAGACTAAGCAGGATGATATATGCTTTATAATCTACTATTTCTGACATAGACTATTAAAGCTCCAAAGCCTGTATTCTGGAAACTCAAAACTCTTTTCTTGAAGAACTCTATTCTGTCACATGTGTTTCTGAAGCTCTTGTTTCTGCACTATTATCCCTTCCCCGGGGTAGAAAGCAGAAAATGTACTAGCTGCTTCCTGAGTGAAGGAAGCATTCAAAGGAAGACAGAAAATCTGTGGAGAAGCCACCAGTTAATAAAACATTATTGGACCACACTCTGGCAGGGGAGGCTGCCAAAGGGATTTCCCTTTGGAACGGAAAAATCTTGGGATTGAAGGCAGGGGCTGGCATGATATTGGAGTTGGCTACCAGAGTTCTTGAGGATTAGTGCTAACAAGTAGAACTTTCTGAGAGGATAGTAATGTTCTTTATCTGTGCTGTCCAGTACAGTAGCCTTTAGCCACATGTGGCTCTTAAGTACTTCGAATGTGACTTGGGTGACCGAGGAACTAAATTCTGTTTTTATTTTATTTTATTTTTTATTAAACTTTAAGTTCTGGGATATGTGTGCAGAACGTGCAGGTTTGTTACATAGGTATACACGTGCCATGGTGGTTTGCTGCACCCATTAACCCATCATCTATATTAGGTATTTCTCCTAATGCTATCCCTCCCCTTGCCCCTACCCGCGACAGGCCCCGGTGTGTGATGTTCCCCTCCCTGTGTCCATGTTTTCTCTTTGTTCAACCCCCACTTATGAGTGAGAACATGCGGTGTTTGGTTTTCTGTTCCTGTGTTAGTTTGCTGAGAATGATGGTTTACAGCTTCATCCATGTCCCTGCAAAGGACATGAACTCATCCTTTTTAATGGCTGTATCCATGTCCCTGCAAAGGACATGAACTCACCCTTTTTTATGGCTGCATGGTATTCCATGGTGAAAATGTGCCACATTTTTTTTTATCCAGTCTATCATTGATGGGCATTAGGATTGTTTCCAAGTCTTTGCTATTGTGAACAGTGCCACAATAAACATACATGTGCATGTGTCTTTATAGCAGAATGATTTATAATCCTTTGGGTATATACCCAGTAATGGGATTGCTGGGTCAAATGGTATTTCTAGTTCTAGATCCTTGAAGAATTGCCACACTGTTTTCCACAATGGTTGAAGTAATTTACAATCCCACCAACAGTGCAAAAGTGAGGAACCAAATTTTGAACTTTAATTAACTTAAATTGCAACAACCACATGTGGCTAGGGGATACTATATTCAACAGTGCAGTTCTGGAAGTTACCAGAGATAGTGTTGCTAAAAGTCATACAGTGACCTTAATGTCTTACCGTTTATACACATAAAAAGCATGTTGTACTTTGCTTTTTAAAAAATCTCAAAATGGAAATAATTTCACTTAATATAGACATCATATTGACATTATAGGTACAGCATAGTTGGTTAAAAGCAAATAATGCCTTCATTTATTCACTGGCTGGAGTTGTCTGACCTAATAAGCAGAGGCTAAATTCACAATTAATTAAAGATTTCATGTTCATTCAGCCAAGACATGCCTCAAACCACTTTTTGTTCAGCTAGCCAGCAAGATACTTAGAGCCATATTTAGGACATCTTGCAACTATAATCAACATATGCAAAATATCCTATTTCAAAGAAGATCCTTCCTTTATAAGATTAGTAATTCTGTTGTATGAACAGGATTTTTCTCTATTATGCTAAATATAATCATTTTGTAGTAAATGAATACGGCAATGTACTATATGAAAATTTATATGTAATTTGATTATTGTAATTTAACAAATAGTTCTCTTACTGAAGATCAGGCAGCATATTTTTCTATTTAGGGATGAGGAAACAGAGGTTTGGAGAGGTTAAGCTGTTTTCCTAAGGTTATATAACAGGTATGTGGAATTCTGATGCAGGAACTCCTATCTGTTTAATCCAAAGTGCCTCACACCCAACAATACTGCTTTTACTTGATATATAATGATAAAACCTTGATATATAATGATAAAACCTAACTGCAATCACCAATCTTTTTCTTTTTTTTCTTTTCTTTTTTTTTTGTTTTTTGAGATGGAGTCTAGCTCTGTCACCCAGGCTGGCGTGCAATGGCGCGATCTCCACTCACTGCAACCTCCACCTCCCAGGTTCAAGCTATTCTCCTGCCTCAGCCTCCCAAGTAGCTGGGATTACAGGTGCCCGCCACCACGCCCAGCTAATTTTTGTATTTTTAGCAGAGACAGGGTTTCACTGTGTTGGCCAGGCTGGTGTCGAACTCCTGACCTCGTGATCCACCCTCCTTGGCCTCCCAAACTGTTGGGATTACAAGCGTGAGCCACCGCGCCCGGCTCACCTATCTTTTTCTAAGGATAGAGACCAAAGAAGCCACAACCCCTTCCAAGGAGTCAACTGACGCCAATGGGATGCTGTGGTGCAGGACACTTGGGGGGTGCTGCAGCTGATGCCCCTTGGTCTCCTGGTGGTGGAAGGGAAATGGGACTAGATACGAGATTGGCATCTAAGCCATACAAAAAAGCTGTCTCAGACAGGTTGGGCCAGTAAGCACAACGTCACTTATCTATATTGGCTTCTGGTTACCTAATGGGTTTGGTTTGGTAAAAATTAAGAATCAGACTTCTGGGATGCAAGCTATGCCTGTTCAAAATCTGCTGTCAGCCCCTGTGTTTCAAGCTTAACCTTGAACCTCATCATTAATCAGGTGACCTTAGACCGTTTTATCAGCCACGTATCTGCTAGCATAAATCTCCCTTCTGTGAATTCAGAACACTGATACCTCACATTCACTAAAAATACAATGAGAGACAGATGCTCACTTTCTTTATTTGCTGTTGTATTCTTGGTCCCACTTTGCCATTTTTAAAACAGGAAAACGTTTCCCTTACTCGAACGCTAAAGTGCAAAGCTGCTGGTGACGCTGCCTTCTCCCACCTCCGCACTCCACTGTCCTTGCAAACTTTGGACAGAGGAAAGGTGGGCACGGGGCGCGAAACTACAAGTCCCGGCATGCACGGCGTTCTCCGCACAGGCGCACGGGGACCGCCGGGCCAGCCGGCCAGCCAGCCTGCGGAGACTCCCGGGTCCCCGCGCCGGACTGGGACTGGGAGCAGGCAGCCCGGGCGGAGCGGGCCGGTGCCGAGGACGGCCCCAGGCATTGCTCTGCCCCGGGCATTGCGCGGCGCGCGTGAGGGGGATGCGGCAGGAGGCGGCGCGGCGGGAGGAGTAGGCGGCGGCGCCCTCGGGAGGGAGCTGCGCGCGGGCCAGACGGCGCCCGGAGGCTCCGCAGTGCCGCCGCCGTCGCCCGGGAGGCTCCGCGCGGGAGCCATGTAACCCTGCGGCGGGCTCCGGGCTGCTCCGTCCTTCCCCAGCTCCCGGGCTAGCGCGGCAGCGGGGCCACGATGAAGAAGCAGTTCAATCGCATGCGCCAGCTGGCCAACCAGACGGTGGGCAGGTAGGTCACCCGCGGGCACCGCTGTCGGTGCGCGCCCGCGAGGCTGCATCCGCAGGGGCGCGCAGGTGATGGAGCCCGCCCAGCCTCCAGTCCTCCTTGCCTCAGTCCTTTCCCCTGCACCAGCTCCCTCCAGGCGCCGCTCGCAGGCGCGACCCCTCCTCCCTAACTTCCCAGACCCCGGAGCTCTTCTCACTCGCCGCCTTCTGCTCCGGGCTCCGGTTGCCAAGCGCAAAGTGTGACGCATCCTTTACCTGCGTCCCCGGCTGCCCCTTCGCTTCGTCCTCCCTGCCTTTCCCCGGGACTCCCTTCTCCCTCTGGCCGCCTGTCTTCCTGGAAACAGGTGTTTGCTCTGATTGTGCTGGAGGCAGCCGAACCGCAGTCGGTCTCCGGAGATCTCTTCCCTCCCCTCCCCTGCGCCGAGTTCAGGGCTGCTCCCGGGTCCAGGGAAAGTGCTGGGCCTGGTCGGCCTGCCCCTCCCGCCGTGTTTGTTTTCAGGGACTATGACTGTACGAGATTCTGGATCACTTTCCTGGCCGGGTTTCTTAAGGCGTTTGGTGGGGGGAAAGGGTGAGGGGTGGGAGAGGAAGGAAGGTGCTGGTGGAATGGCGTTGCTGCCTGCTTGATGTTAGGACTGATTTCAGTGGAGGGAGGGAGGCTGCAAAAAGGAGGCCCAAGTCCTCGGGAAGATGAGATAAGCAGAGAATCGCAGCCAGGTAGGGGAGGGGGACAGAGGCCCCACAGTCAGAAGAGTCAGGCCCCGGGAAGCTGCAAGACCCCGCCTGCTGCCATCACGGTGAAAATGGGCTACATCTGGACTCCAGGAGCGGCTCTGCAGGGTGCCAACATCTATTAAGGTTACATAAAAATCCTGGTGGGTCGCTCCCAAGACTAGACATTCTTTGAACACAGGAGCGTTAGGTAGAAGGGATTTTTCCTGGAACCCCTACTCCTGGGGAGGGATTTCCGTTGCTGCTGTGGCAAAGGAATTCAGGTGTGCTGTTCTAAAGCAATCAGAAAGCAAAGAATCCAGCCTTGGGTGCAGTTCAAATGCAAGCTCAACACCTCGAGGGCTCTCCACTAGGTTTACGGAGAAACCGAATACCTTTCTTGGGTGGGAAGTGGAGCCTGAACTGGCATCTGGTAGGATGGGGGTGGGGACATCCCTGGGGAATAGGGGACATCTGAACTCCCGTCTGAGCATACTGCCCTAGTTACAGTGGGCATTTGAGGGCAGGGGATGCGGTGGCTTCTTATGCTTCCAGGGACTCCAGATGGTTTCCAAGTAACAATGTCTAAAATTGACTTGGATTCATTTTTCCTTCCCAAACACATGTGCTTTAACATGAGGGGGAATTTATGAATAGCAGAGTCAGATTAGCCCAGATTTCTGGCATGGTATTGCCACAGATATAGCCTCACGTGGACTGCCTTTTGATGTGTTGGATGCCGAGATAGTGTTTCCTGGTATTCGTTGTTTAGCAGATGACAGTCAAGCCGACCCGTCTTTAATGTCTTGGCTTCTTCGTCACCCTGCAGGCGGGCATTGGCCATCACCTCAGACCAGCCAAGTGACCAGGAGGCCCCTGACACTAGACTTGGGTTGCTGGTTTCTCTTGGTCTTGGGGTTTCAGTGCCGTGCTAGAATCTAAATGTTCAGAACATGTTTATGCCTCCTCCCTGGCCTTCCTGAAACACAATTCTTCTTTTTTTCAGGACCTGTTTTTAAATGGGGGAGATTTTTGCGCCATGGCATCATATCTTATTTTTCAGCCTCATCCATGGGGGGAATGCAAAATGGTGAGGGGAGGTTGGATTTCAGAAAAAGTGGTCTTAGGTATTGAGAGCACGTTCTTGGAAGTCCAAGCAGCTGGTTACCAAGAGGTTCTTTCCTCTTCTTTGTTGGGGCTCTGGTGGATGTTGGCCTATGGATGAATTCTGCCTTTCTCCGTTGGTAGCCATTGTGTTGTGCACTGGGCCAGGTGAGGGCCAGCCTGTATCGCTTTTGATGAAATCCAGAGCAAGCCTTTTAAAGCAAAAACCAGTTCATGTTACCTTGCTGCTGAAAAGCTTCCAGCGACATCTGATTGTGCTTAGCATCTCATATCTTGCCAGGGTTCTACAGGACCATCCTTGGTTGGCCTTTTTTCTTAACTCTTTTTCTCCCCATTCTCATCTCTTCACATTCATGGAGCTCTAGCCGTGTGGCCTTTCTTGCCCCAAACACACTGAGCTCATATCCACCTTGAGGATTTCGTTTTTACTGTTTTCCCATTTTTTTTGTTTTTTGCTTGGCTGAGAATGTGCTCCTTCCAAGTAGCTTTTTCTCATCATTTCAGTCTTGGTTCCAAGGCCTTCAAGAGGCCCTTCCTCCCCTATTTACCTCCAGCTCATCATTTTTTCATTTCTGGACAGCACTCATCACTGATTGAAACGCTTTTATTTTTTATTTTCTTGTCTGTCTGCTTCCAGCAGAATCTATTGATTGCTGTTGTATGCCTGTGTAGATAGTGCAATGCCGTTTAGACTACTGACTCTCAATCGGTGTTGATTGCCGAGATTAAAACGGTTTACCCCAGGGTCCGTGAGGGTCAGCGAGAGGGGCAGTATCTCCTCTATTATTGAGAATGTTTTGGGTCATGATCCTATGAGTATTGGAGTAAAAGAGCCCGCGGTTGCCTGTTAATTTCTTAAATCAGTAGAAGCACATAGGATTGGAATTTGGACTTTAGGTGTGCAGTTATAAAGCACTTGATTTTTATCCTTATATTTTTCTAAAGTTTTCCTCTTTCCGAGGGAGGACTAAGAGGACTTGAAAGTCCTTCCTCATGGCTCGCCTTCCCTAAGTTGCAGGTTCTGGAGTTCTGAATATAAAACTTAAAGTCATTTTAACAATGTAGGAGTTGCCCTACTTAAACATACTCTGCTGGGTTACTAGTACTTTCTCTCGAAGTGCTCACATCCAAGTCATATTAAGGGCGTCAGCGACTATGAAAAGATTTGATAAAACCCATTGTATTTAACTGACAAAAGTTTCAGCCCCTCCTTGGTCTGTTTCCTTAGTCTGCACGTGTTCCTTCTGCTTTGAACTTTCCCCTTTCTGTCCCTTCACTTCAATCCGTCCTTTGGGAAGCACTCCCTGGCCACTGTGTGCCTCATGGTTAGGAGCACAGGCTTTCCACTGGGACAGGTTTAGTTTGTTGCTGACTATGGAATCCAGAGCTTAATTCTCTGCACATTAATTTTCTTACTTGCAAAATGGGAGTAGTTAAGGATTGCACTGTGGTAATGTGGTAACCACAGTGATAACATAGATAACCTGTGAAAAGTACCTAGCAGTGCTCAGCACTAGGAAATGCTTAATAAATGGTAGCTACAAGTATCTCTGGGCAAATGTTATGACTGTTATTGAATTATATGCACTATGGCATATGTACCTTTATTAGATGTCTACTGTGTCCCAGACACTGCTCTGGTTCAGGGAGTATTGCAGTACAGGGCAAACAAAATTCCTGTTTGCCTGGAACCTGCATTCTAGGCCGGGCGTGGTGGCTCACGCCTGTAGTCCCAGCACTTTGGGAGGCCAAGGAGGGTGGATCACCTGAGGTCAGGAGTTCGAGACCAGCCTGGCCAACATGGCGAAACCCCGTCTCTACTAAAAATACAAAAATTAGCTGGGCATGGTGGCGGGCGCCTGTAATCCCAGCTACTGGGGAGTCTGAGGCGGGAGAATCGCTTGAACCCGGGAGGTGGAGGTTGCAGTGAGCCAAGCTTGCACCACTGTACTCCAGCCTGGGCGACAGAGTGAGACTCCATCTCACACAAAAAAAAAAAAAGGAACCTGCATTCTAAAAGCATGCTATGGTAATAATGGCTCACTTGTGTTATAATTTTTATCTTTTGTCATTTACTTTCCCCACTAGACTTTAAACTCTTTGGAGGCAGGGACAGCTGCCCTAACGCTGCCCTGTATAGAAGGTCCTCTGTCATTCTTTGGCAATGGAATGAGTAAGTGAACAAAAGATCCATGCGCTATAGATAGGGGAGTCTTTTGAAGTAGTTCAAAGATGGGGAAAGCTCCTGATACCATGTTTCTTTAACGTTGTGATGGTGGTCAGAGGAGAGAGGAACAGCTGCACTTCTGGGCATTGGAAGGGCAGAGCAAGATTTACGGGAGAATTTGGTTCTTGCCTGATTGATGGCAGCATTTTTCTTTTTACCTTCAAGAGAGTCTAGCAGTTGCTGGAGTGAGAAGCATACCGAAAGGCATAGAGTATTTTTCTTGGAAGTGACATTTGCTTGATGTTGGGTGGAGCAAAGCCCTGAGCTAAAATTTGGCACCCACGAGACCCACTAAGATAAAGCAAATGGAAGAAGTAATGGTACCTTGATTTGGTGGGGAGGACTTTTTTTTCCAGTCTGCACAGTGGGTTCACAGCGGCCCCATCCTCAGAGGGCTGTCATGAGGTTGGAGGGAGCCTGGTCCACTGAAGTCCTCAACAAATGGTTGAGGTGGTTCGTTGTCACTGAACACCCATTCAAGTCTTCCAAAAATAATGTTGGCCTCCTAAGTAGAAAAGGATTCTTAGAAACGATTTCAACAGCTACTGCCCAGTGATGGTCCAAGTGGGGCTTGTCCTCTTGTTTAAAATGAGTGATGTTCAAAGTGTCTGGGAGTAGGTGAGGAACTGTGGGTGTGCGGGAAGGAGAAGGCTGGTTGGGTCGGGTTGAATTGTGTGGATTTAGAGGCTATGAGTTGGGGAGTGAAGACAAAGTTTTGTCTCTGGAGCCTTGTTTTCTATTCCTTGACTGCTTTGCATACATTGCAAAGCAGGCTTGGTTTCTGGTGCACAGCTTTGCAGGTATCATTGCTGCTGTGCAGCTCTTGGAATTCAGCTGCAGAGGCCTAGGCATTAGCCAGTGGTGGGGAGCCTGGGAACTGGAGGCTGAGGCTGCAGCAGCCTCTAGGAGCACTGGTGCTGCAGACATTTTTGTCTGGGCCAAAGCTGCCAAAGTCAGTGAGGATCTTTTCCTTGAAGGTATCTCTGAGACATTGCCCTGCCTTGTAGTAGGCCTTCTAAGAGCCGTGACCCAATCAATAGGACATTAGAGGAAAATCAGAACCAATTCCAAATTTGGCTTTGGACTGCTTTGTTCCTTCCCTTCTATTTCCCTTACTGTGAGTTAGACCTGCCAGACCAACACAGGCCCTGCCATGGGCTTCCTGTTAGCCCAGCAGGGCTGGGCGGACCCAAACTCGTCCCCCAAAGAGCGCTGTGCACATTGAATGGGTCTCAGAGCAAAGTTTTTCATTAGAGTTTTATGGAAGCCCAGGCCTTACTGCCTGTTCTGCTGTATATATGTGAGAGATAACAGAGTGTACTAACCCACCGATTACTGGGTTAGCAAATCTGGAGAGAATATTCTTTGCTCTTATCTTCTAAGATCCTCACTGTGTGGGTCTGCTGGGTTTCACCTTCTGCTGAGCTGCTGTCAGCAGTCAGCCTGAAGCTGTCTAGATTTCCTGCAGAATTCTGTTATCCCAGACCTGCAAGTCATCGTGAGGAAGCCATGCTCTTAAATAGCAATTAATCATTTTCCTTCCCAGTTTGTCTCCATCAAAGTAATTTATCAATGATTTTTTTTTTTTAATGATGGGCAATAAGGACCATTTTTTTTTTCTCTAGAGAAAGTGGATCAGTAGCCATACAAATATACTGGTAATTTATGGTCATTCCTTTTAGAGGGGATTAGTAAGTATCCCTTTTATTAATAATCAAAAGCAGTTTATTTCAAATGCTATTTGATAAAGACAGCAAATAATAAAATTATGCTACATCTGTGTGGATGTAGTTGTAGGTCAGGCAGGAGGTTGGGGGGAGAGTCAGAGAGTCAGGCCTCTTCCCTCGGGCGTGGGGCATCCAATTGAGCTGGCACCTGGAACTCCACCGCCTTTGGGAAGCTTGTGGCTGTCTAGCAATTTCAAACTCTTCTTTCTGTCCAGGAAGCAGATGTTTTGCTTTCATTTTCCAACTTTAGAGCTTATTTTTAGAATAAATGTTTATTTTCCCACAGAATTCAATTTACTTTTTTTAACCTTCATTTTGGTTATATAAGTAATATTTGTTTATGGTAGAAAAATCATAAACTTATGGATGGGCTAAAAGGAAAAAAAAATCACCTATAATCTCATTACCCAGAGACCATAGTTAATATTTTGGATATAGTCTTTCAGTTTTTGAGAAGTATATCTATCTATCTATCTATCTATCTATCTATTCTTTAAAAAGAGTACAGACCATACTCTGTATACTGTTTTGTAACCTGTTTTTTTTTCCTTTATATTACATCTTGGATATGATCCCATGTCAATAACTGTTAATCCCCAGCATAATTTTTGAAGGCTATACAGTATTCCACTGTAGTTAACTCATTTTCTTTTGCTACTCACTTAGCAAATATTTCTCATGAATTTAGCTTCTTAGGATGAAGTCTTAGAAATGTAATTGCTGGGTCAAAGAATATGTGAATTTTTAAGACTTTGAATGTGTATATTATACACACATACATACACACTACTTTCACTGCAGCCTTGAACTTCTGTGCTCAAGCGATCCTCCATCCTCAGTCTCCCTAAGTGCTGGGATTACAGGTGTGCAACACCATACCTGACCCCACCTCTTTTATTTTCTAGTGAGGCTGAACTTTTCTTTGTTTTTTTTTTTTGAGATGGAGTCTCACTCTGTCACCCAGCCTGGAGTGCGGTGGCATGATCTCGGCTTACTGCAAGCTCTGCCTCCCGGATTCATGCCATTCTCCTGCCTCAGCCTCCCAAGTAGCTGGGACTACAGGCACCTGCCACCACACCTGGCTAATTTTTTTTTTTTTTTGAATTTTTAGTGGAGACAGGGTTTCACCGTGTTAGCCAGGATGGTCTCGGTCTCCTGACCTCGTGATCTGCCCGCCTCAGCCTCCCAAAGTGCTGGGATTACAGGTGTAAGCCACTGCGCCTGGCCTTGAGGCTGAACATTTTTAAAGTTCTCTTGACATTAGTTGCCTTTTCTAAATTGCCTGCATTTGTCTTTGCCCCATTTTTCTAAAGTCATGTTCACAATTGTTTTCTTATTGATGTTAAGGTAATTTTTAATATATTAAGCATATGTATGCTTTGTCATATGCCACACACATCTCCCTAGAGGTTTTAAAAATTTTTGTTGTATGTCTCTTTTTTCTTTTGGCCGTGTATAAATTTAACATTTTGTGATCTTAAGTCTATCTATTTGTGGTTTGTTCTTCAGTGTTATGTCTGGGGATACTTTGCCCAGATGCAGATTATATAAATATGCATGCATTTTTATTACTATTTATAATAATTTCATTTTACCTTCAGATCTCTAGTGTGTCAGTCATTGATTTTGATGTATGACATGGCTTAGGTATAATACTTACGCTTTTTAAAATTGATTACCCTGCTATTGATTAGTGTAATTCATACCCACCATATTGAAGTATCATCATCATTGTGTACTAAAAAATTTCATCTACTTTTATCTTTTTCTGTGATTTCTAGTTTGTTTTTTATTGTCTGTTGGTTCTGGCAGGAATTTAAGACGGGCTCAGCTACCCAGATAAGCAGTGGTGGGTTAATCCTTATCATGAGACCCCGTCCATTGGGTGGGAGTGGAGTCAGGCTGAACTTCTCAGCTCAGCTTCAACCCGGGCCATTCCTGGGTCTTTAGAGCACAACAGCCTTTGCCTAAGGATCATGCTGTGTCTTAACCACAGTTAACCTCCAAATTGCTCCATTATGAAAGAAAGTTGATCAGTTTTCTTGACTGTGCTCATTTGTTTATTGTCTCTCAGTATTACTTTTTAAAAGTGTATATTAAGATGGAAAAAAATGGGCATTTTTACAATATTGAGTATAATGCGAATTCTTCTCATCTGGGAATAGGGCATGTTTATTCCAATCTATTTATAATCCTATAAAGTAGTTTTTGTCCATTTTGCTCCTGTACAATTTTGCTTTTACTTATAGGTAATTTGTCAGTGTTGTTACTGTAGCTTCAGTGATTTGAATCTTTTATTAAATTATATATTTTTTCTTACTCTTTGTTGCTGGAATGTAGCGAAGTTGTTGATTTTTATGTAATTATCTTAACAGCCGCCTTCATGAACTATCTCATTATTTTTAAATACTTTTTTTAAAAAAATTGAGTCTGTGGGATTTTCCAGGGAGACAATTAGGTCTTCTGCAAATAATAATTTTGTATTTTCCTCTCTGGTGGTTTATACTTGTTTTATTTTCTCACCTAATTGCATTGTCTAGGACTTATAGAACAATGTTAAAATATCATGGCAATATGTGGGCATTCATGTCTTATTAACCTCAATTAAAATGCATGATGATTGGTTTGAGATATTTTGTTTTTTAATTATGTTACATATTGCATAATTTTATTTTACTTTGAGGTTTTCTTTGACATCAAAGTTAAATTTGATTTATCATGGCATTTGCAGATAATCACAATGTGTTTTTTTCTTTGATTTTGACATCACTCAATAATTTATTCCGTATATATTTATTGGACACTTTTATGTTCCAGGCATCATTGATACATCAATGATAGAGTCAGTACCCATGAGGAGCTTGTGTTTTGGATGTTTGAACCTCAATAGATTTTCTAATATTGAGCTCTCCTTGCCTTCCTGCAGTTAATCTTGACTATGGTGTGTTCATATTTTTCAATACTGCTTGATTTAATTTGTTATTTAGGATGTTGGCATTCAACATTCATAAATGAAAGCATTTGATTTTTTTCCCCCATATCTGTCATGTTTTGTTAATTGTGTAAAATGAGTTGTTCAATGTTCTTTTTGTTCCTATAGAATGGTAAGATGGAGAAGTACTCATTCTTTGAAGATAAAAACAACTTTCCAAGGGTGTTTTCTGGATGTAGTTCTTTGACAGTTTTCTGGATTTCTTGAATGGTTATTGGACTATTCATGTTGTCTATTTTTTCTTGAGTCAGTTTGAATAACATATTTGATAGAAAAGCATTCATTATACTATGATTTTAAAATTTAATAGAAAGTTTTTGAGTATATCATTGTATTTCTATTGTCATTCCTAATTTACAATTCTGTTTTTCCCTTTGACAAGTTTTGCCCCAGAGGAAGTCTCTCCCTACCCCGGTCAGTAATTAGATTTAAGCTATTTTCATTTGGATTTCTTTCTCATTAGCTTTTGATCAGCACATATGTTTTCTAGTAAATTCTGCTTTTCTCAGATCCTTTCCTCCTGATTTCCCTGAGTTTACTTTGTTCTTTTCCTGGTCTTTAGTCTTCCATGTTGTGTTAGGATAGGTTAAGCTCTGCTGTGATAACACATGAGCTCTGGAATTTCAGGGGCTTAACATAGCAAAAGCTTCCTTTAAGCTCATGTGAATGTGATGTGAGTCAGGAGGACTCCCATGGACAGCTCTCCTCCGTGTGTGATTCTGGAACCTAGTCTATCCATCTTCCCCTCCACCTCAAAATCTCAGTATGTGGTTTTCAGTCAGTGCTAAAGGTAAAAGAGAAAATAGAAGTGGTATACTGGCTCTTAGATGCCTGGGCCTGGAATTCACAAACGTCACTTATGTTCACTTTTCATGGGCCAGTACTAGTTCCCTGGATATGACTGGAGACAGGGAGCCTCCACCCCTGTTGAATCTCCAGCAGTCTTCTTTCTCTCCGCTTCCACTGCTCATGACTGTCTTTTGAATCTACAGTCTTCTCTGCCCCGCCCTACCCTCCGACGTTCAGGTATGCTCACTGCAAACTCTGCCTCCCGGGTTCAAGTGATTCTTCTGCCTCAGCCTCCTGAGTAGCTGAGATTACAGGCAGCTGCCACCACACCAGGCTAATTTTTGTATTTTTAGTAAAGACAGAGTTCACCATGTTGGCCAGGCTGGTCTGGAACTCCTGACCTCAGGAGATCCATCTGCCTTGGCCTCCCAAAGTGCTAGGATTACAGGTGTGAGCCACCATGCCCGGCCAGAGAAAATTAATTTTTTGTTTTGAGCCCTTTCTACAATAGGGAGAGGAATAATGAAGAGAACAGAAACTATCCTACTGTACTGGAATGGCACCTACTTTATGGGGTTATTGTCAAGGTTAAGTAAGATAGTAAATATCATATCCTTAGAATAACCCCTGGTTGTAATAAGCACTCAATAAATGACAGTTATTACCAATATTCCTTGCCGTGCTGAAAGTGTCTTTGACATGAAGCATTTATTTTGTTATTTATATTCCTCGTTACCTGAAAATTACAACTTGAAATTGATACCCATTTGTCTCCTTTTCCCAAATCAAGCCCAGTTTTTCTGTATTTAGCCAAGAGCATGCCTGAAGGCAGCACCTTGAGGTATCAGTAATTGTAATGGCTTCACTCATTGAATCCCCATGGTGACTAATAGTTATTGTATCACTCAATTTAAGTCTAGGTTAAGCAGCTGTAACAAAAGCCCCCAAGTCTCAGCTGCTTATAGCACTGGCCAGTGGAGGGTTGGAGGCAGCTCTTCTGAGACCCAGGCTGCAGTGGGCTCGGTTCCACACATGGTGCAGTGATGGCAGAGGCAGTAAATGAGGATGTGAGAAGTTATATCCTGGCTCTGAATATTCTGGAAGTGACGCGTGCCACTTCTACTCTCAAAGTAGAAGGCAATCCTGATACCGGCCAAAAGTCATAGAGCCACAGAAGCCACATCTGTGTCATCTGTTGTCAGGAACTAGGCTATGTAGTTTATAAGCATTATTTTAATTCACTCATTGCAACGTCTCTGTGAATGGGGCTATTTACAGCCCCATTTCACAGATGGGGAAATAGAGGCTAAAAGCGGCAGAGCCAGATTTGAACCAGGGCCTAAGTAGGTCAGTCGTAGGCAAATGCCTCTCCTGCTTCTCTCCCCCTAATCTTGTTATTTCTGCTGCCTCAGAGTCCCTCAAAGTTACTTCAGTTTAGGTGGTTTTAGAAATGCTAATTAACTGCTCCTGACTTGAATAAAAATAAAAATGTCACGTTCATTTAAGATAATTGAGTGTCTTGTATGTACCCTTAACCACAAGGAGCATAAAGTGAAATTTCTGCCAATAGAAGATTCTTTCACTTTGTTTTTTTTATTGCAATTTCAGCAGAAAAGGTAAGAGAAAGTTCTTTGTAGCTCTATGCTGAGAGACAGCAGTTTATCTGCAAAAGCCTCTACAGACTCCTATGTAACACATTAACCAAACAAGGACCTGAAAACATAGAGTCTGAGAAAGGAATATGAAAAGTGGACAGAGCTTTTAGCACTAGGAATCTCATGCACACTGTTGCCTTTGCAGATGTGTGTGCACACTGGCTTGGTTTTCCTAGATGCTGTTTAAGTGTGTCCTCTGACGGACACTTGTGCAGTAACGGCACAGACCTTCCTGTTTTATCCTCCCAACAACTCTTAAGAGTAGGTTCTGGTGTCTCCCCCATTTTCTACACAAGTCTCAGAGCAGGTGAGTGCCTTGTTGCTGCTGGTTGCATAGCTGGTGAGGGAAGTGGTTTGAGATTTGCTTCCAGAAATGCTGGCTCTGACATTGATATTTTTCATCACTGTACTTTAATGACTCTGCAGTAGGGAAAGAAGCATAAACAATGAAATGTCTAATATTAATGGAATGATTAAGTAAATTCTGGTACATTTGCACAATTGTAACTATTAGTGTTTTTATGACATTCAAAAAATGTCTAAGGGCCGAGAGACATGTTTATGATAGGGAACAGGATATATGAGTGCATACAGGGTTAAGATTGTACAGTATTTTAAAAAATGCATAGAAAAGTCTGGAAGGAAATCAGGAAAGACTAGAAGATTAAGCATAAAATGTTATCTCTGGGCAGGATTATGAGTGATTTGATTTCTGCTGCTTATGCTTTTTTTTAACTTCCAAATTTCTTAAAATAAACGTGTATTTTATTGAAGAGAGAGAGAAAAAAAAAGCTTCCAGGGCTCAAAGTAGACAACTGTAGTCAGAATTTCTTAGAATGGTATTTTATTTTAACTTTGGGGCCCTAAAAAGTCTAAGTACAAATATGTTTCCAGTTGCCTTGACTCCTGGTTTTAAATGTGAGAAATCTCTTATCTTTAATGTTCTGGAAGGGACGTGATGTCAGATCTCATTTTCTAGGATAAACTAGTCTGCCATTGGAAAATGATATGCTAATAGCCTTTTAGGCCATTGCTACTAATTTTAAAGACATAACATTTTGAGACTTGGTCTGTATGACACATAGCTGAAATTTGCTGGTTCCCCCATAATCAGTTAGGGTTCTCTGGATGCAGCAGCAGAAATAGACTCTAGCTAATTTTAGCAAAAAAGGAGTTTTGGGAAGGGTGGGGATGGTTGAAAAATCAAAGGGAAGAGCTGGACAGTGCGGCCTGGGAGTGACCACAGAGTGTCCCTGCTGCAGGGCAAAGGACAGTGTCGTCAGAGGCCACTGGCAAAGGAGTTGCTTCAAAATTCTTTTCTGTCATTGGGTCACTCAGGTGATTCACATATGACAGTCTAGTTCGTTAAGTCCGATCTTCACTTGGAAACAGGGGGAGAATAGGAATTCTTTCGATTGACAGTCTACAATGACAGCAGTGAGGAGAGGCAGAGTGCAAAAGGAAAATCAGACTCTTGGCCCGAGGACAGGGAAGGGATGATGCTGTTTAACATACCCAGTTGTTGACCAGGCTCTTTAATCAGTGACATCAAAGACCCCACCTTGATCGATTTGCCAGGGTTCTACTTACTGATTTAGTGTGTTTCCTGGCATTCAAAGTAGTCCATTCTTTTTTATTTCTTTTTTTTTTTTTTTTTTTTTTTGATACGAAGTCTCCCTCTGTCGCCCAGGCTGGAGTGCAGTGGCGTGAGCTCGGTCCACTGCAACCTCCGCCTCCCGGGTTCAAGTGATTCTTGTGCCTTAGCATCCTAAATAGTTGGGACTACTGGCATGTACCACCATACCTGGCTAATTTATATATATATATATATATATATATATATATATATATATATATTTTTTTTTTTTTTTTTTTTTGAGGCAGAGTCTAGCTCTGTCACCCAGGCTGAAGTACAGTGGCGCGATCTTGGCTCACTGCAACCTCTGCCTCCTGGGTTCAAGCAATTCTCCTGCCTCAGCCTCCCGAGTAGCTGGGATTACAGGCGCCCACCACCAGGCGCCTGTATTTTTGTATTTTTAGTAGAGACAGGATTTCACTGTGTTGGCCAGGCTGGTCTCGAACTCCTGACCTCAGGTGATCCACCCGCCTCGGCCTCCCAAAGTGCTGGGATTACAAGCGTGAGCTACCGCGCCCAGCCAATTTTTGTATTTTTACTAGAGATGGGGTTTCACTGTGTTGGCCAGACTGGTCTTGAACTCTTGACCTCAAGCGATCTGCCTGCCTCTGCCTCCCTAAATGCTGGAATTGCAGGCGTGAGCCACCATGCCTAGCCCCAGAGAAGTCCATTTTTATCTCTTACCTATCCAGTTGGCTCCTATGAATCCATCCCTGAATTATATTTTATCTGTTTCTCCTTTTTAATTTATTTAAACTTGATTTAAGAGACAGTGTCTTACTCTGTTGCCCAGGCTGGAGTGCAGTGGCGTGGGTCGTAGCTCACTGTATGCTCAACTTCCTGGGCTCAAATGATCCACCCATCTAGGCCTCTTGCTTTTTAAATTTCTGTATCTTAATTATAGTCTGCTTCTCTAGCCTCGACTTTTGCAGGGACTCCTTTCTTTGTATTCTTGCCCTTAGCCTCTTCTTCCTCTGACTTCCCGCAACACAGCCCAGACCATATTTTTGAATACATGGACTGAAGAATGTAATTTTCCTTTTTTTCAAGTTTTGTTCTGTGGGGAAAAAAATCCTAGCACTGTTGGAAATACTGCATACTATAAATTTATCTTAGAAATTTACAATCTATATTTGTATTTACGGCTCTAAGAAGTTCTGCAGTTAAGAAAACTCGTGATCATTTGTATCTCTTGGATTGCTTTCGGTTATAATAACAGATGTCATAATTCAGAGTGGCTTAAACAATAAGGGAACTTTTATTCCAGGATGATAGGGCATCCAAAGGTAGGAGGAGTCCAGGTGTCTTGTGATTAAGTCACTTGCTGTCTTTCTCTCCATTTTTCTTCGCTTTGCCTTCATCTGTGTCTTGGCTTGTTTCCCTGTCAAAATACAGGTGTTTGCAGCAATTAGGGTGATTTGCCTCCACGTTCACAAACCAAAGAGGAGACAAAGAAGCAGCCCAAGTGGTCCTGATCATGGAATAAGAGCGCTTTCCTCTAGTCTAGGCCAATTTATTTCACACGTTTACTATTGACCATTAACACATGCTGGAGGGAGGGGTTGCAGAGGGCTGATGGTGCCCATGCTTCTGTCTTTGAAGCCAGAAAGTAGGATTATGATGACTGGCTTAGATCCATCAAGACCCCATCTGGAGTTGGACGTGGGGATAGCCTCGCCTAAGTCAGGAGACCTTCATGGCGAAGGGATGGGTACCTGGGCAAATCAGAGTTTTCATGGGAAGGAAGGAGGAGGAAAGTATTCAAGTAAACAGCCAACACTATCCACTGTGACTTGGTTTAAGCCAGCATTTTGAGTGTGAATACTGTTTTTCATGGGATACCCATTCTTCAAACTAGAGTTTGTAGGATGTGTCATGGAGATTGTTCTTCAATGAAGTTCAAGTATTCCCCTTTAGCATTCAACACTTTGACCTTTGATTAAGCTATTGCCTCTCCTTTCCATTTATCGAAACTGTTCTTTCAGATTCAAGAGTGCTGGTTCACACTGAGGTATAAAACTTGGTGTATTGTATTCTAGTTATACTTCTGCACACATCTGTCTCTGGTACTAATCTATAAATCCCTAGCACAGTGTCTGGAATGTAGACATAGAATAGACTCAAGAACTGTTTGTCAAATTCATTCCTAGAGTGCAATTCAGACATCCCCCCTTCCTAGCTTCCTCCATCATTCTTGAATGGGAATCTGGTGTCCACTATATCTGCTATGTTCTAAGTTCTCTGCTAGAAGTATGAGGGTGGTTAGAAAGCAATTAAATATGCCACTGAAATAGAGGTGGTATCTTTGATGGTAGATGAGGTGTTCATGGCATGATGAGAATATAATTGAGTTTGGCTGTAGTGGGGGGTTGGAAGAGGATCCTAGAACTGAGACCTGAAGGGGGAAGCACTGTTTCTTTCTTGGTGCTTCCACAGCACTCTGCTCATTTTCTCACACCACTTATTTTTTCCTGCCTTGATTTTTAGTTGCTGTTGGTTCTGTTTTCCTGACTCTACTAGAAGCTGTGTGTCTTTGCAGGGATTGGGGTTTCTTCATCTCTGTGTCCTGACTGGTGTCCACAGTGCTTTGCAAATAGCATAAGCAGGTCTTTATCAAGAGTGTGAAGAAGACACTGTATGTGCTCCTCTAAAAAGTCTCAAAGATAGATATTTTTATGGCCCCTAAATTGAGTTTTTTCCATGCTAAATATGTGTCTGTTGGCTTATATTCATGCCTTCATAATCTCCAAGATTTTTCTGTACTAACAAGAATCTGACTTTGGCGTTAGAATTATTAGTAGTTCCTAGTGTATTGTCTTTATCTCCAAAGCATTCTCAAGCCATACCTATGAATTGCATAGTCATATATGCTAAGAGGAGTATGTAAGACATGGCAGCTTATTGAGTACAGATGGTCCTTCGTTAAACAGATATTTACCGACCACTTAACTGGCATAGCTTGGGTCTCTGCAAAGCGGATACTGAGAATAGCATGCAGCATGTTTACTAGGGAGTGCTCTTAGCATCAGTACCTGTGGAAGGGAGTGAAAAGAAGCAGGACTAGGCAGAGGGAGTTGAGCTGTGATGCAGTCTCCACAAAGGCTTCAGCTGGTTCCATGTTAGGGGTGAGTTCAGAGTTATTCTGAGTTGGGAAGAGGGGAACTGAGCCTTTTCACCTCTTCATTGATTAGCCATTGCATGTGGGCTTCCCTTGAAAGGTGGTGTGACCTTCAGCAGAGGCAGTGGCAACGGACAGATGACCAAGGGTGGCCATCTGACAGCATTTCTACCTAGCAGAGGGGGTATAAGTCCTTTATTCCTGAAGGGAAATCTGGCGTACACTATATCTGCTGTGTTCTAAGTCCTCTGCTAGAAGTATGAGGGTGGTTAGAAAGCAATTATATACGCCTTTACAATTGAGGTGGTATCTTTGATGGTAAATGAGGTGCTCATGGCGTGATGAGAAAATAGTTGAGTTTGGTTGTAGTGGGGGCTTGGAAGAAAGTCCTAGAACTGAGACCTGAAGGGGAAAGCATGTTAGCAGGCTAAGGAAAGTGGGAATGGCAGGTGTGATTGCCAAGGGATATAGAGTATGTCTCTTTTAAGAAAGTAAAATAAATTCTTCATGTTGGGAATATCATTGGGAGTTGGGGTGAGGCTTGCAAATAGGATGACCATCTAATGTATTATACAAACTGGGGCCATTTCTGAGAGTGATCATGTAATTAATAATGCTGGGGACAGCAAGTGAAAACCTGGGTGAATTGTATGGTCACCCTACTTATAAGACATGGTTGTGCAGATTTGGATTCCATCTGAGAACCAATGGTAAATTACTGAGTGGCCACTTGACATCTCCCCATAGTTTTTGGTTATGAGCATGGATTCTGATGTCAGATTCCCATAGGTGCATATTTTGGCTCTATCACTTGCTAGTTGTAAAACCATGGACAAGCCCATTTAGGTTTTGTCAGCCTCAATTTTCTTATCTGCAAAATGCAGATAGCAATAAATCTATCTTATGTTCAAAGATAAACTTAGACACATTTACATTTTCATGACTTTATTTGAGCATTTAGGGATTCATGAATTGGGCAGCACCAGACCACCAGTGGTTCAGGGCTCTGTTGATAGGGGGTAAGAGGGAAACTTTTATAAGGTGTCGTGGAAGCAAAACAAAAAATATTTGATTGATTGAAGTGGAAAGTCTGGTTAGAGGTAAGTTTCTGTTTCTTGCTTGGTAAAGTAGTCTCTAGTTAGAGATTTGTTGGTGATTTCAGATTGGTTGAGCTTAAGTTTCATTTTGCAGCTTATATTGGGTTGAGTTTCAGTTTGCTTACATAGGAACCCAAGGCACAGGAACCATGTCGTCTCAGCCTAATGGCCTCCTAATTAATTTTATTGACACTTATGTGCATTAATACACATAAAGTGGAATTGAAGCATTGAATCGGAGCAGTGCTGAGCAGAGAGGAGGGCTGAGGAATAGTTCCTGGGACAGAGTAAGTCCTCAGTGACTGTGAATTGCCATTGTTATTATTTTAAATGGGAATAGCAAGGTCAGGCTTGGGTTTTAAGGTGATCACCCAGCATCCAGAGGGGAGAACCAGATGTAGAGGATGTATTTGTCTGTTCTCACACTGTTACTAAACACACACCCAAGACTGGATAATTTATAAAGGAAAGAGATTTAATTGACTCACAGTTCCACATGGCTGGGGAGGCCTCACAATCATGGCGGAAGGCAAAGGAGAAGCAAAGGCATGTCTTACATGGTGGCAGGCAAGGGAGTACGTATAGGGGAATTCCTCTTTATAAAACTATCAGATCTTGTGAGACTTAGTCACTATCACAAGCACAGCATGGGAAAGACCCATCCCCATAATTCAGTTACCTGCTACACTGGGTCCCTCTCGCAACATGTGAGAATTATGGGAGCTACAATTCAAGATGAGATTTGGGTGGGGACACAGCCAAGCCATATTATTCCACCCCTGACCCCTCCCAAATCTCATGTCCTCACATTTCAAAACCAACCATGCCTTCCCAACAGTCCCCCAAAGTCTTAACTCATTTCAGCATTAACTCAGAAGTCCACAGTCTAAAGTCTCATCTGAGACAAGGCAAGTCTCTTCTGCCTATGAGCCTGTAAAACCAAAATCAAGTTAGTTACTTCCCAGATACAATGGTTACAATGTGGATACAGGCATTGGGTAAATACACCCATTCCAAATGGGAGAAATTGACCAAGACAAAAAGGCTACAGGCCTCATGCAAGTCTGAAATCCAGTAGGGCAGTTATTAAACCTTAAAGTTCCAAAATGATTTCCTTTGACTCCATGTCTCACATTCAGGGGACACTGATGCAACAGGTGGGCTCCCACAACCTGGGGCAGCTCCGCCCTTGTGGATTTGCAGGCTACAGTCCCACTTCTGGCTGCTTTCATGGGCTAGCATTGAGTGCAGCTTTTCCAGACGCATGGTACAAGCGGTCAGTGGATCTTCCATTCTGGGTTCTGGATGACGGTGGCCCTCTTCTCACAGATCCACTAGACAGTGCCCCAGTGGGCACTCTGTGTGGGGCTCGAACCCCACATTTCCCTTCCATACTGCCCTAGCAGAGGTTCTCTGTGAATGCCCTGTCACTGCAGCAGACTTCTGCCTGGACATCCAAGCATTTCCATACATCCTCTGAAATCTAGGAGGAGGTTTTCAAACGTCAGTTCTTGACTTCTGTGCACCCACGGGCTCAATACCATGTGGAGGCTGCCAAGGCATAGGGCTTGCATCCTCTGAAGTCACAGCCCAAGCTGTACATTGGTCTCTTTTAGCCATGGCTGGGATGCAGGGAACCAAGTCCTGAGACTGCGCAAAGGAGTACGAACCTGAGTCTGCCTCACAAAATCATTTTTTCCTCCTAGGCTTCCATGCCCATGATAGGAGGGACTGTCATGAAGACCTCTGATATGCCCTGGGGACATTTTCTCCATTGTCTTGGTGATTAAGATTTGGCTCCTCGTTACTTATGCTAATTTCTGCAGGCAGCTTGAATTTCTCCTCAGAAGATGTGTTTTTCTTTTCTCTTGCATCATGAGGCTGCAAATTTTCTGAACTTTTATGCTCTGCTTCTCTTTTAAACGTAAGTTTCAATTCCAAACCATGTCTTTGTGAATACATAAAACTGAATGCTTTTAACAGCACCCAGGTTACCTCTTGAATGCTTTGCTGCTTAGAAATTTATTCTGTCAGATGCACTAAATCATCTCTATCAAGTTTAAAGTTTCACAGATCTCTAGGGCAGGGGCAAAATGCTATGAGTCTCTTTGCTAAAACACAGCACGAGTCACCTTTATTCCAGTTCCCAACAGGTTCTTCATCTCCATCTGAGATGAACAGCATTTGGTCAAAGCCATTCAACAAGTCTCTAGGAAGTTCCAAACTTTCCCACATCTTTCTGTCCTCTTCTGAGTCCTCCAGACTGTTCCAGTTCTGCCTGTTACCCAGTTCCAAAGTCACTTCCACATTTTCAGGTATCTTTACAGCAGAGCCCCACTCCCGGTACCAATTTACTATATTAATCTGTTCTCACACTGCTAATAAAGACATACCCAAAGGAAAGAGGTTTAATTGACTCACAGTTCCACATGACTGGGGAGGCCTCACAATCATTGTGGAAGGTAAAGGAGAAGCAAAAGCGTGTCTTACACGGCAGCAGACAAGAGAGCTTGTGCAGGGAACTCCCCTTTATAAAATAATTTCTTCAGACCTCATGAAACTTATTCACTATGACAAGAACAACATGGGAAAGACCTGCCCCATGATTCAATTACCTCCCATCAGGTTTCTCCCTTGACACTTGGGAATTATGGGAGCTACAATCCAAGATGAGATTTGGGTGGGGACACAGCCAAACCATATCAGGGGAGAAGACTGGTGCCAGAGTGACTAGGTAGGATGTGATACACTCAACCAGGAGACTAATTACGCAGTCAAAGTGAGATAATGGTCATCTAGATCAGATTTGTGGCCATGAGGAAAGGAGCCATGGAAGGGTTTCAGAGATAAAGGCCATGGTGGAACTTGCGGGAGCAGTGGGAGATAAAGCTGCTGCTGGGGTTGGTGCTTGGGCAAAGGGTGCTTGTGCCAGTCACTGAGAAGGAGCCTGTGAGAAATGCAAGGAGAGAAACCCAACAGGCAGGTGGGATGAGGGGCTGGAGCCTGGGAGGGAGATCTAGGGGATGGTGGTGAGGAATCATCAGCAGGGGGGTGGAACTGAAGCATTTAATCAGGGCAGTGCTGAGCAGAGAGGAGGGCTGAGGAATGGCCTGTGGGGCATTAGAAAGTACTAGATGTTGTGGAAGTAAAGGGAAAATACTGGTAGCTCCCATTTAGCTTAGAGTGTCACCCATAAGGGAAATCCTTGTTTGACCCACTGTGTTAGTTTCCCAGAGCTGCCATAACAAATCACCACAAACTGGGTGGCTTAAAACAAACAGAAGTTTATTCTTGCACAGTTCTGCAGGATATAAGTTTGAAATCAAGGTGTCACCAAGGCTGTGCTCTCTGAAGAATCTAGGGGAGAATCTCTTCCATGCTGGTTTAGGATAAGGAATATCTTATCTTGGTTCCCAGTTTCTGGCACAAAGCTTCAAACATCTTTGGAATATCTTCAGTGATAGGAGTCTCTTTATTATGCTAATATGGTGACTCATAATGGGGCGATAGAAAGCTTGAGGATGAGGGCTGGTCACCAGAAAGGACAACCATGTGACAAATGGGTTAGAACTTTGAGTCACCCCAACTTCTGGGGAGGGGAGAAGTGGAGATCGAGCTCAGTCCTGTGGCCACTGACTTAATCAATCATGCATATGGGATGAGATCTCTGGACATTGAAGCTCAGTAGGGCTTTCCAGTTGGTGAGAGCACATTGATGTGCTAGGAGGGTGATGCACCTGCAATTCCACGAGGAATCCCCTGCTCTCCACCCCAGACCTTTCCCTGTCTATGTATCTCTTTCACTTGGTTGTTTCTCACTTGTATCATATACAGTTGACCCTTGAACAAGGAGGGATTTAGGGAGACCAACCCCTTGTGCAGTCGAAAATCCAGGTGTAACTTTTGACCACCCCAAAACTTAACTACCAATAGCCTCCGGTTGACTGGAAGTGTTACCATAACACAAACAATCAGTTAGCACATATTTTATATATTGTATGTATTATATACTGTATTTTTACAATAAAGTAATCTAGAGGAAAGAAAATGTGATTAAGAAAATCATGGCCGGGTGCGGTGGCTCAAGCCTGTAATCCCAGCACTTTAGGAGGCTGAGACGGGCGGATCACGAGGTCAGGAGATCGAGACCATCCTGGCTAACACGGTGAAACCCCATCTCTACTAAAAATACAAAAAAATTAGCCAGGCGTGGTGGCGGGCGCCTGTAGTCCCAGCTACTTGGGAGGCTGAGGCAGGAGAATGGTGTGAGCCTGGGAGGCGGAGCTTGCAGTGAGCCGAGATCGCACCACTGCACTCCAGCCTGGGTGACAGAGTGAGACTCCTTCTCAAAAAAAAAAAAAAAAATCGTAAGAAAGAGAAAATGTATTTACCATTCACTAAGTGGAAGTGGATCATCGTTAAGGTCTTCATCCTGGTCTTCACATTGAGTAGGCTGAGAGGGAGAAGGAAGAGGATGGGTTGGTCTTGCTGTCTCAAGGGTGGCAGAGGCAGAAGAGGTGTGGAGGTGGAAGAGGAGGCAGGACAGGCAGGCATATTTGGTGTAACTTTTATTGGAAAAAGTCTGTGTATAAGTGGACCTGCACAGTTCCAGCCTGTGTTGTTCAAAGGCCAACTGTATATACGTCTGAAATGGGGCAGTTTTGTGAAATATTCTTTCCTTGTTGGGTCTGTATTAAGTCTAGGTAATTAGTGTCAGCATTGAGTTGAATTTTAGGACACCCAGTTGATGTCAGAGAACAGTATTGGAACAGGCATACCTTTCTTTTAGTTTCCGGTGTCAGCAGCAATCCTTAGTTTTGTTTGGCTTATAGGCACATTCCTCCAGTATCTGCCCCTGTCATCATGCGTGTTCTCCCTCTGTATCTCTGCGTCCCTTCTCCTCCTCTTAAAAGGGCATATATTGGATTAAGGGTCTACCCTACTTCCACTACAACCTTCTCTTAACTAATTATATCTGTGATAACAATGCTGTTTCCAACTGTATTCACATTCTCAGGTTCCTGTGGTCAGGACACCATAACTTCTGGGGGACACAATTGAACCCACAGGGCCCACGAAGCACACATTTCTCATTCAACAAAGAGTATTTTTTTCTGCCTGCTTTGTGCCAAGGTCAGGGGTGGGGAACATGAGGCAAACAAACATGAGTAAGTCTAATAATCTTACCCTCGAGGGGCTTATATTCCAGTAGGAAAAATAAGATTTATAAACACACTGCTGATATTTGAGGCTGGTTTTTACTTATGCCCTAAGATAGTATGAGATGCTAGAATAATTGGGAGGCCAGAAATATCACGTATGGCTTGAGTAATCAGCCAGAATTCAAGGAACAAAAGGTGATTTCGGTTGGACTTCGGAAGGACGCATGGGATTTCGACAGATGGAGATGAGGGAAAAATACAAGGGAAGATTTAAGCTAGCAAAGTACACTAAAGCAAAGGGGACATGCAAATCTAAGACCTGGATCTAGATGTGTATAGAATTTACTCCTCGAAACATTACTAACGCATTAAATAGATTGTGAGACATCTATAGATGAATTTTACCTGAATCAGATCCAAATGCAGCAATATGCAGCCACCTCCAAGACACGCTGACAGGGGAACAGAGCAAGATGCTCAACATGTTATATGTATTTGACCTAATTTCTGTAAAGAGAAATAATTTCTGTATGGTGGATAAATAGGTTCACAAACACACGTGGTTAACATGCTCACAAGTGCATAGAAGATCTCTGGAAGAATATAAAAAGTTGTGAACAGTGCTTCTCAACTGGGGAACAGGGAAGAGAAGCAGACTGCATTTCTTACTGAATGCATGAGCTACTTTCAACTCTTTTTTTAAACAAGCTACTCTTTGAACTGACCTTACTTTGGCATTTTGAAATACCTTATTTCCCTTAACAACTTAAAAAATCACAGTCATATGGTGTTCTATAAAAGTCTCTACTTATCTGGAGTATTGCCTTTATTGATCCACCCACTCAGCAATGGCAGGTCCCATGCACACATGCAAGGGCCTTGGAGTAATTGGACCTTGGTTTACTCAGCTCCATTACTTCTCACTGTTGGCCAATGCTGCAGTCAGGCCAGTCTCCTTAGAGCTGCTTTGCACCGTCCTGCCCACGCTATGTTTTATGTTTTGAATTTGCTTTGCATGTTCTGTTTCTAATCTCCTGCCCTGGGTGGGAGTGGAAGAGGGTGAGGAGAGTCGGGAAGGAAATTGAACGGTTTTCTCACAACAGTCTGACCCTATCAGTCAACCACGATTCAAGAATATTTACACTTTAAGATATGTGAAAAGTTAAAGGAGGTTTTTTGTTTTTTTTTTTTAGAAAGATAAAGAGCAAATCAAAAGTAAAAATAAGGAGACAGCAGGAGATAAGAAGGAAGAGAGAAAAACAAGAGGAGTACCTCAGTGGAGGAGTGTGCCAGATAGACATGAAAAGTTAAAACCACTAACAGTGTTTGTTATATGTAATGTAGGGTGCAATATATGTATGCTTGTCTGTATGCACATAAACATGCATATATATGCATACAAATACATACATTTCTATCTGCATATGAGCTTCCTTGTCTTTCACTGTGACTTCTATTCAAGTAAAGAATTAATCTGTATCTGCTCCAGGTACAGAAAAGTTACAAAAAACCAGCTTGAGAGATGGATGCTCAGTAACAGGAATGGATGTGTGACTTGGCACGTCCCCCACCACACAAAGAGAGTGTATCTTTCAGATTCTGATACACTCTCCTTGGGTGGTGGGAGGCATGTTTATGTGCATATATACAAGGATACATATATTGCACCCCACATCACATATAACCATGTGGGCAAATTATTCCCAGGCTGCTGCAGGCTGGCATTTCTCCTGGCTCACGGTGAGTACCAGTGTGGAACTGGGACACACGTAGTCCAACTGTCTGCCGTCGTGACTCATTGCCCCCTTCGACCTCACCTTCTTGGTGTTATATTTCGAGATTTCATCTAAATATTCAGAAGGGCAATCTCTTCCTTTCCTTCGGGGTTATCGATTATGTTTTATCTTCTTAGTGCTGACCAAAAGCTTAATTGTCTACAGCGGTGTTTATCAGGCTTTCTTAATTCATCTCCCTTTTTGATAAGCCTGAAATGTGTATGCTCTTCTCTTTGGGGTTTTTCAGACTCTGATACACTCTCCTTGGGTGGTGGGGGGCCTGCCAGGTCACACACCCTTCCCTGTTACTGTGCAGCCACCTCCCAAACTGGTGTTTTTTTTTTTTTTTTTTTTTTTGAGATGGAGTCTTGCACTTTCACCCAGGCTGGAGTGCAGTGGCGTGATCTCGGCTCACTGCACCCTCCGCCTCCTGAGTTCAAGCAATTCTCCTGCCTCAGCCTCCCGAGTAGCTGGGATTACAGGCGCCTGCCACCACACCCGGCTAATTTTTGTATTTTTAGTAGAGACGGGGTTTCACCATGTTGGCCAGGCTGGTCTCGAACTCCTGACCTCAGGTGATCTGCCCGCCTCGGCCTCCCGAAGTGCTGGGATTACATGGGTGAGCCACCGCATCTGGCCCCAAGCTTGTTTGTGTAACTTTTCTGTACCCGGAGCAGATATAGATTAATTCTTTACTTGAATAGAGGCCACCGTGAAAGACAAGCAAGTTCATATATTGATGGGAATATATGTTTATATGCATATATGCAAGCATACCTATATTGCACCCTCATATTACATATAGCAAATGCTGTTAGTGGTTTTAATTTTTCACGTCTACCTGGCACACTCCTCCACTGGGTGTACTCCTCTTGTTTTCCTCTCTTCCTTCTTATCTCCTGCTCCCTCCTTATTTTTACTTTTGATTTATCTTTCTGAAAAAAACCCCAAAAAACCCCCAAAAAAGCAAAAACCCTCCTTTACTTTTCACACATCTTAAAGTGGTAAATATTGCTGAATCATGGTTGACTGATAGGGTCAGATTGTTGTGAGGAAACTGTTCAGTTTTCTTCCCGACTCTCCTCACCTTCTCCCACCCCTACCCAGGGCATTAGAAACCCTGGTTTGATTTTCCTTGAACCTCCCCCACCACCTGCTTTTACTTCTCCTCTCTCCTGGCTTTAGAGAAGTGAGGACAAAAGGACTCTGCTGCAGGTTGTTCTTTTGATTTTTTTTTTTTAAAAGATTCTTGTCCTGGCTTTCCTGATTCTCCAGAGTCTCCTGGGATTTTGTAGAACAAAATAGAAGAGGGAGGAGAAGCAGGGTTCCCCTAAAGGTTATCCTGTAGGCATTTAGAATGTACAATCTCATACACGGCTGTCTACTGTATTTCCTTGCAAACATTCCGCCTCGCACTTATTCTGTGAGGGAAATAAGCAGTTTCCCCACATAGCCAATAAAAGTGTATTGTGTTCAATACTAGGAGAAATACAGAAATAGCCTTGGTGGGGTAGAAAAGGCTGGAAGCGTGAATAATAGAATATAGCACATAACAAAGAGGTAAAGACTAAAAGATCAGAAAGGATTTTGAGTGGGAGAATGTTATGATCCCTGAGGAAAATGATAGATTTTTAAACTATTATGAAATTAGAGCCCCCATGACTCCATTTTACAGGAGAGTATACCAGTCAGGAGAAGATAAGAAATTGGCTCCAAATCAAAGCAAGTAAGTGGCAGACTAGAACCTAGTGGAATCCAGGAACTGCCCAGGTCCCAAATTGGCCGTTGGGTGGTATGTACATAGGTCAGATACCAACAACATGACAAGAATTGAAAACTCTCTTTCCTCTCCTTTTATTGCTTGAGAAGCTTCATGGGGGAGGTGGAACTTGAAAGTGAGCCGTTAAGAATAGTTCAGAGTTAAATAAGGAGATGAGCAGGCAGTCTGTAGGAAGAGAACCAAGTACAGAGAGTTGGGAATAGATGTTGTGTTTCACAGTCACTGGACAGATGGAACTATTTAGAAGGAAGTGGGTATTGTGGAGGTTGGTGGAAGGTCAAATGCTGGGGAGACTGGGCTTTTAGTGGGGCTGTGGAAGCTGAGCACAGTAGTTGAGATATGGTCTGTGAGGCAGTGGGAGTTACTGAACGCAGTTGAAAGGGGAAGTGAGATTATAGGCATGGTTGATTTGGAACAGTACCTTAGTTGCAGTATGCAGGGTGGATTGAAAAAGGGGAGCCTGCCATGAAGGAAGCCAACAAAGAAAATGTCAAGTAGAAGGCAGATCTGTTTGAGCCTCTTGGTTTTTAGGCATATTTGGGTGGTGAGAAATGGTTTTCTCTGCTCCTCAGCACTCTTCTTTTATTCATCTTGAAGCTATAAACTTGAGCAAAGAAGGTGACCTTCTCCAGTTGAGAAGGTATAAAACTAACCATACACACCCCTGCTAAAACTGCCACACAAGCTTTTAGGACAAAATCAGTGGACACTTAAATTAATTTGAGTGGAATATGATGAGGAATTATATTAGGGTAGGGAAAGTCATAAATCTTAAATATGATAAAAAGGATGAAAATTGGAAAGGAGCTTTAAGCTGTCATTATTTTCAGATATGATTGTTTATGTAAACTAAAAAATTACTGCAAATGAATAATTAGAATTATTAAGAGTTTAGCAAGCTTGCTCAATTCAAAAGAAAGGTGGGGTGTATTTATTAATATATCAGATACAGTGGACTTCAAGGAAAATTACAGAGATAAAGGAAGACATTACATACTGATAAAAGAGTCAGTTTACCAGAAAGACAAAATAATTCTACGTGTGTATGCATCTGAGAATAGAGGCTCAAAATACATGAAGAAAAAAGTGATAGAACCAAAAGGACAAGTAGACAAATCCACAGTTATAGGTGAGGACTTTGACACTCCTGTCTTAGTTATTGATAGAATTAGTTCACAGAAAATTAGCAAGGACATAGAAGAACTGAACAACACTGTAAACCAACTGGATCTAATTGGCATTTATAGAATACTTCACTCAACAATAAGATATACAGAGGATACATATTCTTTTCTAGTGCTCGTGAAACATTCACCAAGGTTGACTATATCCTCATCCATAAAGTAAATTTTTAACTGATTTTAAAATGTGAAACCATACAGAGTATGTTCTCTGACCATAATGGAGTTCAACTAGAAATCTGTAACAGAAAGATAACTAGGAAACCCCAAATGTCTGGTAATATAGTTAAGTAAATAATCCATAGGTGAAAAGAGGAAATTTCATGGGAAATTAAAAAGTATTTAGAACTGAATGAAAATGAAAACACAACATATCAAAATTTGTGGGGTGCATCTAATGATTGGAGGGAATGTAATAGCATTAAATGCTTAATTAGAAAAGAGGAATGGATACCCCATTTACCCTGTGATTATTATGCATTGCACGCCTGTGTCAATAAACCTCATGTAGCACATAAGTATATATACCTACTATATACCCACAAAAATTAAGAAGTAAAAGAAGAATGGTCTCAAATCAGTAATATAAGGTTCTACCTTAAGAAAATAGAAAAGGAGGAACAAAATAAACCCCAAATCAGGCAGAATGAAAGAAGTAATAAAGAGATGAGTAGAAATCACTGAAATAGAAAACAGAAAAAAATTAGAATAAATGAAAACAAAAGCTGATGTTTTGAAAAGATCGATAAAGTTGATCTGGCCAGACCGACTAAGGAAAAATGTAAGTGAAAACACAAATTACTAATATCAGGAATAAACAACGGGATATCACTGCAGACCTGGAAAGTTGTTTAAAGGATTAAAAAGTATCACACACCATTTTGCACATAAATTGGACAATTTGAGTAAAATATACCAACTCCTTGAAAACCGCAAATTACTGAAATTCACCAAAGAAGAAATAATGTATCTTGAAAAGTGGAGATAATTGGAATACTTTTATTACTATAAATAGAGTTCTTTTTGAAAACAAAACTCTGGGACCAGGTATTTTCACTGACAGTTGTACCAAACATTTGAGGGAATAACACAGTCTCTTTCAGAAAACAGAAGGAGAGAGAACACTTCATATCTATTTTGTGAGGTCTTTATTACACTGATAGTAAAATCAAAGATATTACAGAAAAAGAGAATTATAGACGAACAGTCCTCATGAACACAGATGTAAAAAATCTTCACAAATCAAATGCAGCAATATGTAAAAAATATAAAACATTATGACCAAGTGAGGTTTATTTACCCCAGTAATGTATGGTTGGGCCAACATTCACAAATCACTGTAATTTCTCATTTTAAATGACTCAACTGGTACAGCCAAAGCAAATGACAAAATTCAAAATCCATTCATGATAAGACATTTTACCAAACTAGAATTATTAGGAATTTTAAACTGGTAAGGTGCATCTGGAAAAGAAAAAAAAAAAAAAAAAACAACCCTACAACTCACATCATATTTAATGGTAGAAGAGTGAACGCTTTTCCCCTAAGACTGAAATTGAGGCAGGGATGTTCGCTTTCATTTCTTCTACTTAACCTTGTAGTGGTGATCCTAATCAGTGCAATAAGGCAAGAAAAATAAATAAAAGACATACATATTGAAAAAGAATAAATAAAACTGCCACTATTTGTAGACGATGTGATCACCTATGTATAAAATACTGAGAACTCTATGAAAAATCTCCTAGAACTAATAACAATTTATGAAAGTCTCAAGACACAGAAACGTCTAAACGCCACTTATATTTCTGTATACCTGCAGTGAACAATTTAGAAAACAGTATTTAGAGAAGTAGCAAAATTATGTGCAGGATCCATGTGCCAAAGGCTATAAAACACTGTTGAAAGACATTTTAAAAGACTTTTAAGTGCAGACATAGCATATTCGAGATTGTTGGATTCAATCTGTTTATGATGTCATTTCTCCCCATATTGATCTATAGGTTTCGTGCAATTCCCATCAGAATTTCAGCAGCGTATTTTTGTAGATACAGACAAGCCGACTCTAAAATTTGCATGGATAGGCAAAGGAACTAGAGTAGCCAAGACAATCTAGAAAGAAGAACAGAGTTGGAAGGATCACACTATCCAATTTTAATTACAGTAAAGCTACTATGAACAAGGCAGTGTGGTATTGATAAAGACATGTACATTTAGATCCAACTCAGCAGACTAGAGAGTCCAAAATGAAACCTACACAAATACGATCAATTGATTTTGAACAAAGATGCCAGGGCAATTAATGGAGAATGGATCTCACATAAATTAGATCATATGGCATGTGTTCTTTTGTGCCTGACTTCTTTCTCAATGTATTATTTTTGAGATTCATACGTGTTGCATATATCAGTATTTTTTTTTGGTCTTTTTAAGTATTTTGTTGCTCAAATATGCCATAATTTGTTTATCCATTCACCTATTGGTGGACATTTGAATTATTTCCAGTTTTTGGCTTTTTTGAGAAACATATGCTATCAACATTATGGAACAAATCTCTTTGTGAATTGTGTTTTTGTTTCTTTGGATAAGTACCTGGGAGTAAAATTGATGGATCAATTTTGTAAGAAATCACCAAACAGTTTCCCAAGGTATTTATATCATCTGTACTCCCACCAGTTATGTCCAGTTGCTCCATACCCTTGTCAGTATTTGATACTGTCAAGTTTTTTTTTTTTTTTAATTTTTGCCACTTCAGTAGCTGTGTTGTAGTAGTTTATCATGGCTTTAATTTGTACTTCCTTAACAGGTAATGATGTGAAACACCTTTTCATGAGTTTATTGGACATTCAGGTGTCTCCTTTTGTGAAATCCTGTTCAATCCTTTGCTTATGCCAAAAATGGATTCTTCATCTCTTCTGTTTTGATTTGTAGGAGTTCTTTATCTATTTTGCATGTAAGTCATTTGCTGATTGTGTTATTACCAATGCTGCCCCCTCATTGTTGCTTGCCTTTTCGTTTTCTTGATGTCTTTATGAACAGAGTTTTTAATTTTGACCAAGTTCAAGTTATCATCATTTCTTTTATGGTTAATAGTTTTTGTGTCCTATTGAAGAAATCATTGCCTATGCCATAGAAGGAGATATTCTGCATTTTCATTTGGAGGCTTTATTAGTTTACATTTAGATCCGTAATCCAGTTCAAATAAGTATTTGAGTGTGTTGTAACATAGGAGTTAATTTCATTTTTTTTCCAGTTGAATATCCAATTTATCCAGCAGCATTTATTCCCCATTGTATTGCAGTTGACTCTGTCACAAATCAGTTGATAGTATAGTATATTTAGGTCTGTTTCTGGACTGTATTTGTAGTTTATTCATCTTTAAAATTTTTTCTGAATTGATAAATAATAATTGTACATATTCATGGGGTACGTTGTGATGTTTTGATACATATAATACCCATATTTTAAATGTTTTAAATATTATTTTGTAACTACTCAGGATTTAATAACACAATTTTTAAAACTTCAACTAAAAAAGTGAAAAAGAAAAAAAATTACCAGTTATGATAGGTGGAGAGTATTAAATTCCAGGTTTAAGTAAAATTAAGGTTAAGATGTATTTCTAGGTCATGACCTGGAAAATGGAGTTGATAAGCTGTTGTGGTGTCTGTACTGTGTTCCTGGCACTATCGTGGGAATACAAAAATGAAGAAGATGGATCTTGTCCTTGAGGAACATGTGGGTGAGTGAGAGATAGACCATATAGTAAGTCTGTGTTCCCTCAACACCACATGGATACCTTCACTGAGGCCCTACAGTGTGTTGAATCATGTGATTGAAGGTTTCTCAAGAAGACATGGCTACCAAACAGGCAGATTTAAAAGACAGACCTTGGAAAAGAAGATTGAATGATAGAGATTTTATGTTATCCCAGTGTGATTTTATGTTATTCCAGTGTGATAGTTATAGAAGACCTGAGAATATGTGAGTCTCGGAAGAACAACCTTTGTTTCTTTCACTTGTTCGGGCAGGCAGAGGCTTTGAAGACCATATCTAAAACCCTGAAGAATGGATAGATGTCTCCTGGCTTTTTGGAAGAGAAAGAAGTTATAAAGGTTTTAACTGTAGTTAACTGCCCTAATCTTTATGCTTTTCCAAATATGCCCATTAGATTTTAGTTTGGCATATGGGAAGATATTTGGCACTGATGACAATCTCACTGATTTGGCGAATTTATCATCTATTTGAACAAACAGCTAAGTCAGAAGAGGTGACATTATAGACTAGCAGAAGGCACTGGCCAAATCTGACTGAAATCAAAACAGGACAGTTGTGCAACTCAGCAAGGATTAAAGACAAAAACAAAAACGTGGGCATGGGGATGAGTAAGGGATGTGTTGTCTTCAGGTGTTTCCATTTACCTGGTTATCAATTGATAGAAAACAATGTTATCAGTAAAACTGAAGTTTTGAGATTAGATTATTGTGGTTTTTGTTTATAACCTGGGTCAGAAGGTTATTCACAAAATAAAAAAGTTCTAAATGTGCCTTGGGCCTTGGAATTTGCATGGCTTCATATATGCAGCTCTTTCAGCTGTGATATCCTTAAGGCAAACAAGAGTCATTTTATTATACATTGCACAATGTTAGAAAACCAGTCTTGTTACTGTATGAGTTACAGAAGTTGGACAGACAGCATAGGTGGGGCAGATAGCTTTCCCTGGCCTACCGTGAGCTAGAGAGCCATTGCAGTGCCTGAGCATTAATCTCAAACTTTGATCCTAAAACACCAACTAGAGAAAATAGAAAAGCAAAAAATCAAAACAGAGCATTATGTTTCTTTCTTCCAAAAGGAAGCAGAGCGTTATGTTCCTTTCCTTTTGGATGTTTTCCAAACAATGTGAATCACGGTTTTTAAAATCTTTACTTTCACAATGTTGCTTATTAAAAAAACAACATCTCAGCTTTGTATTATAGATCAACCGACTTCCTATAGGGAAAGGTAAGTAGTCTAGTTATTGCTTTGATTTTGATTGGCATCTCCTAGGATTATTCTGACACTACCATTAGAAGATTTATACACTACTTTACCAACTTACATATAAAGACCTATAGTCCTAGTGTTGGATGGGCTTGGGATTTCATTAGCTCTAGGTGCCAATTCTAGTTGATTGATACTTTGTTGAGGCACTAACTTAAAAGTATTGAGAGTCTGAGCCTGGATTTGGTCAAGGAGGGCTACAATATATAAAGGGTTGGCAAACTTTCCTGTACAGGGCCAGGCAGTAAATATTTTAGGCTTTGTGGGAAACTACTCTGCTATTATAGTGAATAAACAGTCATAGACAATATATAAATGACTGAGCATTGCTGTGTTCTAGTAGATCGAGTTATAATCATGGATATTTGAATTTCATGTAATTTTCATTTGTCACAGAATATTTTTCCAGTCATTTGGAAATGTAAAAATTATTCTTGTGGACCATAAAAATCCAGATGATGGGCAGAATTTGGTGTGTAGGTTATAGTTTGCTGCCCCCTGCAATGGATTGTCACTGGTTGCCCTTGGCTTGGGAGGAAGAGTGATAGCATTCCTGCTCTTTTTCTGGGTTAAAGCTCTGATACCTCAGGGAGTTCAATGCCAAGAGGTCTATGAAGCATAAGTAAGGCCATACTCTATTTAATAAAGCATTACTGTTAATTATTTATGGAAAGAAACCAAGTCTAGAATGCAAGCCATTGGCAAACCAGGATAGAATTGTTTCATCACTTTAGGCCTTGAGTGGAAGTGATGAGAGCTCAACAGAAACAATTATGCAGCCACAGAGCAAGGAAGAACATATGTTCAATAGTGAAATGTTGGTTCTCCTGGCTGCCCTCCTTGCCTGGCTACTCCACTGTCCTCCCCTTCCCAATGCACATGTCTGACTCTGAGGCTGGACTTAGGTAATTCAGTGTGAAGTCTGTAAAAGGGGCAGTTGATCTTAAAGCCTAAAAGAAGTGTTGCACAGCTTGCGTTCTGTTCAAGTATCCAGATGGTGGTGGTCCTAGGCAGAGCTCTCTCCTTGTCTACTGCACTGTGAAGATAGATTTTGCTTTCTTTCTATCTTCTTTCATCTGCAGAGGCCCGTAACTCAGAAATCGGCCTGGGTAAAATGTGCAACTTCGTGTCGACTCTGTAATATAGGGTATATTGTATCTGGCAATCCCTCTTGACAGCAGATGCCATAGCAGCTTGTTTTTTGGGAGGACATGATTGTCCTTATGATAAAATGAATCTTCAGAGTCTCAGTTTCCCTTAATACTTCTAATCAACTTGGTAACCATCAAACTCTCTTGAAATACTTCCCGTGATGTTTCTGCCTGCAGCTGAGTTGGAGGAGGTGACTCTAACGCAGGTTGGTACCACTGTGACTTCTTGACCACTCAACTTAAGTGAGCCCCAATTCTTGCCTCACATCCTTTTGTCAGATCAGCTTGTTCTTCATTCTCCAGAACGATAGTATTTCTTTCCTTTTTTACTTTCCTCAAACTTCTCCAGTCCTTTCTCTTATGGCCAACCTCACTTTCTCCTTCCTAGAGAAAATTGAAGCTCTGTCAGATGGATGGAACGATCTTAACTTTTTGCTAAGAAGTTAAGACTCACTATTTCTATTACCATCTCTCTCCTCTGCCCCACCTGTTCTAATAGAGAAGCTATTCTTTCTCTATCCTTCCATCTGGTTCTCATCTTTTCCCAAACTTTGCTGTGTTATATTATCAAGTATCTCTTCTCTCTCGTATATTCAACTGATCTCTCAAATAGTTTCCTCCATCAACATTTGAACATGTTTGATTTCTTCCATCTCAACAGCAGAAGATCTCTTGATACTTCTCCTTAACTCCATCTAGCTTTCCTCCCTTCTATGTTGCCAGACTTTTGGAAAGACTTGTCTGTATTCACTGTCTCCATTTCTTTGTCTCACATTCATGGTATATATTACCCTATCTGGCTTCTGACCCTGTTGCTCTACCAAACCACTCTGCCCAACCTCAGTAAAGTATCAAAGTCACCGAACTCCATCTTGCTGAATCCAGTGGTACATCCTGTGAGTCTTTCTTATTTGACCTTTTAACAGAATTTGGCATTGTGGATCACTTTTTCTTGAACTGCCTTTGTCTTCCCCTTGGCTTGAATGATACCACATTCTTCTGGGTTTCTTCTTGTTTCTCTGGCCACTCCTTATTGGTCTCCAGTGCAGGAAATAATGGATTTCCTCGTGGATCACTCTACAGTGTCTCCCTGTGCAATTTTCTTCATGCCCTTGGCTTCAGGGACCATTCTGTGTGGATGACTCTCAAACTTAATTCTCCTGAGCCTTCTTTGAGCTGCACATGGTCAATCCACAGGGCCTAAAACACCATGGAAAAGAGTTTGAATTTTGAGCAGAGGAGTGATATGATTTTGCTTACATTTTTGAAAAGATCACTCTTCCTGCTGGGTGCAGAGTAAACAATGGAGAGGCAAAAGTGGAAGCAGGGAAACCTCTTAGGAGGTTAATGTCCAGGAAAGAAGTTCTAGGGGCTGGGTCTAGGGTGTTGTATCCAGCTGGATGTTCAAAATGACCTCACACTCCCCATGTCATGACCTAATTCATGATTTCTGCCAGACTTCCTGTTGTCACCTGCCCCATCTGATTGAGTTGGAAACCTCGACCCTACTTTCTTTTTCTAATTCATCATTTGATACTCTGGCCCTCTTCCACTTTGCTTCTAACACAGTAGCCAGAGTTGTCTTCAATACAAGTCTGATGCCATCCCCAGGATAATAATTATTTTCGGTGTTTCCCATCACTCAGAGGAAAAAGACTAGAAAATCTGAATATGTCCATCTAAGGTTCTACACAGCCTGGCCTTAATGTACCTCGCTAGCCTCCCCTCGTACGTCCTTCCTTTTGCTTCTGCACTTCTCTACCTTCTGCTTGTGTTGTTCTCTGCCACTCTGACCACTTTTATCTACTCATTTCCTAGTCTTCCAGAATTCTGACTGAAGTATCACTTTTGGGGAAGATTTTCCGTAGTGCTTGACTACCCCAGTTTAGGTCAAATTCTCTTATTTTATGTTCTTGTGGAACTGGATTTCTTTCCTTTTGTAGGCTTATCTTAGTTTCTAACTACATGCTCATTTATATGATTATTTGATTACTATCTTTTTTGAGATGGTGTCTCACTCTGTCACCCAGGCTGGAGTTCAGTGGCATGATCACAGCTCTCTATAGCCTTGACCTCCCTAGGCTAAAGTGATCCTCCTACTTCAGCCTCCCGAGTAACTGGGACTACAGGCACATGCTACCATGCCCAGCTAAATTTTGTATTATTTTGTAGAGATGGGGTTTTGTCATGTTGCCCAGGCTGGTCTCGATCTCCTGGACTCAAGCCATCTTCCCACCTTGGCCTCCCAAAGTGCTGGGATTACAGCATGAGCCACTGCTCCCAGCCCTTGATTACTAATTTTTTAAAATGACATGAGGGACTGTATTAGGGTTCTTTAGAGAAACAGAACCAATAAGGAGTGTGTTTGTGTGTGTGTGTGTGTGTGTGTGCATTATAGAGAGAGAGAGATTGATTGATTTTAAGGAGTTGGCTCATGTGGTTGTGGGGATTGTTAAGCTTGAAATCTGCCGGGCGAGTGGCAGGCTGGAGACCCAAGGGAGAGTTGACGTTGCTGTCTCAAATCTGAAGTCTCTTTTTCTGGGGGACCTCAGTCTTTTCTCTTAGGGTTTCCAACTGATTTGATGAGGCCCACCCACATTATTGAGGGTAATCAAGTTACTCAAAGTCTACTGATTTAAATGTTACTTACATCTAAAAAATAATTCACAGTGAGATCTAGACTGGTATTTTACCAGTTACTGGGTACTATAGCTAGCCAAGTTGACACAAAAAAATTAAACATCACAGGGACCATGTCTGTGTTAGCCCATTATTATATCCTCAGTGTCTGCCACAATGTATGACATGTAGAAGGCAGTCAGTAAACATTGATTGTATGGATTTGAGAGCGTTAACTTTCTACTTTCCACCTGTAGCCAATGCCAGTGAGTGTTGTACATTTCATGGCTATAAGGACTGTTCTTTGGAGTAGTCCTTTGTGTTCGTTCTAAAATATTTTGTTGATAAACAGTTTTGTGATTTAAGAGAGATCTCTAATTTTTGACAAGTTTGGGTTTTTTTAAAAAATAATTTTAAACTTTTAAGTCAGGGGTACGTGTACAGGTTTGTTTGTTACATAGGTAAACTTGTGTCCTGGGGTGGTTTGTACAGATTATTTTATCACTTAGCTATTAAGCCCAGTACTCGTTAGGTATTTTTCTTGATCCTCTCCATCCTCCCACCCTTCACTCTCTGATTGGCCCCAGTGTGTGTTGATCCCCTCTATGTGTCCATGTGTTCTCACCAGACAAATTTGTTTTCTTGTAATTCATTTATAGACCCTCTTAGCCTGTTTCTTTGCAGACTCTTTTATTCTCATCCCATAAAAAAGCCTTGTCAGCCATTTGACTTAACCATTGGATTGGCTCTTTTCTTACATTCCTCTTGTGTATTTTTCCTGTATTTTCTTGGATGCAGTAGCCAGAGCCAACTTTGTTTTCAGTGTAATTGGACCATGACTTTATTTAAGGAGATAATTGCATTTTTATTTCCTAATGCTCTTCAATTTTATTGGCCATTTTGGCGACAGCAGCACATTGTGTTGAATATTCTATTTCTAAAACCAAACTTCTCATCCTGGCCCTGTGTCCAGAGTTGTCTATTTCTGTCACTGGTGCCAGACACCAAGACAAGAATGCTTGGATTTATCCTTAACTTTTCCCACCCTCACCATTCCTAGTCTGTTACAAGATTCTCTTGATTCTTCTTATGATTCTTCAACATTGATCCTTTTTATTTGTCCATTTCTTACAACAAGCCTTTATGGGCTCATGCCAGATAACTGATTTCTTCTTGGTGTCTTTACGACTGTTCCCTCCCAGCTTCAAGTTTTTGTAGCCAGCAACCTCAGATGAATCTTCCTAAGCATCAGCTTGAGTGTGCTTTCTTCTCCCTACCTCCCAATACCCAATCACCACCTTAAGCTTCTCCCTACCTCCCAATACCTAATCACCACCAAAGCTTAAGTTTGATTAAGATTCAAACTTGATTTCCTTTTCCTACTGGACCTTCAGTACAGAGGATTAAGTTAATTTTACTTCTCAGGCCATGACATACTATCATTTTTGGTCTCTGTAACCCTGTTCTCTTATTTATTTAATTCCTTTATTCTCTTTTAGTGACAATTTGAATATATTGTTTTTTGTCTGTGTTCTTATAAAATATGTATTGTTGTTTTGGTTATTTTAATTTATATGACTTGTACTCTAGATCTCATTTTATTTTGTTTTATATATTTCACTGCTTTTCACATCCTTCTGTGATGCCATGTAAACATGCAGTCTAATGCGTCTAATTGCTGTTTCTCTTTTTATTCACATCATTATAAGGATGATAAGAAAATAAAGTTATAAGTCAATTTTTTATGAATGTCAAATAAAAAAATCCAAAATAAAATATTAGCTAAACAAACCCAACTTTATATTTTTAAAATATATCACAATTAAGTAGTATTTATTTCCAGTAATGCCCACATAATAATATAATGATGGAATAGTAATATATTCAATATAACAATAACCTTTCAATTTTATTTACTTCATGTATATCTATGTATGTTTATTAGAATTTAATACTTTACTCCCTAGAGGTCTAATGTACTGGTTAGGTTAATTTTTCTATATTTCATGGTTTATATTGCCATTATGAATGATATACAGTTATGCTATATTTTATAGTTGGGTTTGACTGCTGGAGAGTCATGAGATTGATTTTTAAAAAAATTAGTAACAACCTTGATGAAGTCTCTTACTGCCAAGATGGGTGGATCTCTTGAGGTCAGGAGTTCAAGACCAGCCTGGCCAACATGGTGAAACCCCATCTCTACTAAAAATACGAAAATCAGCCAGGTGTGGTGGTGCACGCCTGTAGTCCCAGCTACTCAGGAGGCTGAGGCAGGAGAATCACTTGAACCTGGGAGGTGGAGGTTGCAGAGCTGAGATCGTGCCACTGCTCTCCAGCCTGGGTGACTGGCCATCTCAAAAAAAAAAAAAAAAAAAAAAGTCTAATAGTTACTTATCTATTAACATTTTAAAATATTACATTGAATCATATGGCAATGCTGATATTTGACCGTATTTTTGCCTATAATGTCTGTAATTTTAAATATTTCAACCTAATAGATGATTATATTGTCTACAAATAATGGTAGTTTTTTTCTCTTTCTTTATACCTTATATTTTTTGTTTCCCTAGATTTTTCAGAACTTCTAGACTGTGTTAAGTAGCACTGATAATGAATATCCTACAGTTTTCCTGTTAACCACATTTCTTCTAGGTTTTGGGTTCATGTAGAGATACTTTATCAAGCCTAAGAAAATCCTTCTTATCCCAGTTTGCAATGAGGTATTTTCATTTTTTTCCTAATCACAATAGAAGTTGAATTATAGCAAATGCTCTTTCTGCATCCATTGAGATAATCATGTAGGTTTTCTTTTTTATATATACATGAAGTAAATGAAATTGATAGGCTGTTACATTGAATCATCTGGGCATTACTGGGATATGTACTACTTAATTATGATATATTTTAAAAATATAAAGTTGGGTTTGTTTAGCTAATATTTTCTTTTGGATTTTTTTTTCTTTCTTTTTTTTTTTTTTTTTTTTTTAAAGACAGAGTCTCTCTCTGTCACTCAGGCTGCAGTGCAGTGGCGCCATCTTGGCTCACTGCAAGCTCCACCTCCCGGGTTCATGCCATTCTCCTGCCTCAGCCTGCTGAGTAGCTGGGACTACAGGCGTCCGCCACCATGCCCGGCTAATTTTTTGTATTTTTAGTGGAGACGGGGTTTCACTGTGTTAGCCAGGATGGTCTCGATCTCCTGACCTCGTGATCCGCCCACCTCGGCCTCCCAAAGTGCTGGGATTACAGGGATTACAGGCATGAGCCACTGAGCCTGGCCTTTATTTTGGATTTTTATATCACATTCATAAAAATTGACCTATAACTTTATTTTTTTACAATCCTTATATGGCTTAGGAATCAAGATTGCAAAGTTTAGTTGCATTAAACAAGTCACGCAACTTTCATTTCTATCTTCTGGAACAATTTGTATAAGGTAGGGATTAACTCCTATTGAAAGGTAGAACTCACCTTAAAACTATTGTGTCTTGGGGGGTCCAAACTACCTGTTCTTCCTAACCTTAACTGTGTTCCTATATCACCCTCTTACCTAATTGAGCTGGTCCGTCATTCCTATTTCTATTTCAGCATGTTTCTGCTTGCTGTTCTACTTGATGTAACAACTTTCCTTTCCTCTGTTTGTCTAAACCTTACCATTTAAGGCCAGGGTGCAGCCCAAATCACTCTTGAAACCCTTTCTGATGCCCTGGGCCTTCAGCAGCCCTCCTATTTTTGGCTTCTTATAGTATATATTGTCTCTTTCACTCTTTTGACCCTTGGCATGAGCAACACTGCATAAATATTTATCCCCATATTAGTATATATCTGGGACCTCTCTGCACCTCCTCATTTAAACCTGGATTTTAAGTCTCAATTGTACATAGAACCCAGCCTCTCTTGGAAGTTCTATTTGTTAGTGGTGATCATTTGATTATATCACACTCAGCTTTGATCAACCTGACCTGTTCGTATTGACATAATCACACCAACATATTCCACCTTAAGGCTTTTTCACTACTCTTTTCTTCTTTTGCATCATACCTGCATGCATGATTCCTAGTTTTATTGAGTCTCTGCTCAAATGTCATTTTCTTCATGTGGCCTTCCTTGACCACTCTATTTAAAATCGTAGTCCTACTGCCCCACATTCATGATCCAACCCCCATCCTCTGCTTTATTTTAATTATATTTTGTTGTTTATTTTCTTTCTCTGCCTATTGTAATACAAGGTCATCAGGGTCAGAGATTTTAATCTGCATTGTTTACTGATGTATCTTGGTACCTACAAGAGTGCCTGGGACCTATTTAATACTCAGTAAATATTAGAATAAATGAATGAAACCAAATATGTTAGCCTTCAGTTAAGAACTTGTCCTGCAATTTAGTCCTCCTACCACTAAGCAACAGCAAAGGAGAACTGGTTATTTAAGTCCTGGGGTTTTGGGATTGCAAGGGGATTGAAGCCTTTTTAGTAAATATTTATTCAAATGCTTCCCCATCTTTGCCAAAAAGAACTATGAGTCTTTTTCCTATGATTGCTAAATTATCTTAAGCCAAAGAACTCATTTTTTTCTTTTAAGATGCTCCGTTGAGAAAATTATCTTTTTGGGTACTTTTGGATAATTTTTGGATAATTGCTCTTTGGGGCTAGTTGTAAGAGAGGTCTTTTTTTTTCTTCCTGGTTCTTTGACTACTCTTGGGGTCTGCCTCCAGTCCTGTCCCTCTTACAGTAAGATGTGGCTGGGAGGAGAGTATTGATTCCTCAGATTGTTACATCTTCACTTCTCAGATTGTTTTAAATTCAGTGTCTCATGGCTCAAACTTCTTATCATAGGAGATATTTCCTAAGTCGCTCTTATGCTCTCCTTTACCTGGTAATATGAGGAATCAGGAAGATGTGGTGGGATTAGTTTCTAGGTCCAGTCTAGTCACCATTTGCCTTGCGACCTTAGGCAAGTCATTTTATCCTGGAGAGTTAAGACCTCCCCCACTGTAAAATGAGGGAATCAGATTAGGTGCCCTGTAAGGTCTTTTTTTCCAGCAGCTAAACAAAAACCGAAGAAATATGTTATTATTTTTTTTCCTTTTGATAGGGAGCTATTCCTGACAGCTCTCATCTGGTGTTTTGCTTAATTTACACACAATGATTAATTTACACACAAGCTTAGCTTGTATCCCTTAGCAACACTTAGCAACTGCCTGCTTTCAGAAAGTAGTTCAGTTAAGGTTGTTTAAAGGGACATTATCCCATATATCAAAGCAGAAGTGAAAATAAAGTTGACTTTGTCTGGGGACACGTCCCCTTCTGACTTTGCAGTAATTTTTCTTTATTACATTTTCCTGTTCGGTTTTTGTCCACTTGCACAGTTTTTATGAACCCTAACAGAAGTTTATTCTGGCTCGCTTTCAAAGGAATTAAGTATTGAGTGTTTACTATGCTCCAGAACATGGTCCTAAGTTCATGCCATACCTTATCTCATTGAATTCTTCAACAACTCTTGTGAGGTCAGGAGGGTGGTTACCTTTTACAGATTCAAGAAAACATCTTAAGCCTGCACAGCTAGTCAGTGAAGAGTCCAGCAGTGAGACTTGGCTGCCGGACTCCAGACACCATGCTGTTCACCTGTGCTGTGCTTTCTCCTGTTATTTTACCAAAATCTCCTGTTTACCTCTGTCAACAACCAGCAAAGCCGGACGCTTGTTAAAGTGGTAGGGGCAGTTTAATGGGTAACATACTATGGCAGTAGGGAGGATGTTTCAGCATGAACTGGACTCAGCTTCGTTTGTACAGAGGTTACTGGTGCTTTAAAGGGAGAATAGGGGAATGAGCAGAGGCTCCGTAGAGTCAGGGAAGTGAAAAAAATTACAAAGGCTTGGTCAGTGTAGATGCTGATTAGACCAACTGTGTCTGTTTGCTGGCAATGATCCAAGAAGTCAGGATTCAACCCTCCCATCGAGGCCCTGTTCTTTCTGATGAGTGCATTTCAGAGGGATGGATAGCTTTCAGGTCCTTGAGAAAGACACTCCTGAATTGTAGGAGATGTATATGCATCTCACAGGGACACAGGAAGGATTCACCATTGTAAGCCCTTTTTACTAAAGAGTGTAAGAAACAATGGTCAGGGGCCTACAGTCAGATGTTGGCTAGAAAAACAGTAAATTCTTTTGAGTGTTCTCAGGCAAGCATGTTAACAGGAGGTAGAGTCATTCTAGGGATGAGACCGTGACCTGTTAGAAACTGTTAATGTTTGTTAAATCTAACAAACTCAGAGAGGAGTTTGGATGATGCCATTTGTGTTGAGAGTCTTTAGTTCTTATAGGCCAAGACTGAAGCCTAGGCCAGAAGAGTGCTCTGATTGTAACTGCCCAGTAGGTTCTCTTTGCCCACTGCCCAGAAAGAGCCAATTTACCAAGACAGGGGAACTTCAGTAGAGAAAGAGTTTAATTCCTGCAGAGCCAGCTGAATGGGAGACTGGAGTTTTATTATTACTCAAATCAGTCTCTTCAAAATTTATTCAGAGACTGGGGTTTTTAAAGGATAATTTGATGGATAGGGGGCCAGGGAGTCAGGAGTGTTGATTGGTCAGGTCAGAGATGAAATAATAGGGGATTGAAGCTGTCCTCTTGCACCAAGTTGTTTCCTGGATTGGGGACACAAGGCCAGATGAGCCAATTTATTGATCTGGGTGGTGCCAGCTGATCCACTGAGTGCAGGGTCTGAAAAATACCTTAAACACCAATCTTAGGTTTTATAATACTAGTATTATCTGTAGGAGCAACTGGGGAGAGTAGTGATCCTGTGGCCTCTTAGCTTCATGACTCCTGAGCCATAACTTCTAACCTTCTGGCTAATTTGTTAGTTTTACAAAGGCAGTCTGGTCCCTAGGCAAGAAGGGGCTTTGTTTTAGGAAAGGGCTGTTCTCATCTTTGTTTCAAAGTTAAACTTTAAACTAAATTCCTCCCACAGTTAGTTCAGCCTATGCCCAGGAATGAACAAGAGTCAACTTGGAGGTTAGAAGCAAGATGAAGTTGGTTAGGTCAGATGTCTTTTATTGCCATAATTTTCTCTATTATAATTTTTGCAAAGTCAGTTTCAAAAGGAGCCTAGCTAGAGTTTGGTCAAGGAGAAAATCTTTGTCACTGCTCTTGTTTGTAAAAGGGAAACATTGGAAGTCTGTAAAGATCATTCTGGATTGTCCATGGTTGGTTTCTGGAGTTAATTTTGTTCCAGCTCATAAAATCACAGATCTCCCTTGTTCTGCTAGAAGCCCAACCTGGCATGGCCTAACCTTTTCCTTCCCCGACGATAGCTATTCTCTGTTTCACTCATGAGCATCACAGTTTCTGTGCCTGGGCACAGTACTATTTGAGAGCTCCCCTGTGTCCCTGCTCCATTCCCAGGCTCTGGCAAAGCTAGGGAGACTATCCTAGCTAGAACAGCTTAGGGTAGTCTTCGTTCTGTTTCTCTGTTTTGTCGGAGAGGGCAGTGCCACTGGATAGGAGTAAAGTTTGGGGAAGAAAGGGGACCAAGTAAGAATTACTGAGCATGACTCTGAGTATCCTTGAATAGTGTCCTGTGTCTGTGTAAGGCTTTAGCACTGCATATGTGTTTCATATTGATGGACTTTTTCGTACGTGTCTGTCTGTATTCATCATAGTCCTGATGACATAATAACCCCCATTTTATGGTTGGGAAGCTGATACCCAACTAGCTTAAAGTCGGTGCCTCCCTGACTCTCTTGACTCTTTTCCGTGTGTTTTGTTTTTGTTTTTTCCTTTCGTACTTTATAGAATTCACATTTCCCCAAGGATGTTTCTGTGATGCTTGATGGGCCCCTTGGATTACCACCTGGTCCTGCTCTTCCTCTTCTTTCAGTTTTCACTTTTTCTAACCCCTTGGTGATGAAATGAGTCACACTCTATAAAATATTTGAAGAGATTTATTCTGAGTGAAATATGAGTGATGCAGCCCTCAGGAGATCCTGAGAATGTGTCCCTAAGGTGATCAGGCCACAACTTGGTTTTATACATTTTAGGGAGACATAAGGCATCAATCAACACATGTAAGGTATACATTGGTCTGGTCTGGAAAGGTGGGACATCTGGAAGCAGGCGCTTCCACGCCATAGGTGGATTCAGAGATTTTCTGATTGGTAACTGTTTGAAAAAGTTCTTATCAATAGGAAAAAATGTCTGGGTTAATGTAAGGGGTTGTGGAGACCAAGGTTTTATCATGCGGGTGAAACCTCCAGGGTAGCAGGCTTCAGAGAGAATAGATTGTGAATTTTTTTTTTTTTTTCAGACTTAAAGAGGCTGTTCTATCAGTAGCGCCAAAAGGGAGGAGGGTATAATAAGGCATGTCCAGCTCCCCCTTCCCATCAGGGCCTGATTTAGTTTTCCAGGTTAAGGTTGGAATGCCCTTGGCCAAGAGTACGGGTCCAATTAGATGGTTGGGGGTGCTTCAGAATTTTATTTTTGGTTTATGCGTTGCTTTTTAGAATTTTAAGCATTTTAACTCTCAGGAGCTGCTCCTCTCTCCCCTCTCCACCGTCCACTCTTCTTGCTCCTGGCTCTAAGCCGCCAAGTCCTTGCATTTATTTCATTCTTGAGTCTTCTTCCATATGTCTAACTGACAATATGCTCCTTACTCTGCTAAAAGTATACATTGGGTTTACATTCTCTGCATAAGGAATATATCTGTTATGAATTTTTTAAATATTGGAAAGCTAGCCATAACACTCAACATTTTAACATTTAGTGACACTAAAATCCAGCAGTGAGCTATGATGGCATCACTGCATTCCAGCCTGGGCAACAGAGCAAGACCCTGTCTCAAAGAAGAAAAATCCTGCACAAAAATAAATAAACAAAAATTGTGTATGTTGCTTATTCATTCTACTAGTAAGTGTTTGTTATATCTTCCACACTGTGTTGGCAGTGGGGATAAAACATAGTTCCGTTACTAAAATGTACTCTTGGATAAAACAACATAAACCAAAAACATACACAAACAAAGTCCCTTCCCCCATGAAGTTTATTTTCTAGTAATAGTGATGTTCTCAGAAGAGGCATAATATTAGGGTGTTGGAGAATAAGGTTAAGAAATCAGTGGGAAATAGAAAATTTGGATAAACAACACATTTTTTGTTTTCTTTATGATGCTAGCATCTCCTTATTATTAATAATGTAAATACATGATATATAATTTTGTTTTATCCTATAATTATATCTACCATGTTAGATTATAAAAGTACAGCTTACTCTAATCATTGCAAGTTTAATTGCCTGTAATTATTTTGAGTTTTTGGTTGCTAAGGAGACTGAAAGGGAAACTTGCTATGAGGGTTGTAAAGGTCTGAAAAACCAAATGCATTTTTAATTCATCCGAATAATCTTGCATTAGAGAAATAGAGATTGTGTGTGATGTCGAGAAAGAACATCCCATAGAAACCCTTTTGGCTGCAGGGCCTGGCCTTTTGACAAATTTAATTTAGAATGTTCGTATCAAATCTTGGGGAAAGGTTTTCAACTAAGGTGTAAATGATCAAATGGTGTCAGTTAGTGTGAATTTTAATTGAAATAATCCAGTTGAGTTGAGGCTTGCCAACACCCTCAAGAATAAGAAAAACGTGTGCACAGATGTGTGCAGATGTGTATGTAGGTACTTTTTTAGTCATGTTCAAACAAGATGACTAATAAGAAATATCAGGTTCTGGGCATTGATAAAAGGCAGAAGAGATAAATCAATACCGTAGGCATGATGATAAAAGTTGGTAAATAAAAAGGAGAAAATTAGACTCCTCAGTTGCTGTTTGTCTTCTGAGAACAGTAATCTTCTGACTTAAAAAGATAAAATGAGTATTTGTGATTTGGAGTTAATACTCAGATTTCATAAGAAAGCATTATCGTGTTTTTACCGTGGTTACGTGGCATGGTCACAATTGCTGGTAATTTTATTTAATTAAAAAAAATTGTGAAAAACATATGACATACAATTTACCATCTTAACCATTTTTAAGTGTACAGTTCAATCTTGTTAAGTATATTCACATTGTTGTGTGATAGATCTCCAGAACTTTTTCATCTTGCAACACTGGAACTCGGCACTCATTAAACAATAACTTCCCATTTTTCTCTCCCTCCAGGCGCCAGTAATCACTATTTTACTTTCTGTCTCTGTGAATTTGACTACTTTAGTTACCCCATATAGTTGGAATCATACAATATTTGCCTTTTTGTGTCTGGCGTATCATTTCATTTAGCATAATATCCTCAAGTTTTATCTATGTTGTAGCATGTGGCAGGATTTCCTTCTTTGTAAAGGCGGAATAGTATTCCATTGTATGTATATCCACATTTTGTTTCTCCATCCATGTACATTTGGGTTGCTTCCATCTTTTGTCTATTGTGAATAATGCTGCTATGAATATGGGTGTGCAAATCTCTCTTCCAGATCCTGCTTTAAATTCTTTTAGAATTATATATTCCCAGAAGTGGGAATGACTGGCAACTTAAGAACTTGTAGATAAGGACAGAAATGCTTGAAGAGCAGAACGGAGCAAAGTTATGCCAATCTTTTTTAAAAAAAGAGTTTAGCAAGTGTGCTCAATTCAAAAGAAAGGTGGAGTGTATTTATTAATATATCAGATACAGTGGACTCCAGACCAAGGAAAATTACAGAGATAAAGAGAGACATGGCTGCATGCGGTGGCTCATACCTGTAATCCCAGCACTTTGGGAGGCTGAGGCGGGCGGATCACCTGATGTCAGGAGTTCGATACCATCCTGGCCAACATGGCGGAACACTGTCTCTACTAAAAATACAAAAATTGGCCGGGCATGGTGGCACATGCCTGTAATCCCAGCTACTCGGGAGGCTGAGGCAGGACAATTGCTTGAACCCAGGAGACAGAGATTGCACTGAGCTGAGATCACCGAGATCACGCCACTGCACTCCAGCCTGGGTGACAGAGTGAGACTCTGTCTCAAAAAAAGAAAAGAAAAAAAAGAAAGACACTACACACTAATAAAAGACTCAGTTTATCAGAAACACACAATAATCCTATGTGTCTACGCACCTGAGAACAGAGGCTCAAAATACATGAAGAAAAAAGTGATAGAACTGAAGGATCAGGCAGAAAAATCCATAGTTATAGGTGAGGACTTCACCACTGCTCTCTTAGTTATTGATAGAATCAGTTCACAGAAAATTAGCAAGGACAAAGGAGAACTGAACAATGCTGTAAACCAATTGGATCTAATTGGCAATTATAGAATACTTCACTCAACAATAAGGTATACAGAGGATACATATTCTTTTCTAGTGCTCATAAAACATTCACCAAGGTTGACCATATTCTCAGTCATTTTAACAGATTTACAAATTTGAAATGATACAAAGTGTGCTCTCTGACTCTAATGGAGATCAACTAGAAATCTGTAACAGAAAGATAACTAGGAAACACTAAAGGTTAAGTAATATAAGTAAATAATCCATAGGTCAAAGAGGAAATTTTATGGGAAATTAAAAACATGTTTTGAACTGAATGAAAATGAAAATACAATGTATCAAAATTTGTGGGGTACAGCTAATGTTGGAGGGAATTGAATAGCATTAAATTCTTACATTAGAAAAGAAGAATGGGTACCCCATTTACCCTAATGTGATTATTACACATTGTATGCCTGTATGAGAACATCTTATGTAACCCATAAGTATATGCACTTGCTATGTACCCACAAAAAAAAGCAAAAGAAAAGAGGGTTGATTTTTAACATATAGTTGATTGGCATGCTGGACTCAAATCCCAAGCAAGATGCTAGGACAAATGACTAATGAGTTGACCTGAGGAAATTTAGGAAAGGAAGCAGTGGTCACTAGGAATTAGCCTGAGAGGAGTAAGAGTAAGTCATGGGGAGGGTAACTGCATGTTGTTTTTTTTTTTTTAAATCAGGCCACTAAACCCATAGATCAGGGCAGGTAGTAGAACTGGTGAATGCGCAAGGCTTTGACGAGGGTTAACAATGACTTTCTGGGAGATACATGGAGAAGTGTGGGAGGTATCATGGGGATGTATCATTAGAATGAGTGAACCTGGGTAAATAACGTTATTATACATTGGGGGCTCCTTTCTGGGTAGGGGTGGGAAATGGTTTATGATATTGTGCTAGGTGGGCCCTGCCTTGTTTACTGATGGTTTGAGTAATAATCAGCATTATAATCTCATATTTGAAGATGATCAATGTGCTCCATTGAGAACCCATCCTTTGACTTCTCCAGCATCCTCCCTCTCATGGACCCCTCCGCTTTCCCATCACCCTGTGCTGCCTGCATTTGGCTGCTCTTAGCCAGTTTCCCTCCCCTCCCATCTCTCTTTGATAATAGATAACCAGTGGGTTACTTTACTATTGTTCATTTCTTCATCGTTGTAAATATTTAAATAACATTTTACAAAAACAATTTGGTCATTTTATACATCTTATTTAAGAGTAATTGCTAACACTATCCTTGTCACTAAAAATGGTGTGTTTACAGAATTTCCCAAGACCTGAAACGATTTGTTTCCCAGAAAATATAGTAAGAAAAAAAAGTAGGATACATATACATTTACATTTGTGTATGTTCACATATTTACAGTTTTGTTAAAAATGCCTATGTTTGCCTATAAAATATCAAAAAGAAAACACATACAAAAGTTGGGAAAGGTTTTGACTATTTCAGATGTTTTTTCTTTAGTAATTTCCTGCATTTTCCAAATGGTCAACTTTCTTTTGCCAGTACCCGTATTAGCCTCTGACTGACTGATTTTCCACACTAGAAATCAGTGGCTCCAACTTTAAAAAGTGCCCTAGTGCTCACCATTTTAAAGTGAATCGGTCTTAAGTGCGGTGGCAGTGGAGGGAATCAGGGGTGACGTTGACTTGCTGGAAAATTCCCTCTGAATTTGTAGTTTGAGTGCAGGAAGATTTGAAAACCTTATTCACCCCCCACCCATCTCCAATTTTGTTTATTTATTTTGAGAGGGAGTTTCACTCTTGCTGCCCCAGATTGGAGTGCAGTGGAGCGACCTTGGCTTACAGCAAACTCCGCCTCCTGGGTTCAAGCGATTCTCCTGCCTCAGTCTTCCGAGTAGCTGGGATTACAGACACCCACCACCATGCGTGGCTAATTTTTGTGTGTGTATGTGTGTGTATATATATGTATATATATATATTTAAATAGAGATGGGGTTTCACCATGTTGGCCAGGCTAGTCTGGAACTCCTGACCCCAGGTGATCTGCCCACCTCAGCCTCACAGAGTGCTGGGATTACAGACGTGAGGCACTGTGCCCGGCCCAATTTTAAAAACTGGTTTTATTTATACCAAGTTTGTTACCTGATTTCATGTCCACCAAACCCTCTTTGTGTCCTCTGAGAATTTTACTTACTGGAGTAACAGCAGGAAAAAGATCCACTGCTAGACTGTTTATTCAAAGTTAAAACTGGCACACAAGTGAAAGGAAGATTGGCCATTTGTCATGGTCTGTTCCCAGAGTATCTTATTTCTTCCCAGGGGTTTATCTTTAGAAGGTGATAATCTTCCTATCTTAACATCAAGGACTGTGGGCCTGCCCCTTTGAGGTATGTGTCCCTTAGTGTCCCTCGCTCTTCCAAGGGAAACTTCTTTAACCTGGGCCTTGCTATCTCCTCGGTCACCCTGTGGGTCCTTTACCATATCCTGTGAGCTTTATTAGTAGAAATGAACTCTAATTTGTTTAAAATGATCTCTTCTTGAATTACTACAAACGGCAGTTCATTCTTAAGAAAACACTGTACCGTAGTGTAGTACATTCTTTAAACTGATGAGACTTGGTCTCAGATACCTTTTATGATTTCCACGTCTGAACTTGCTGGGAATTATTTGTAGATTCTTGGCTGGATTATATTCTGCTTCAGAGTTTTGCAAACCAGATGAGTGGAAATCTGCAAAGATTTAGTAGAGGTATTTCACCAATGACCCTAGGCTTCGAGTGCTTTTGTTGTTGTTGTTAAAATGTGAAGAATTCAGTACTTTAAGTTGCGTGGATATTCATTTTTACTGTCCTTTAGGCTCCTCTTCTCTTTTCACATTATACCTCATCTTCATGTGGATCATATTTATTTTCAAATACAGTTAAGGGATTAACCCAGGAATAAAACAAGTCAAGCACTGATACTTACAGGAAAATCGTGTTAGTTTTGTTCTGCCACCCAAAGACTGACCTAAAAAGAGAAAGAAATAACCGCCATTCACACTTAGTTATTTTCTCAGTTGTATAAATTTCAGATACAGCCCCCTTCAGCTCTCAGCACATCCCTCAACCTTTATTGTTTTTTTAGTGAAACACCAGTGTACATTTTACCTATTGCCATTTGCTGTGGATATATGTATTAACACTTGATTTCTTAATTAATTCTTTATGGTTTAGATTTTCAGCAGAGATTTTTTTTTGTGTGTCATCAGGGAGTTTAATAATAAATATATTTAATTCTAGATCCCCATTATTATGTATTGATCTGTTTTAATAACCTCTGTGCAATCTGATGCAAATATCCCTCCATTGTTTCAGTCTGGAAGCATGTATGTGGTTAGTTTATTGAGGTCAAAACATCCTTAGGACTATGCTTCTGGCTTGGTCATAATGCTTCTGCCATGTCTTGGTTGTACTGTAATCTTAGATTTAAAAGGAATGACATATTAGTACCCAGGATGCTGACCTAGGGAGCCACAGTCAAATAAGCCACTCTTGTTTGCCACTAGTTGGCCATTCTCCTCATCTCATCAGTCTTTTAGTTGCTTTCTTTGTCCCCCAATTCCTTGGGATTCAACTTGTATCCTAGGTCACCTCTCCCTCTTCTAATAGGAGCACCCAATGTCTGGCCTGGGAGAGCAAAGTAGGGTGACTGAGGAGAGGTATTGGGATGGTTCATCTGGGCTGAGGAGGTAGAGAAGAGGTGCAGTTCCTGGGGGAGCAGCTTAGGGCTCCCACTCATCATCACCACGAGGGGGCCTGCAGGTTTCACCTGCTCAAGGTGCCCCATGTAAAGAGCGGAGATTCATGTCATAGACATAAATTAACCTGAGACGGCACAAGTAGACAAGCAAATTCTGGTGTCCTGGTTGAGGATCTTGAAGCTGCAGGAGAGAACCCCAGCTCCACAAACCCCACTGATGACCGCGATGTGAACACACCATCCTGTTTGTGCACAGTGGTACCCTGACCTGACCCAGCTCAGGAGTTCTTAGGGGTCGGTTCCCCATCCTGCAGGACTCTGACCTTGGCCTGGTACCCTCATAGTGTGTGTGTGGGTGATTAACGTGCACCGTCTTCCGTGCCCGAGGGACGTCTGAGCAGGTGAAAGCAGCAAGGATGGGAAAGCCCCTCCAGGTGGAACTCTTCACACTGTGCAAATATATAATAACCTTAGAAGAGTTTTACTTGAGGAAGGCGCCTTTTCCAGTTTGCACAGAGGCACATCCTGGGCCAACAGCAACCTGTACACAGGAAAGCACAACTTGGTGTAAATATGCTATGGAGGAAATTCACCTCGAGAGTGAGGGCCCAGAACTAGGAAATGGATTACCAATGCCTTTTAAGTTCTTCCTCAATACCTAGTCTTTGGAGGGGCCAGGCATGGTGGCTCATGCTTGTAATTCTAACATTTTGGGAGGCCAAGGCAGGCAGATTGCTTGAGCTCAGGAGTCCGAGACCAGCCTGGGCAACATAGTAAAACCCCATCTCTACAAAAATTAGGTGTGGTGGTGTGTGCTGTAGACTCAGTTACTTGGGAGGCTAAGGCAGGAGAATTGCTTGAGAGCCTGGGAGCCGGAAGTTGAGCTGAGATTGAACCACTGCACTCCAGCCTGGGCAACAGAGTGAGACCCTGTCTCTCTGTCTCTCTCTCACACACACACACACACACACACACACACACACACACACACACACAAACAAACAAACAAAAACCACACAACCAAAACAGTCTTTGGAGGGACACGCAGGGGCTCCATTCTTACTTTCTCCACTTGTGACCCTGGGCATGCTACTTAACCTCTCTGAGCTACAATTTCTTCATTGTTAAAATGGAGATAATTGAGGCAGATTCATTTGTTTGTAGGTATGAAGCTTATGTGATTTGGGAGGCCCTCTTAAAATAAAAGAATTTTTAAAAATTGTTCGGGGTTTGCAAATTTTTCAGGCACATATAGTTATGCAAACACGTTGAAAAAGAGCTTTCTGGTAGAAGGAATAGTATATACAAAGCCAAGGAAATTCAAAACAGCAATACCGGTTTAGGGAAAGGAAAGTAATTCTGCATGACCTCTGAGGTAAGGAGAATACAGACAGCAGTGTTATGCAGCCATGAATCTCAGCCTTGGCCGAACATGAGAATCGCTTGGACCCCGCTCCCAAAGATTTGATGTCATTGGTCTGCGACACACCTGGCCACTGGGTTTAAAAAAAAAAAAAAGTCTTTCCAGGGCTGAGACAGGAGGATCACTTGAGGCCAGGAGTTTAAGACTAGCCTGAGCAACATAGTGAGACCCCATCTATAAAAAATATATGTATCAAACAATTAGCTGGATGTGGTGGCACACACCTGTAGTCCTAGCTACTCAGGAGGCTAAGATGGCAGGATTGCTTGAGACCAGGAGGTCGAGGCTGTGGTGAGCCATGATCATGCCACTGCACTCCAGCCTGGGTGACAGAGCGAGACCATCTCAAAAAAAAAAAAAAAAAAAGAAAGAAAAAAGAAAAGAAAAGAAAAAAATCATCCCAGGTTATCCAAGCATCCTGCTGAGGTTGAGAAGGCTGATGTGAAACCGTGGTTCTCCAACTTTCATTTGCATCAGAACCACCTGGAGGACTCCACCCCTAGAGTTTGTGATTCAGTAGGTCTGGAGTGTGGCCCAGTAAATTGCATTCCTAATAAATTTCCAGGTGTTCTAATGCTGGAGGTTGGGGACTATACTTTGAGAACAACTTGCCTAGCTGCTAGCATGTGATGTTGACTAAACCCCGACTGTGTATCCTGAAGACAGAAAAACAGGGAAAACCCTTAGAACAGGTTTAGAAAAATAATTGTCCCAAGAGTAGCAGGAAGTGGGAATTAATGTGTATTAAACTGTTAGCATGTGATGGTACAGAGTCAGGTGGTATGTGGAAATAGCCCATTTAACACTCTGGGTAACACACATCATCCCTCAAGCCACGCAGGCTCCTGGTCACTCCTGTCACCTCTAGGTGCAGAAGGTCAGTATATTCTCCTAACTCCAAGGCTTTGCTGAAGCGGCCATCCTTATATGCTGAGGCTGGGAGAGGGTAGTTTTCTATTAATCCCATTCATATAGCTCTCCTCTCTGACCTTAGCCCCCACATTGTCAGCAACGGCCTATGGTGGAAGCCTTGTGTAAATAAATGCTGTGCCTGTGACAGAGAACATCCAAATGTCCCTTCTGCCCTATTATTGCAGCTGCTTAAGAGAGGTTATGCTGGCAGTTGGCTGGCCTTAAGGCGTCCTGAACTCTTTCTAATGCTAAACCTTCTCCCTGCCTCCCTCTGTTTCTCCCCCCACCTCCCCATCTCAGGAAACCATCTGTACCTAGCTACCTTAATTGACCTCAGTGGATCTCACCACGGTTCTCTTCAGATCTATGGTATCATCTGCCATAGGCCCTGTTGTCTGTTGAGAGTTGCTATCTGTTCATTCATTGTAAGCATTTTTTTTTCCCTTTGTATCTTTAAGCATGGTTTTAGACAGCTGCCCTAAAATTCTTATCTGCTGATTTTGGCACCTCGTTCATCTTTTGGTTGATCTCAATTGATTAACTTTTCTCTTGATTTGCATCGTGTTTTCCTGTTTCTTATGTCTAGTAATTTTGGTTTATATCCTGACTGTTGGGAATGACCCATTCTAGAAACTGTGGATGCTATTACATTCTCCCATAAGTATTGGTTACTTTTTTTTTTTTTTTTTTTTTTTGAGATGGAGTTTCGTCTGTCACCCAGGCTGGAGTGCAATGGCGTGATCTCTGCTCACTGCAACCACCACCACCCAGGTTCAAGTGATTCTCCCGGCTCAGCCTCCCAAGTAGCTGGGATTACAGGCACGTGCCACCATGCCTGGCTAATTTTTGTGTTTTTAGTAGATTCGGGGGTTTCACCGTGTTGGCCAGGATGCTCTCAATCTCTTGACCTCAAGTGATCCACCCACCTTGACCTTCCAAAGTACTGGGATTACAGGCATGAGCCACCATGCCTGGCCTACTTTTTGTTTTAGTAGTAAGTCTTGACTGAGCTCAAACTCAAAACTCTGTCTTCCCTCAGTGGGTAGCAGCTGAAAATTTCTGTTTAGTTTTTTAGCCTTACGTGGACTCTTTGGAGTCTGCTCTGTGCATGCATAGTTCAGGAGTCAGCAAGAAATCTGGAAAGTTTACGTGTAGATTGGGGGCCGCTATGCCGTAGAGCTCACTCATCTTTTTCTCTTAGGCTGTTTTCTGTTGCTGTGACAGAATACCAGAGACCGGGTAACTTATAAAGAACAGATGATTATTTGGCTCGTGTTTCTGGAGGCTGGCAAGTCTGAGAGCCTGGCACCAGCTTCAGTGAGAGCCTTCTTGCTGCATCATAACATGGCGGAAGGGGAAGTAAGCACATGAGACACAGGCACCAGGGGCTGCACTCACAATATAGCAACAGACTCTTGTGATAACTAACCTGCTACCGCAATAACAACGTTAATTCGTTCACGAGAACTCTGCCCTCATGACCCAGTCACCTCTTACTAGGCCCCACCTTTCAACACTGTTGTCTTGGGGATTAAGTTTCCAATGCATTAACTATGGGGGACACATTCAAATCATAGCACTCACCTTTCAGCTTCTAGGGTAGCTTCAAACTCTGTTCTCTGGTTCTTTAAGACAGTAACACTGATGATACATACATACTAAGTTTTAGCTCCCCTTCATGGTGTAGAATATGTCTTGTCCTTAAGCAAAAAGCTGGATAATGAAAAACTCACTCATTTTCATTTTCTTCTTCCAAGTGTTGAATTTTTCATGTTTTTATTTATTTTTATTTTTATTTATTTATTTTTTGCCTGCATTTGTATATTCTCCAATGTCTGCAAGCAGTTTTTTGTGTATTTGGGCCAGGCTTTATGGTTATCTGTCGAAGATTGGTCTGATAAGAGATACTATGCTGTTATCGGAAGCAGAACTGACGTGTACTTTTATAGCATTTGCCAAGAATCAAACAAAACTAAATTGATGGCCACATTTGCCGAGAGTTAGGCTCAGATTTAGTCCCTTCATTCTAGTCTGACTCTGTCATCAGTATTGGGAGCCTCTGTTCAATTCTGAATCTTGGAGGGTTTATAGAAGATTGCCAACTAAAGAAACCTTCCTGAACACCCTCCTATTCCCCATCCTCCACTTCTCTGAGTTACTCTATCCTATGACCTAGTGTTCTGGTCTTCATAGTATTTGTCACTTTATGACATTCTGTGTGTTCATTTACTTTAAAAAAAATCATCTCGGCTGGGTGCGGTGGCTCACGTTTATAATCCCAGCACTTTGGGAGGCTGAGGTGGGTGGATCACAAGATCAAGAGATCGAGACCAGCCTGGCCAACATGGTGAAACCCCATCTCTACTAAAAATACAAAAATTAGCTGGGAGTGGTGGCAGGTGCCTGTAATCTCAGCTACTCGGGAGGCTGAGGCAGGAGAATTGCTTGAAATCGGGAGGCGGAGGTTGCAGTGAGCCGAGATCGCGCCATTGCACTCCAGCCTGGTGACAAAGCAAGACTCCGTCTCAAAAAAAAAAAAAAAACAAAAAAACAACTCTTTCTTTCTTTTAGAACCTAAACCCATAAAGACAAGGACCTTATCTGTCTTGCTTCTCATTTTATTCTCTGTACCTGTAAATCTTTGCGCATAGTAGGCTCTTGGTTTCTATTAACTAAATTGGTTCATGCTTCATCTAACTATCTTACTGAGTTGTAGGACATTTATCCATACCTGGGAAGGCTGGAATTGGTTGAGTATCCCACCATTTGTGACATTTTAATTTATAATGTAACTGTACTAACAACTGCCTTTGCCAGATATTTACAACACACACACGTGCACTGTAACTCAAGAAATCCACAGAAGCTCTCCCTTCAGTTGAGCAAATTTCAGTGGAATACCTATTCTGGGTAAGCTATGAAGCCCATCTCTGTATATTGTGTAAGATCTGAGGTTCCATTGGTGGTAGGAAGTACACATAAGACAGGGTTCCGGTATTAAAAAATCTATTTAGGAAAACATATCTAAAAATAGGTGAGTGAGAACTTTGACCTTGTTTTTAAACTCTGTTTTTCACCGTTATGAGGAAGGTGATATAGTGAGGAGGGTGGTTTCCAGGAAAAAAAAAAAATACAGCTGGCAAATGGATAAATTTAAGTATATTCGAGGGCTTCAGTAATGTAATGCAGACTGTGATCCACTTAGGAATTAAAATCTACTAAAGATTTCTGTCAATAATTTATCAACTATTTTAAGTTGGAAAACAAATTCATAAACATGTTAACTTTTTTTTTAACAGTGTAAATTTAAAGTATAAGCATTTCCCCAACCCTGGATCTCCCAGGCCCCCTGTGCCATAGGCAGCCCCCATCTATTAACAGTTACAATGGATGCACAGCTGTGCACGCATCTGTTTGTGTGTGTGTACCCTCTTCCTTTTGAAAAACATAGACACATGCTGTACATACTTATACTTCTGTACATAAATACATTTATTAGCCCATGTAGGTGTGTTGTGCTTTTTAAAATGATTGTGTCGTATTTCATTACACTGATACATTGTAATGTATTTAACTAGTCCCCTATGGAAAAACATTTTATACTGAATACATAATAATTTGAGACTAGATAAACATCTGTCAAAGAAGTAGGAATGAAAATTACTTTCACAGTGTTTTTGGTTATCTTGAAAACCTGAGACATCTTCAAATGCCAGGACATCTCTCATGCTGTCATTCATGACGTAAATATATGAGCAAAAAACAGAATGAATGAAAAACAGGACCACAGACTATTGACAGTTACTTCAACTGTGGAATCCTTTTATTGTTTATTTAGTTCCTTTAGGCAGTTGAATTTCATTTTGCGTGCACAGCAATCATATTGACTTATGCTGCAAAATAGTTTTAAATAATCTCTTATACAGAGGAAAACTTTTGTGGTGCTGGAGTGGAGCTTAGAATTCTCTATTATGGCATTTTTAGGTCATTTAAGGTTAACCCACTAAGTAACGCAGTGCAGACAGCGTCGTTGAAGTGGCAGCTTGGGTTAACTGTGTTTCCACCTCTTCTGAATTACATCATTTTTACCTGTCATTAACTCAGCATAATGTAGCACAAATTGATTTTCCTAATTTGATAGGTTAAGTTCTTTAAAATAATAATTAGGCATAGCAGTATAGGCTGATTTGCTACAAAATGTGTTTTGCGTTGCTGATTGGGCCACACATGATTGGCAAATGGAGGAACTATGTCTCTACAAAGTGGAGGTTACATTGTTTCAAACAGTTTCCCCAGTATGTTAATGCTTTATTTTACCAAGTAACTGGAGCTGCAGGAAAATGAAACTAATATAGCTGAACTCATGAGGTGTGGAGGAATAAGCTACCATTTATGATGCTTTGTCTTGGAGGTTCTTGGGGTGGGAGAGATTCGGGGAGAGGGTTCTCTTTGATCTTTGTGCATTTTGTTCTTACCTCCGTAACTTCGTAGCCTCAGCCCTCCCCTACACCTTCCTTCAAGCTACCATCACTCTTTTTTTTTTTTTTTTTTTGAGACGGAGTCTCCCTCTGTCGCCCAGGCTGGAGTGCAGTGGTGCGATCTCGGCTCACTGCAAGCTCCGCCTCCTGGGTTCACGCCATTCTCCTGCCTCAGCCTCCCCAGTAGCTGGGACTACAGGTGCCTGCCACTGCGCCCGGCTAATTTTTTTTTTGTATTTTTAGTAGAGACGGGGTTTCACCGTGGTCTCGATCTTCTGACCTCGTGATCCGCCCGCCTCGGCCTCCCAAAGTGCTGGGATTACAGGCGTGAGCCACCGCGCCCGGCCCATCACTCTTTTTAAAGGTAGAGACCCAGTTTAACTCTATTTTTCAAAAAGTAAATTAGGTTTTCTGTGGCTTTGCAGCTGTGCCCGTGTCTTTGTTAGAATTGCTATTGCTTGTGTTAATGCTGTCCTAACAGTATTGTATAGGCTTGCCCCAACCCTGTCTTTCTCATGAGCCTTGTTATTATTAGTGTGCACTTTTGCCTAATGTGTCGTTTTTCAGGAAAACACATTTCTCTTTGGAGCAGAGGTGTTTCTGTTCTATAGATATAGATAGCATTGAGGTGCTCAAACAACTGGACAAGTGTTACTTAGAATGCGATGTTGAATAGAGACAGATATCAGACTGTTTCTTATGACTTGCTACTTTCCATAAGAATAGAATGGAAAATGTGAGAACTCGTGTTCAACTTACTTGATGAAGTATAGCATAGAATCTTTGTCTTAAATATTAATAATATCTTTGACTCAAAGGGTAGAAGTGCCATTTTTTTTCCCGAAAAAATGCCATCTCTCCTGGGATCTCCTTTACTGCCTTTTCGGGTGTAGATAGATATTCAGACTTTAAAACGATTTGTTAATTCTGCATGATAACACCATGTGCCACCTCAAGCCACATTGTCAGCATCGACCCACTCATTTCTCACTTTTTATTAAATTTGTTGATTGGGTATGAAATATGAGTATCCTTTGAAGTATTCCTGCTAATATGTTTTTCCTCTAATTCATGCCAAAACCCGTGATTTTTTTTAAAGTCAGAAAATACTTCTGGAAATGGCTTACCAAATTCTCTGTTAATAATTTTATAGCCCTCTGCCAGGGTGCTTGTACACCTCTGAAATCCCTCATTGGCTTCATCTTCTTTACTAGACTCAGCTCCTTGAGTGCAGGGACTCTTTCTTTTTGGACAGTATCATACATTCCTGGAAGGAACTAAATACATGTTAATCAAAAGAAATGTTGAGGCTGGGCACGGTGGCTCATGCCTGTAATCCAGCACTTTGGGAGGCCAAGGTGGGCGGATCACCAGAAGTCAGGAGTTCGAGACCAGCCTGACCAACATGGAGAAACCCCGTCTCTACTAAAAAAATACAAAATTAGCCAGGCGTGGTGGCGCATGCCTGTAATCCCAGCTACTCGGGAGGCTGAGGCAGGAGAATTGCTTGAACTTGGGAGGTGGAGGTTGCAGTGAGCTGAGATGGTGCCATTGCACTCCAGCCTGGGCAACAAGAGCAAAACTCCATCTCAAAAAAAAAAAAAAAAGTTGACTAGATTCTAGCATTCAGATCCTAGCCCACAAAAGAGCATTCAAATTTCTAGTCGCAGAGACCATTCAAAATGTATCCATTATGTTATAATGAGAATGAGTTTTTTCTAGGGTCTGCACGCCAGAGATCTTAAACTGAGGTGGGCGTGTGTGTGTGTGTGTGTGCGCACACACACAGATTTTTCATATTCTGTATAAGGCTGTTTTCAGATTCTATGAAAAGCGCTGGGTGAAGCCAACATTTAACCTATCCCTGTTCCTCTTCATCTGTTCTATTCATCACCCAACTTTCCAGCCTGACCCGTACCAATCTGTGAGTTTGTGCCTGGTATTTTGAATGCTTGACACTCCTTAACATGTGTTTGTAACCTTGTGGCTGGGCTTGTTCACCTGAATCCGATTTTCTGTTTCTGGTTTGAATTGTGGTTGTTCCCTGGAACCAAATCTCTCTGCTTCTGACATTAGTGCAGCAACCTAGTCTTTCCTTCCTACTTTTGTCCTTTTTTTTTTTTTTTTTTTTTTTTTTGCTTGGCTTCAGCGTTTTCACCTTGGATGTGTCTGATCCCAAAGCATCCTGCTGTTGCTCAACAGTAGGAATTGCCCAAACTTAGTTCTTAACAGATTCTGATAATAAAGTTGAACAGCATCCGCAAATTATTGGCTTTCTAAAATCCTAATTCCTTTTGGGTCCGAAAATAGGATGGCATGTGTCATAAAAAAATAGGTAGCATTTTCTTATTTATAACTTTGCTTTCTTTTTTCAGGCCACATTTAATGCTGGATGACTGAGTGTGGCATGGTTGTCCAGGAAGTGTTTGTTCGAGTGAGCGATTCTGTGATGCTGGGATGATTCAGTTTGTTTGTCATTGAAATGTTCATTTCATCCAAGACCGAAAAATAGCCCATAAAAGAGCATTCAGATTTCCCTTATGCTTCACTTTAAGGGCAGCAGGTTCTCTTTGGCCTGCTAGGTTGGAAGATGATAAGCATTGCTGAAGTTGAATGTCACTGACATATAAAGACTTGTCAAAGGATAGCTCAAGTATACCTAGAAAATGATCAAATATTAGAGCCGAGGAAACTCAGAGAACATTTTCCAACCAGCTCCATTTAATAGACAAGGATGTGAAAGTGTAGACTGATGAAGGAAGTTGCTCAGGATTCAACCCACAGCTGGCTGATAAGGACCTGGGGCCAAGTCAGACTTTCATAGTCACAAAATGGTGTATAGCCAGTTGCTTTCCACTGCCTTTCTTTACGCATTAATGGGACCTCACTTTACAATCAACAAGAGGACAAAGAGCAGAGCACCATTTTTTAAGAAATTGCGATTGCCTTACTCAGTTTCATTGGCTCATAAGGGATCCTTTGCCTTCTTGGGTGCAGTGACCAAGACTGGGTAGTCCCTGAGCCCACATGTCCATGGGCAGGGGTCATGGGGATGTCAAGGGCTTTCTCTTGCTCTGGCAAAGTTCACCTCTCCATTGGCCTCCACATCACCATGGGGTGGAGTGGAGAGAGGGCCCAGGGGCTCCAGAAAGAGAGTCTCACCCTCCTTTTTCCATTCCCTTGGCACCAGCACTCACAGCCTGATCTCCCGCTGATGTCCACCTGGAGTCACCAGGATTGATCCTCGTCTACCTGGGTCCACATAGACTGCCAAGACTCGTGCCCCAAAACCTTAACAAGCACAGGTATTTTGTGTTCACTGCTGTGCCTCTAGGGCCTAGGTCAGTTCCTGGTACGTAGCAGGTGCTCAGTAAGTATTTGGTGAATGAATGAATGAGGACCTGGCTGAGGATAGAAGCCTCTTGGAATCACTGAGTGTCATGCATATAACAGGCAGGCTAGGACCCACAAGAACATCACAGACCTGGACTGTACTTCCCACGTTGACTTTGAACAGTGGGTCAACTTTTGGGAGTCATTTCTGCTGTCCTCATTGGTAAAATGAGAATAAGATGCTATGATCTGTAGAGTCCGTTTCAGCTTTAAATTTGTGGTTCTGTGCTCCTCAAGCATCAGCAGAATGTGACTTGGAACAGCTTTGTCAGCATCAGACGTAGCAGTGTTTATTCCCCGGGTCCTGCCTGTCAGCCATGTGGCCTGCCCACGTAAAGGCTGGCACCTCCGCTGTGGCCTCTCCCTGCATCTCCCACGTGCAGTTGGCCCAGTCTCTGTCCGTTGGAATTAGCTTGAGTTGGTTATAATAGGAACATCCCAAACTGTACAGCTGTAAACCAAATAGAAGTCTTGAAAAAAATCAGAGGCTTATTTTTCATTTACAGAGAAGTCTAAAAGGTAGGAAAGCTGTGCTTGCCGTCGAGGACCCACTGTCATCACACCCTCCTTCTCCCTCACTGCTCCATGACACATGGGCCATTATCTTTACTTTCTCTTCTTTTTTTTTTCTCTTGAGATGGAGTTTTGCTCTTGTTGCCCAGGCTGGAGTACAATGGCGTGATCTCGGCTCACCACAACCTCCGTCCGGTTGTAGCTGGGATTACAGGCATGCGCCACCACGCCCAGCTAAGTTGGTATTTTTAGTAGAGAAACGGTTTCACCATGTTAGTCATGGCTGGTCTCGAACTCCTGACCTCAGGTGATCCACCTGCCTCGGCCTCCCAAAGTGCTGGGATTACAGGCGTGAGCCACTGCGCCTGGCCTGTCTTTACTTTCTAAATAGGAGAAGGAAGAGGCTGTGTCTCCACTCCCCTAACTGAGGAAGACTTTCCAGAAATCAAGTCATGAACGCTTTTGTGTTCATCTCATCGGCCCAAAATAGAGACGATGGCCGCATCTGAGTCGAAAGGAGGCCAGGGAATATAATCGTTTGGTGGAATGTTAGTGTGCTCTGCTGAAAATCAGTTGGTATAAAAATGAGCTTGTCCTATTGATTTCCTTGTGCTGTCTTTATTTCGCTCTGGTTTGAAGGGTTTAGGAATGAATTGAGCTCCACCTCAAGGGTTCTTGGAGTCATTTGAGTGGATGAGGCTGAAATGACCCATTTGTTCCTTGTCTGGGTGCAAAGCTTGCCTGCAAGGCTATCTGAACCTTATCAGATAAGGTTCAAATAAGGTTAAAGTCTATCCCACACAAAACCACCCTCCCCTAAGATTAGGCAAAACGATAGGGAGGGTGGTTTTGTGTGGGATAGATTTTAAATGCTGATTAAACACATTTCACCACTAAATCTTCACTTTTGAAGCTTTTTTTTTTTTTTTTTTGGTCAGTTTGAGCAATTTTTATGTTTCTGGAGATTTAAACCAAAAAACTCTTCGTTTTCGTTTCCAGTACTTGTCATTTGTGCCTTTGTTTGGTTTTTCTTGATTAGTTTTCCCAGGGGCTTGTCTATTTTATGTTTTTTTGAAGAACCTCTATTAGTTTTCATTAAATCCCTCTATTGCTTATATCTTTTGTATTTATATGAAAATATACATATATTTCTTGTTTTCTATTCTCTTTGGTTTGTTTGCTGTGTTTTTTTTTTTTTGATGGCATCTTGCTCTGTTGCCCAGGCTGGAGTGCAGTGGTGCAATCTCGGCTCACTGCAAGCTCCACCTCCTGGGTTCACGCCGTTCTCCTGCCTCAGCCTCCTGAGTAGCTGGGACTACAGGTGCCTGCCACCACGCCCGGCTAATTTTTCGTATTTTTAGTAGAGACGGGGTTTCACCATGTTAGCCAGAATGGTCTTGATCTCCTGACCTTGTGATCCGCCCACCTCGGCTTCCCAAAGTGCTGGGATTACAGGCGTGAGCCACTGTGCCTGGCTTGTTTGCTGTGTTTAAAAAAAGTTGTTTTGTTTTTTGAGGGAGAAATTAGTATAGATTGCATGGTCAGGTGGATTTTTTAAAGAGGAACATAAGAGCAAGATATTCGAAGTGTGAGGAACGGTATTTGTGACAGGGTTCTCTAGAGGGACAGGACTGATAGGATAGATGTATATATGAAAGGAAGTTTATTAGGGAGTATCAACTCACGTGATCACAAGGTGAAGTCCCACAATAGGCTGTCTGCAAGCTAAGGAGCAAGGAAGCCAGTCTGAGTCCCGAATACAGCCTTCACTCTGTGGCCAAAGGCCTGAGAGCCCCTGGCAAACCACTGGTCTAGGTCCAGCAGTCCAAAAGCTGAAGAACTTGGAGTCTGATGTTCGAGGGCAGGAAGCCTCCAGCACGGGAGAAGGATGGAGGCCAGAAGACTCAGCAAATATCACTCAATATTAACCATCACAGTACTTCACTTAGGAAGTATTTTGAGGCATCATCTACATTTATAGCATATTAGACACTGAAGGACCGAAACGTGTCATGAAATGCCCACGTCCCAGAGCCCCTGATCTACAGAAGGAGGTGGGGACAAAACATGTACTGCTAGAGTAGAGTGGAGAAAACAAAAAATAGAATGAATGAACATCGAGAAGGCAGAGGTGAATCGTTTGCAAGAAAGGTTTGGCAGTCACAGAGGACAGAAAGGTAAATGTGAGGACAGCAAGAATGAGGGAGCTGGAGGCACTGGGGCAGGAGCGAGGCGTCCTATCAGAAACTGTTTTTATCACTGACTGTTCAGTCCTTCATGTCAGCTAGATGTTCTCAACTACCCAAATCCACTGTAGATAAAATTCTTCAAGACATGACAGAGTTAACTCGCATTTTCTCTGTTATCAGGGCGGCTTTTGTTACATGGTTGCAAACCTGTTCTACACACCTGCTTTGCCACCTTCACTTCCTGACAATTTCTGATTTCCACTTCAGCTTCTGGAGCATTCTGTCTCCTGCCCTTCCTTTTCCCTTCTTCCTAGTGGACTCTTCATTTACCTCTGCCTGGCTTCTAATCTGCCTCTTGTCCCAATTCCCCATTTCCATGTGTTCTGGCCCCAGCTCATTCTGTTCCCGCAGACCTGATTTCTCACCTTATTTCCTGTTGATTCCTTCTCAGCTGTAGCAGGCATGCCTCAGTCTCCCCAAGGCAGGCTGCCTTGTGGCTTGGCAGAACAAAAGGCAGGTGGGGAGGAGGCTGGATTTAGAAACAAGTGCCGTGTCTCCTGGTGGTGATGAGTAGCCTTGCAAGAGCCCTTCCCAGATGACCTCAGTCCAGATGGAGATGGCACAGGAGGGTGCAGGAAGAAAACTGCAGTTTCAAACAGCTTCTGTAGGCACACCAAGCAGGGAGAATTAGCACTGCTAGCTACTTATGAACAGGGATGGCATAAGGTTGGCTTGTACTGAGAGTGGCCTGATCTGTTGTGGTCTTTTTTTCCCCAAAGCGTACCATACCCCTGAACTAAGTTAGAATGATATCATATAGAGAGAGTTTCTAACCATTTTTCCCCCCTTTGACAATATTATGACAGGTATGCAGAAAGATTAATGTGTAAGATGTTGATGGGTACATCATTTACAACAGTGAACCACTGGAAACAAATGTCCACTGGAGAAGATAAAAGAATGATGATACAGTTAGTGGTTTCTGACACAACTAATAAAGAAAGTGAGGTGGACCTACAAGTAGATGCATAGAAAGATCTCTGAGACATGCTCTATGGAAGACATCAGGTCACAGAACAGTGCAGAGGATATGAACCCGTTATGCCAAAAAGAAACAGTGTCTTGGCTGAGCGCGGTGGCTCATGCCTGTAATCCCAGCACTTTGGAAGGCTGAGGCGGGCGGATCACCTTAGGTTGGGAGCTCGAGACCAGTCTGACCAACATGGAGAAACCTCGTCTCTACTAAAAATACAAAATTAGCCAGGCGTGGTGGCGCATGCCTGTAATCTCAGCTACTTGGGAGGCCGAGGCCGCAGAATCGCTTGAACCCAGGAGGCGGAGGTTGCGGTGAGCCGAGATCATGCCATTGTACTCCAGCCTGGGCAACAAGAGCAAAACTCTGTCTCAAAAAAAAAAAAAAAAAAAAAAAAGAAGCAGTGTCTCTATGTCCACACATGTCTGTATATGTATATAGATATATATAGAAAGGACAGGAAGGGGAGGCTTTAGGATTACTTTAGGTGTTCAGCAGTAGAAGACCACCTTGCACACTGGGTGGGTAAAAGAAATCTGCTCAGCATTGTTCTTTCATATTTCACCTCGAGCTTTATAAACCCTGCCAGAGGAAGATCTCTGGGGCCAGGAGTTCAAGACCAACCTGGGCAACATAGTGAGACCCCCATCTCTAAAGATAATAAATAAATAAACAAACAAACAAATAAACCCTACAATGGACCTTTGCAAAGAGAAATTAGTCCTTTGTTGTGTAAGTTGCAAATATTTTCTTCCAGTCTATTGTTTGTCATTTATTATAATACCATTTATCTTGTAGCAATGTAAGAAAATTGTGTCAGGAAGTCTTTCTTTTTTTCATTACAATTTCTAAATTTGGAGTCCTGCTTGGGAAGGCCTTTCTCACCATAAGATTCTACATTATCTTCATTTTCTTCCCCTGATGTTTTTTTCAGCATTTTATTTTTTTTTACAACTAATTTAATTCATTTCCTATTTATTTTTCTGGGTGGGTGGTCAGAGTAATGGAACATATCCAAATGGATATCCAATTGCCCCAAAACTATTTATTGAATAACCAATGGACCCAGTTATATTTATTCCCAATTCCCATACTTCTTTGGACTGTTTATTAAAATTTGTCTAAAATTGAGTGTCTGTCTACAGAAGTCCAATTAAGTGAGCGATTAATGTTGAAGATTTGAGAAACACTTGTGTGATGAAGTGTCTAGCAGAGCTCTGGCACTAAATGGAAGATGTTATTGTAACACAGAAACAAAAATAACAGAGACAGTGTGGATATAAGGCTTTGAAATGCGTTGGGCAGGGTGTCTGGATAAAAAAGTCATGCTTGTGGTCGAGCTCCAGGTAAGGCCCTGGATTGCAAAAGGCAAAACAACACAAAACCCTCAATCTGCTTTAAGAAAAAGTAAGCTTCTTAAAAGGACTCAGCAGTAGACATTCTTAGTGATGCTACACCCTAATGATAGCCGGTATCCCCGCAATGGGAGATAAACCACTGTTGGGAGCCAAGGCTTCTCCATAGCTGAGGGGCCACATCTCCTATTTTCTTCTGTCTTTCTGTCCTCACCACCTGTATTCCTGTAGATTTTTCTGTAGATGGTCCATTGAAGCCACTGGCCCTTACAGGTCTAGCCCCACTAACTGTCCTCTCCTATTTTAAAATCCCAGGGGAATCTAGTAAACTGTGCATCCTACCTTGTTCAATCAACTCTGGCTTCAGGGATGAGAGTTGTCACATTGTCTCTGGGGTGGCTGCTTCCAGAGGTTTTAGGGCAGATGAATCTCAAGTCTGTTGAGCATGGCAGATAAATACCCTTCTTCTCTGCTTCCCTACAGGTAGGCTTAGAGCAATAATTTTCTACTATTTTTTAAAAGCAGTATGACTATATGTAGGAAAATATCGGAAGTTGGCCCTAGGCAATTGTGAAATAAGGGAAGTTTATTTTTGCATGCCTGTCCTCACTATCTTTCCCCATAGAAGTTTTTATTTGGGGATTGCCTGCATTTCTAAACTTTTGAAAGGCTGTTATAACATACGGGTTATGAAAGTGACCTCTGAGGTCAGACTGGGTTCCTAATCTGCTTCTCCAAGCTTTGTGACCTTGGACAAGTTTTGTAAGCTTGCCAAAACCTCAATTTCCCCATCAATAATATGATGTTATTAATAGTCCTGACCTCAGGGGTTGTTGTGAAAGTTAAATGAATGTCGAGCTTTAACAATCTGATGCTTAGTGAAAGCTTAATGTTTGTTTTGGTGCTTTCTAATGAATAAAGACCCTGATCATGATAATGCATTCTTGTTGCTCTTTCTGTGTATCCCTGTCCTTTCCCACATTTTGAGATTTACTTTCTGTAGTTTGTATTCTGAAAATAATATGTCATTAGAAGTATAATGAACATACTTTTTTCAAGCAAAATTTCTCTCTTCCCACCTCTTGCCACATTTTAGATATATATAAATTGCCTCAGCACTTTAAACCTCAATGACATGTTGCTAATTAGTGCAAAGCCATTAATCATCATACAGACCTCTGTTCCAAGTCCCTGGCAATCCACTTTCATCTCCTTCTCCTGGGTGCTTGTTCATGTGCAAGGATCTGGTTAAATCCTTCCTGCTTAGGCCGAAGTGGCTGATGAGGTCTGCGTTAGTTCATTTTCTGTTGCTTTAACTGAACACCACAGACTGGGTATTTTATAAAGAATAAAGAGGGTAATTTATAAAGAATAGAGGTTGATTTAGCTCATGGTTCTGGAGGCTGGGAAGTCTAAGAGCATGGAACTAGCATCTGGTGAGGCCCTTCATGCTGTGTCATAACATGGCAGAGGGTGTTACATGCAAGAGAGCAAGAGTGTGCATGTCAGCTCAAGACACTCTTCCTCATCTTATAAAGCCACCAGTCCTATCATGGGAGCCCCATCCTGATGACCTTATCTAGTCCTAATTATCTCCCAAAGGCCCCACCTCCAATCAACATAATGAATTTGGGAATTAAGTTTCCAGCACATGAAAGTTGGGGAAGAAAAAGATGGCCTTCCCATGCAGTTGTCCTGGTGAAGTTATTCTATTATGGTAGAATAGCTTGGAGCTAGATGTCTTTTATAGGAAATGACTAGTGACCGTATTTTCCATAACAGGATACCCCAACCACCACAAACTTTATTGCTTCGGTTGCCCATGTTATTTATTTATTTATTTATTTATTTATTTATTTATTTATTTATTTATATCCTGCCCCATTCCAAAGGGGACTTGCAGATTTAGTTAGCAGATATCACTAGGTGTTGCTAAAGATTATGTCTGATTTGGGACAAGATCTGCTTTTGGGGACTTGGATCACTAATAAGCTAGACCACCTTAGCCACTATTAGTGGCTTGAGGATTGGCTGCCACTAATCCTGCTCATCCCCTTACCACTGATACTCTTGTGCAAGGAACCCAGTAGGTTCTTGTATATGTATATTTTGAGATACCAGCATTTACTCGCAGTTGGAAGGAAGAACAGGACTAAGTCTTATGCCAAGTCTGTAGTAAGCCTTTGGCTACGTATTAGTCCATAGTGTGTGGGCACAGAAATCCTGTGAATGGAAAGTTCCAACCACGTCTGCTATTCTGAAGACACCCAGGTCAGCCAAATATGGGAACTGTGTATATAGCAACCCCATCTCCTTCCCTTTCTTTACCTACCCTGCCCTCTGTTAGTCATGTGGACTCTAAAATCCTCCAACCACACCCCTACTCACTGTCACCTCAGTTACCTGGGATGGATGATTAAGAAAGTCTGCAGATTACTGGCTGCAGTTGTGACCACATTGGCTTGGATCTTGCAGGTGTGCAAGGATTCTTTTGTATCTGTAAGCATGAGGTCAGACTAAATCAACCTTCTCAGGCCCTTTTCAAAAAGTTTAAGTCCACAGCCTTATCTGGGCATTTTGGGTTTTACCTTGAAAGTAGCAAAAGGGGGCAAATTAGGATAAACTAAAGAAAAATAACTCCCAGGGATAGGAAGCTCTTACAGGTTTGTGGGCTGAATTGTATCTCCCCTAGAAGATGTTGAGGACCTAATCCCCCAGTATCTGTGGATGTGAGCTTATTTGGAAACAAGGTCTGTGCAGATGACTAAATTGAGATGAGGCCATTAGAGTGGGCCTTTGTATTAGTACATTTTCATGCTGCTTATAAAGACATACCCAAGACTGGATAATTTATAAAGAAAAAGAGGTTTAGTGGACTCACAGTTCCACATGGCTGGGGAGGCCTCACAGTCATGGTGGAAGGTGAAAGGCACGTCTTACATGGTGGCAGGCAAGAGAGAATGAGAGCCAAGTGAAAGGGGAAACCCCTTATAAACCATCAGATCTCATGAGACTTACTACCACGAGAACAGTATAGGGAAAACTGCCCCCCATGATTCAATTCTCTCCCACTGGGTCCCTCCCACAGTGAATGGGAATTATGGGAGCTACAATTCAAGATGAGATTTGGGTGGGGACACAGCCAGACCATATCAGCTTTAATCCAATATGACTGTGGATCCTTATAAAAATGGGATATTTGGACACAGAGACAGACATGTGCTGTGAGAAGATGACGTGACAACATAAGGAGAATGCCATCTACGAGCCAAGGAATGCTTGCAGCCACCACGAGCTAGGCGAGAGGCCTGGGACAGATTCTCCCTCACAGCCCTTGGAAGAACCAACCCTGCTGACACCTTGAATGTAGACTTCTGGGCTGCCAAACTGTGTGGCAATAAATTTCTGTTATTTAAGCCACCTAGCATGTGGTACTTCATTATGGCAGCCATAGGGAACTAATACAGGAGCCTTTTATAAGTCCTAGATCTGCCCCCTTTTTCCTGGCATGAACCCGTTTCTCCATCAGTCAGTGTGAAAAGCCATCTTCTCATCATCACTTAAGATTTCGAGTTTGCTTTACTGCCCACATTTTGGTTTGGCGCTGGGGCCTAAAGATTGTTTCCTGACTCTTCTGTTATTCTCTCTTAATATTTCCTGAGATGTCTCATTGTTATTCTTGTTGAGTCATATCTGCCATCTTTTGCTGTTCTATAAATGTACCCAGGACTTGTTTGGAGCAGGTATAATACACACAGATGCAAAAACGATTGCCAGGAAGGAAGAAGTGTTTTATTACATTCGCAGTCGCCAAGAAACAGTAAGCACATGAGCCCATTCAGGGCCACACGGGAAAGCACCAAAGCCACATGAGCAGGCACGGAAAGAGGGAGCTGCACGCATTAGCCTTGATTGCAGTTAACACCGAAAGGAGTGGGCAAAGCAAAGTCAACACGTGGCAGAAGTTCACTGTCAAGCTTAAATCTCTGTGGTTCATGAAAAAAAAATTTACTATGAAGCAGGCTCTGGGCTATAGGGGTGGTCCCTAGTTGTACCTGGCTCCGTGGAGATTAGGGCAGAAGAACTGCCTAGCAGAAAAGCAGACTCCTGGAGGGCTGGACTCCAAGTAGTTGGTTGGCATATCAAAGGCATGCCCACAAGTGAGTTACTTGTTACCTCTAGGAATTAATTAATCCTGGGAGGGGCAGTTTCTTTGGTCCACAGACTCCAAATGCCACAGCATCAAGAATATAGAAAGTAGGAAAATATAATTAATACATTGACATTATCCAGCTGTTCAGTTTTATATAGCTATTCTTCCCTCCCCACTTCAATTTATACTTTAAAGAATTCCTTATAAGGTCAACAAGGCTCCTGACAATAGCATTTGCGATATACCCTCTTGTCTCTTGTCAGATAACTGTCTGGAAAGTGCAGGCTTGTTATATAGCACCCTCTATCCATGGATTTTGGCTGTTCCATTTATTGGTGTTTCCTCTTTCTTCAAAAGCTGTGACCTTCAGAGGGAAGCAAAGTTGGAATGTCATCAGTAGCCTAAGTTTTATCTCCAGCATTTCCAGTGCTAGGCAACATGGTGAAGCTCTATCTCTACAATATCTACAGATACATCTATTGATATATCCAGGGTTTTTTCTGGCCCTCTCATTTGTCCTCATATAGATTGGATATCTTTTTTATTTTCCTGCTTATTTTCCATTCCCCATTTCTCTGGTTATAGCCCCTGGTTTTCTTCAAGGAGCTATCCCTTCCCTACTCTTGAGCCGTGTGGTGTAAGTGGGACTAACTTCACCCTTTGATTCAGGGAAGGGATGTGACTTGGGTCTAGCCAAAATCATTGATTCACGCAGAGCAGGTGAATCAAATTGGACCAATCGGTATATGGTTTTTTTCTATTCTTTTTTTTTTTTTTTTTTTTTTTGAGACAAGGTCTTGCTCTGTCACTCTTGGTGCAGTGGTATGATCTCAACTCACTGCAACCTCCACCTCCAGGGTTCAAGTGATTCTTGTGCCTCAGCCTCCTAAGTACCTGGGACTACAGGTACGCACCACCATGCCCAGCTAACTTTTGTATTTTTGTAGAGATGGAGTTTCACCATGTTGGCCAGGCTGGTCTCGAACTCCTGGACTCAAATGATCTGCCCACCTCGCCCTCCCAAAGTGTTGGGGTTACAGGCGTGAGCCACTGCACCTGGCTAATTTTTGTATGTTTATAGAGGTGGAGTTCCGCCATGTTGGCCGGGGTGGTCTCAAACTCCTGAGCTCAAGCGATCTGCCTACCTTGGCCTCCCAAAGGGGTGGGGTTACAGGCGTGAGCCACCGTGTGCCTGGCCATGGTATATTGTTTTTCTATTCCTGCTATGATAAATTATCACAAACTTAGTGACTTTAAAACAACACAAATTTATCATCTTACAGTTCTGGAGGTCAGAAGTCTGGCACAGGTCTTAACTGGGCTAAAATCAAGATGGCAGCAGGATGTTGCTGCTCTCTGGAGGCTCTAGGGGAGAATTAGTTTCCCTGACTTCTCAGGTTTCTCTGGAGGCAGCCCACTTTGTTTGCCTTGTGGCCCCTTCCGCCGTCTTCAAAGCCAGTAGCACTGGGTTGTGCTGTCCTCATACCACATCGCTCTGATCCTTCTTTGGTCACATCTCCCTCTGAATTCCTCTTCTGCCTCCTCTTCCACTTTTTTTTTTTTTTGAGATGGAATCTTGCTCAGTCGCTGGAGTGCAGTGGCGCAATCTCGGCTCACTGCAACCTCCGCCTCCTGGGTTCAAGCGATTCTCCTGCCTCAGCCTCCCGAGTAGCTGGGACTACAGGTACCCACCACCACGCCTGGCTAGTTTTTGTATTTTTAGTAGAGACAGGGTTTTGCCATGTTGGCCAGGCTGGTCTTGAACTCCTGGCCCCAAATGATCCACTCGCCTCAGCTTCCCAAAGTGCTGGGATTACAGTAGTAAGCCACTGTGGCTGGCCTTCCTCTTCCACTATTAAGGACCCATGGGTGACACTGGACCCACCTGGATCATCTGCAGACTCTGCTTATCTCAGTGTCTATCTGAACCATCTTCAAAGTCTCCTTTGCCATGTAAGGTAACATATTCAGGGTGCTGGGAATTAGGATGTGGACTTTTGGGAGGCGGGGCATTATTTTGTCTACTACAGTCAGTGAGATTCAACTCTGGGACCTTGGCTGGGTCCCTTGGGATTCCTGAGCAGATGGGCTTTCAACCTGAAGCTGCTGTCAGCCACCTTGGATCTGTGAGGGGAGAGTCTGCCAAAGAATGGAGTCAACCTTAAGAAAAACAGACCTGAGAGACACGGGGAGCAAGACCATGTCTCAGTGTTGTCCTTAGGGCCACTAAGGCCAACTCTACCCTTGCACGTTTTAGTCATTGAGTCAATCAATTGACTGCCACCATCATTACATGTGTCCTCCTCCTGAGTTGGTAACGCAGGCACAACATAAATGAATTCCTCCTTCATTGTCCTTTGGAGCATAGGGGGCAGCCTTTTATCAAAAACATCTGCATTGATGACCCACAGACAGAGTGTCATGGTGGCACATTGTTCCAGTACTGGAAATTCTGCTTCTTTCTTTCCCAGGGATCATAATCTTTCAGGTTCTTACCAGGTCTTTCATCTGTGAAATGATGGGGTTGGATGTACAGAGTGTTCTTGGTATCTACATATGAATGTTCATTATACTTGCACGGGATGGCTGAGCTGGTAGAATCCTTTTTAAGATGATTGGGGCCAGGTGCAGTGGCTCAGGCCTATAATCCCAGTACTTTGGGAGGCTGAGGTGGCAGGATCACTTGAAGCCAGGAGTTCGAGACCAGCCTGGACAACATAGTGAGATCCTGTCTCTATAAAAATACAGTTTAAAAAAATGAGCTGGGAGTGGTGGTATACACCTGTAGTTCCAGCTACTCAGAAGGCTGAGGTGGGAGATTGAGGCTGCAGTGAGCCATGATTGTGCCACTGCACTCCAGCCTGGGCCACAGAGTGAGACCCTGTCTATTAAAAAAATAAAATAAAAAAAAAGGCCGAGCACAATGTCTCATGGCTATAATCCCAGCACTTTGGGAGGCTGAGGCAGGAGGGTCGCTTGGGCCCAGGAGTTTGAGACCAGCCTGGGCAACAAAGTGAGACCTCGTCTCTGTGAAAATAAATAAATAAATAAAATTAAAATAATTTTAAAAAATTAAAAAAATTTTTTTAAAGGTTATTGCACCTAATTTCCTTACTTAACAGATGAGGGAACTGAGACCTGGAGAAGCTAAGCATCTTCACTGGAGAATAGACTGCTTGGAAACAGCCCAACGAGAAATAAGAACTTCTGATTGCTAATCCTATTATATACCACATTTCTAAAATTCCTTGACCTAGTTTAGTGAATTCATGTAAGTTTGTTTTTCCCTACAATGTGTAAAAAATCTAATGTCATTCACTGAGATAACTCAAGATATTTGAGTCTCAATCTGAGAACTGACATAATATTTAGCATGCCATCTTTTGCTAAGTGTATTTTTATAAAATAAAATTATTGTGCCAATTTCCTCCCATTTTACCTCTCACAAGTGGATAGTTCTAGAATCTTTTTAAACCCATTTCTAAGATCAAGGAGAGACCTGGAGACAATACTAAATTCTTGAGCAATATGAAAATTCTGCATCCAAGTATTAATCCTAAAGGATTCTAGGGAGAAGCTGGTCTGAGTCCATGTCCCTGATTTCTTCTGGGGAATAGCACAGGGGACAAATAAAATGGTGGCTATTCTTATCTAATGCTCTCCAACATACCACCTCCAAACTTGTGGCTTAAAATAACAATATTTGTTTTCCTCTTGAATCTGCTATTTGGACAGGGCTCAGAGAACAACCCATTTCTCTCGCATTCAACATGGGCTTAAATGCTGGGGCTGGTGTCATTTGGAGTTGTGTTCGCTCACCTGTCTGTCCATCTGTGCTGGCCATCAACTGGGACCTTAACTGGAGCTGATGGCTAAAGACCCTCATGTGGCCACGCCATGTGGCTTGGACTTCCTCACAGTATGGTGGTGGGGTTCCAGGACTGAGCATCCATGTCACCTACCCTGGGATGTCATTACTGTCACATTTTATTTGATGAAGCAGTCAAAAAGACCTTCCCTGGTTCAAGGGGTTAGAAATAAACTTCACCTCTCGGTGGAGTGGTAGCAAGACTCTGGTGGTCATATGGGCTGGAAGTACTACTCTGGCAATTGTGAATGAGGCTGGGATTTCATCTAAAATGGCCAGAGATGCGACAGTGCTAAGCTTAGTTTTTCATTTGTGTGTATGATTTTTCTTTTCTTGTCTTCTTTGGCAACTGGTGTGAATTGAGAGGCCAGAGTGTTACTCTCCTCAGGCTTAGGGTAGCCACTGTTGGTTTTGAAGGAGCTATTTGATACCGTCAACCACAAGAGATTCAGAGAAGGCTGAACTGGAGGTCTGAATTACTCCTTGTGATTAGGACATGATGAGTATTTGCATCTAGTATTCTTCCAGTGCCTCACCTAACTCCGTCAACACCAGCCTACAAGAAATTGTATCTCCCACCATCTGCTGTTGTTCTACCACTCAACACAAATATCTAACCTGTACAAGTACTGAGGGATCACACGACTGTGACTAGGCAGAGAAACATCACAGCTTGCTTAGGAAGTCTTAGTAACACGAAGTTATGAGCACAAACTCTAAACTAGAAAATATGGCAGCTATTGAAATAGAACTGAATAAGGAGAGAGAAGAGTACTTTAACAAAATGGAATAAGAAAGATAATTAGCATGCAAAAAAATAAAAGACTGTATGGAACTAAAAGCATTGTTTCCACAATATAAAAACTATTTTTTTCAGATGTGCTAAAAGAAGATCACTGCTAAGAACATAATCACTATTCTGAAAGATGAAGGGGAAGAAATTCTTTTTCCCATAGAATAAAGACACTTAGAGACATGTAGAGGAAAAAGATACGAAACTTGGAGGACAGATTCACTAGACTTAACATGAATAACAAGAGTGCCTCGAGGAGAAAAAGAGCTAGAGAGAAGAAGAATAATAGTTAAATAAAAGTAGAAGAAAAGTTCTCTGAGTTGAAAAGTCAGGCAAGGTGAATGAATATTTCAAACTACATGTATAGACATTTCCTGGTGAAATCCTAGAATTTTATGGATAAAGAGAAAGTTTTATGCATCTGGAGAGGCAGAATTAGAAGAATCAGACTAGTGCCAGATTTCTCATCACCAGCCCTAGAAAGTAGAAGAAGACAATAGAACAATATCTGTAGATGATTTATACAAAAAAAAATTGCAATACACAATTCTACATCAAGCTCAATAACCATTTTTTGTTTGCAAGTTTGACACATGAAGGCCTTGGAGTTTATTACTCTTGTAACTTATTAAGGGCATCATGGCCTAGAGTTTATTACTTGTGTAATTTCACTGGGGAAAACAATTGGTAAAGTGTCAACATCAGTAGAAATCTCAACAAGCCGAAAGGTAAGAGGTCAGAAATCAGTAGTGAGGCTGGGTGCGGTGGCTCACGCCTGTAATCCCAGCACTTTGGGAGGCTGAGGAGGGTGGATCACGAGGTCAGGAGATCCAGACCATCCTGGCTAACATGGTGAAACCCTGTCTCTACTAAAAATACAAAAAATTAGCTGGGCGTGGTGGCGGGCACCTATAGTCCCAGCTACTTGGGAGGCTGAGGCAGGAGAATGGCGTGAACCTGGGAGGCGGAGCTTGCAATGAGCCGAGATTGTGCCACTGCACTCCAGCCTGGGCAACAGAGCGAGACTCATCTCAAGAAAAAAAAAAAAAAAAGGAAATCAGTAGTGAGCAGTGAATCTTGTGATGAATATGTCATTTAGTATAAGGAAATGAGATTATTTTTACCAGGACTTTATACTGTATCGTAAGTAATGACTATTGCAGCGAAGTCATTACTTAATTACAAAGTAATGACTGTTGCAGCAAAGTCATTACTTAATGACAAAGACAAACTGGAAGTGAAAACCCTAATAATAGCTTGAAGTCAAATCTCAACCAAACTCAAGAGTGGGGTGGGAGTTGGGGGTGGAAGACACTGGAAAAGTAAACATGTTCTAAATGTTTCCTCTAATGGATCAGGGGAGAAGACTGAGGAGGCAGAGTAGCTGGATAGGAGGACAGAATTATCTCTTACTAATATATTAGAGAAGAAGTTAAATTATGATTTTAGGGGTTGGAAGTTCCTGTATGAATTGAATTGAGATTTTAATCTCCTGGGTAAATTGCCCTACAACAGGGAGGTAGCTGATCCTCAGAAGGCAACTTACAGATCTGTATCTCATCGTCTGCCTTAATATTTTTGACCCTAAATGAATTGAGGTTATTTTGCTTGTAAGAGTTTTACCCGTAAGTTCTAACCTCAAAACACATAATCAGCACCCTGCCTTTGCACCCCACAGCATCAGCCTAGACCACAGTTGCCTAACTTCATGTGTGGCTGCATATCTGCTAAGAAGCCTTCACAGTGTAAGAGAGAGAGAGGAAAAAAAAAATCTACCCTCTTAAGATCTCTGGCCGGGGCCCTGGAAATTAGACCGGCAAAAGATTACCAAGAGAGAAACAGAGTTTATTAACATGTGCAGTGTGTATACATGCAGGAGAGAGAAACTCAGTGATGAGTAATTCATAGGGGTTATTGGAACCTGGGCTTGTACAGCATCTTAGCAAAGAAGAATAAATTTAGAGAGAGGTGAAAAGACAAAGGGAAAAGGTTTTTAGTCTTCTAGGAGCTGTAGACCCTGGGAAGGTAAATGTGTGGGGGAAACTCATACTATCTTAGCAGTGTTTGTGCAGGTCTGTCTTGGTGCTGACTTTTCATCTTCTTCATGTCCGTAAAACTTCCCCAAGAGAGGGGATTTACGGCAGCCTTTACTTCTCAGGAGTTTCTGCTTTTGACCAGATAAGGGGACCTCTGAGAAGGCTTCTTTCTGCATTTGTTGATTCTCATTTGCCTACAGCTCAAAATAATCCTTATCCAAAGTGGCATATTATAGGGTAGCATATTCTGATCTTCTATAACAGTGTGGTTTGGAGATTGATTGAGTCATACTTATGAAGAATGTGGAATTACAGAAAGTGAGAGGAGAGATCTAGTATGTTCACCTGTCACTCACAAGGAAACATGACAGGTCACAGTTATAAGAAGGAACCAACTGACAGTTCCAGCAGGATTATGGGGGATGGGGAAGGATACCAAAAGAGAGGCCACAAAGCATTCACATTAATGTTTTATCTAGACATGGACTCTTCTCCTGTCTCACGGAGGTGATCAGGGAAGAGCAGCCTTCCAAGCAAGCTAACTTTTTTATGAGTCCGTCATAGCCCTGCCCTGCTAGAAATGCCAGGGGTGGGAGGCATGTAAAGAGTAAGTCCCTGTTTCTTGTCTTGGTCCTCTCACCAAAGTGAATTGTCTCCATAGTCTTGCTTACAGGAAGCGGGGCAGGCTTCCCAGGGGAAATTTGCAAGTCACAATTGTGCACCAGGATATTTTGTCATTTCAGCATCACAGACTTGCACCTTGGAGACCTATATTTACAAGCTACTTTCTGTTGGACTTGATCACAGGTTTGTCTTTAAGGACAGTACCCAGAACATTAGGCTGGCAAAAGACTTTGGGAGTCATGGAATCTATCCTTACACGTTACACAGAGTCACACATAAACTCCACCCAGGGAATCTTTTTTTCAATGACAGATATCAAGGAAAATAATGTGAAGGAGTGATTAGAACCCTCTTGGGACACTTTTCTTATAGATTAGATGCTATTCGACCAGGTTTATGCCATGGTCTCTGACAAACCACATAAATCTTGTTGAATAGCACCTAACGTATAAGAAACCAAAACTGGGAGTAGAGAGGTGATGTGGTTAGTGCAGGCAATGCTTCCTACTCTATTCTACAGCTCCATGATTACGTTATAATCAACCCTTATAACCACAAAGGTCCCAGAGCCCTCAGAATTTGCAGTGACAAAGAGACGGTGGATGAGGGAGGTGAAGAATATGCTTCTGATGAGTCTGTTTGGGCTGCAATTGCAAAGTACCAGACTGAGAGCGTTGTGCTACAAAGACTCTTTCCTCCTATTTCTGGAGGCTGGAAGTCCATGAAAGAGGTGTCGGAGGGTCGTTTTCCTCTGAGGGCTCTCTCCTTATATTGTAGATGCCATCTTCTCTCTGCGTCTTCATATGGTCTTCCTTTTGTGTGTGTCTGTATCCTTGTCACTTCCTCTTCTTATAGGGACACCAGTCATACTGGATTAGGGCTTACCCTAATGACTGCATTTTACCGGAATCCTCTTTTAAAGACCATATCTTCAAATACGGTCACATTCTGAAGTACTGGGATTAGAATTTAATATGAAATTTTTGGGGAACACAGTTCAGTCCTTACCAACTACAGAAATCAAATAAAACCAAAACCACCATATCCATTATATTACATTCCAAAACCACATGCAAGATCGTGGAGAAAGTCCATTCTTCACAACCCTAATCCATGTGCAATAAACTGAGAGGCTAAAAAGCCAAAAAGTCATTTAAAAAGTCATATATATGCATTTTATATATATATATATATATATATATATATATATATATATATGAAATGTGTATATATTTTATTTATTTTTTTAATTTTTTTTCTGAGACGGAGTTTTGCTCTGTCACCTAGAGCTGGAGTGCAATGGCGCGATCTTGGCTCACTGCAACCTCCACCTCCCGGGTTCAAGCAGTTCTCCTGCCTCAGCCTCCCAAGTAGCTAGGATTACAGGCATGTGCCACCACGCCTGGCTAGTTTTTGTATTTTTAGTAGAGACAGGGTCTCACCATATTGGCCAGGCTGGTCTGGAACTCCTGACCTCGTGATCCACCCACCTTGGCCTCCCAAAGGCTGGGATTACAGGTGTGAGCCACCGCGCCCAACATATATATATATTAAAAATATGTTATATATTACCATAAAAGAGCATAAAATTATTTGGAGGACACAAGAAATACATATTTAAGGGTTTGGTATAATAAAAGTAAAGACATTTGAGGTTAAAACATCTTATTTTTGAGAAGAAAGTTTTAAGCCTGGGGCTCGAAAATAACCTTGGGAAAGATTCATGTTGTTGGAGAGACTCAGAGAGCAGTGAAGAATATAGGATTTGGATTAGAGATTTAAAAATAATGTCTAGATATTTTGGAACGAGCAAGAAAATTCCCATTTTAGGACGAAGGAAAAGGTAACATTTGGAGAGAATCTAAAACATATACTGTGTTTTCATAACTCCTCTTACAAATGTAGTCATTTGGTTAACATTAGCAATATTAAGATAAGCTATCTATAACTTGGTTTGTTCATAAATTTATAACATGTGGTATACAAAATATTCCAATCTTCACTATTTTGTCATTTTTAAATTTTTTTTTTATTTTTACAACTGGAAAAATACATACAACATAATAAAATTTACCATCTTAACCATTTTCAGGTATACAGTTCAGTGGTGTTAAGTGTGTTTACATTGTTGTGCAGCCATTGCCACCGCCCATCTCCACAACTCTTTCCGTCTTTGAAGCTAAAACTGTGTCCATGAAACAGTAACTCCCCACTCCCCTTCTCTCATCCCCTGGCAACCACTTTTGAAAATACATTTTACAATGTATGTAATGTTCATTGTAGAAGAATTAAAAAATTTAAAACAATAAGAACAGAGAACTAATAACACTTTGACTTATACCTTAATGTATTTTTTCTCTGCATATACATATATGTAACTTTTTTTTTTTACTATGCATACTGTTTTATAGCCTGCCCTTTCACACTTAATATATCTTCAATAGCTTTACATGTCAAATAAATGCCATCCTTTTTAATATTGAAAGTCAATTTATTTAAATAACCCCCATTATATTTTTCCAGTCTGTGAAGGGTTGGGGACAAAAGATGAAGTACAAACATAGACCTTTATAGAGCAATGCTCTGATTACTTTTTTTTCCATCCTCAATTATTTCTTGTCAACAAATACCGTCTTTTTTTTTTTTTTTTTTGAGATAGAGTCTTGCTCTGTCACTCAGGCTGGAGTGCAGTGGCGTGATCTCAGCTCACTGCAACCTCCAACTCCCAGGCTCCAGAGATCCTCCCACCTCAGCCTCCCAAGTAGCTGAGACTACAAGTGTGCACCTCCACACCCAGCTAATTTTTGTATTTTATTGTAGAGACAGGGTCTCATCATGTTCCCCAGGCTATTCTTGAGTTCCTGAGTTCAAGCAGTTCTCCCGCCTCAGTACTGTGGGATTACAGGTACAAGCCACTGTGCCCAGCCTGAATTCCTTCTTTACTTTGAGGAAGGTTTTCTACATTTTTAGCCTTTTAATACGTACTGCCAGATTGCCCTCAAGAAAGGTTGTATCAGGTAGTACTTCCAGCAGCAGTGGATGAGCATCCCTATTTCCAGACCTCCAGCAACCCTGTGTATTGTCCTTAAAGAAACAAAATTGAAATAATAGGTGGATGTGGTTTTCAAAATCAGGTAGTGGAGAAGGGTTTATAATGAAAAGGTATCAGCCCACTTAGCCTGATCCAGCTCCTAGTCCTGCTCCCTGGAGACACTTTTTAATACCTTCTGTGTTTATTTCCTCTGGTGATTTACCTCCATCTCTCTACATAATAGGTTTATACTGCTAGTTTACATACACATATGTTATTTACACACTATTTACTTCCTGCTGGTGAGATGAGGTTTTGGTTCCATTATACCACCCACTTTCTCCTCCATACCCATTTTTAAAATTGTTATATTACCTTTTTACTTATATTTAAAACTCCCTGCAGTTAGCATGGGCAGTTCAGTTTCTCTTGACTGCCTTTAGTGAGCATTAAGGAATGGGACTCTTCTACTCTTTTCTTTCCTTCTCTACTTTTGGCTTTGGTCAATTTTTTTCTTTTTCTCTCTCTTCTTTTACTTTCTTTCCCGCCTTTCTTCCTTTTCTCTTTTTGTTTGTTTACATTTTGAAGATTGATACAATTTACATTTCTTGTTTCGTAATCACATAGTTTGGCCTTCTATGCCTTGTCCATAAGTTAGCTCTAAAAGTTCAAAAGTCAATTAAGTGCTTTTATCGTGGCTCCTTAAATGTAGTTCCTTGTGGACCTAAGTAACATGTTGATTACCACCTGGTACAGTTTGGTTCTGTGTCCCCATCAACTCTCACGTCAAATTGTAATCCCCAATGCTGTAGGTGGGGCCTGGTGGGAGGTGATTGGATCGTGGGGGTGGTCTCTCATGAATGGTTTCGCACCATCCCCCTTGGTACTTGTATTAGTCCATTCTCGCACTGCTGTAAAGAACTACCTGAGACTAGGTGATTTATAAAGAAAAGGGGTTTAATTGGCTCATGGTTCCACAGGCTCTATAGGAAGTGTGGCTGGGAAGGCCTCAGGAAACTTACAGTCCTGGTGGAAGGTGAAGGGGAAGCAATCATGTCTTATGTAGCCAGAGCAGGAGGAAGAGAGCAAAGAGGGAGGTGCTACACATTTTTCAATAACTGGATCTCGTGAGAGCTCACTGTCTTGAGAACAACAAGGGGGAAATCCACTCCCATGATCCAGTCACCTCCCACTAGGCCCCTCGTCCAACATTGGGAATTAACAATTCAACGTGAAATTTGGGTGGGGACACAAATCCAAACCATACCAGTACTGTTCTTGTGATAGTGAATGAATGAGTTCTCCTGAGATCTGGTTGTTTAAAAGTATGTAGCACCTCCCCCCGTCTCTCTCTTATTCCTGCTCCTTCCATGTAAGATGTGCCTGTTTCCCCTTCACCTTCTACCATGATTGTAAGTTTCCTGAAGCCTCCCCAGAAGCCAAGCAGATGCCAGCATCATGCTTCCTCTATAACCTGCAGAACTGCAAGCCAATTAAACTTTTTTTCTTTATGAATTACCCAGTCTCAGGTATTTCTTTATAGCCATGTGAGAAAGGACAAATACACATCCCCTTCTCTGTGGATCCAATATCAAGATACCTATTCCATATAAAGGAGAATTTTCTTAGTGCCAAGGCCAAATGGATTCTGTTTTCTTGCATTCTACAAAGTATTCAATTGTCTGTGACTTTTCTTTGATTCATCTTTTAATCATAACTTTCCTGGGCATATTTTTTTGCCTGCAATTTTATGGACTATCTTGTTTTTCCTGTCATGAGAATCATATGCCTTCATACCTTCCAATTTACTAATTCCATCTGTTATTTTGACTGCTTTCTTTATCTTGGAGCCCACTGAATTCTAATTTGGTTAGTCTGCTTTCTAAGCCTCCTGCAGGTCTGACATCCTGCAATTTCTTCTCGCTGGACTTGGATTTAAGTCCATCATATCTTACTGGATTAGGTTTTTATCCTTATTTTTCTTGGAGTACATTCTCAAGAAACTTTCTCGAAAGATAGGTAACCTCCTAAATAATATGATTTTATTTTGCTTCTATATTTGACTGATAAGTTACCATAATATGAACTTTTAGATTCAAGCGAATTTTCATTCAGTACTTTGGAATTGCTCTGTTATATGCTAGCATCGATATTGCTGATAAATTCTGTTACTGGTTACTGTTGCAGCCTGATGGTTTTTTCCCCTCTGAAAGCTTTTTAGGATCTCTTTATTTTTCACTCTGCCCCTCACAGTTCAGGACCTTTCAGTTTGAGGACTTTTGTGTCTCTTCAGCTCTATGAAAATTAATATTTATCTGTATCTCTTTTTTTTCTCCCTCTTTCTTAAAAATTTCCATTCTATTTTCCCTTTCTTTTTTCAGGAACTTCAATCATACATGACTTTACTTTGAAAGTCTCAGCAGAAACTTAGGAATTTTATTTTGGTTTTTAGTAAGTTTTCTCTGTGCTTAAATTAGTCAATTCCGCGGTAACATTGTTTTGAAAACGTGGATTTATCCCGACATTAGCGTAACCATGCCATTTTTTCCCCTCCTCTCTGTTGTCCCCTAATTCCCATGAGGTGACTTTCCTTTCCTTAGCTTAATTCTCTTTATTTAATAGCCTTTCGTTGCTGCTAAGGGACAGCTTTTGGCGGCTGCTTTGCATCCCCACATTAGAGTAACCATGCCATTTTTTTCCCCTCCTCTCTCTTGTCCCCTAATTCCCATGAGGTGACTTTCCTCTCCTTAGCTTAATTCTCTTTATTTAATAGCCTTTCATTGCTGCTAAGGGACAGCTTTTGGTGGCTGCTTTGCCATTTCAGACTTTTCCCATGTCTCTATGTGGCAGATCTTACCCAGCCTTCAAGGCTTGCCTATGCCCTCCTCCTCCAGGAAGCCTTTCTCAATGACTCTCCAAACTATCTGTCTAGTGAGTATTTCTGTACTTAGGTTTATATACAGCTTAGTGTTATATGAAGAGCTTTAGGGAGAAGTCAATAATTGCTCTAATGATTTGTGTGAAATATGTGCAATTTCAAGAACATCAAATAATTGCATTTTTACTCTGAATAAAACTAATCTTAAAATGTGTTCCTCTGCTGCAAGTATATGAAACTAGAATTGCATTGAAGTATAGTATAAGAAACCACCAGCTGGGCGCAAACCACCAGCCAGGCTTGGTGGCTCACGCCTATAATCCCAGCACTTTGGGAGGCCAAGGCAGATGGATCACCTGAGGTCAGGAGTTTGAGAGCAGCCTGGCCAACATGGTGAAAGCCCGTCTCTACTAAAAATACAATAATTAGCTGAGCATGGTGGCGGGCACCTGTAATCCCAGCTACTGGGGAGGCTGAAGCTGAGGCAGGAGAATCACTTGAACCCAGGAGGTGGAAGTTGCAGTGAGCCGAGATCACGCCATTGCACTCCAGCCTGGATGACAGAGCAAAACTCAGTCTCAAAAAATAAATAAATAAATAAATAAACAAATAAATAAATAAATAAATAAAAGAAAGAAAGAAGGAAAGAAACCACCACTTAGAACGAATGGCTTTGGACAGAGTTTGTTTCTGTTGAAAATAAGTCCAGGTATAAGTGGTTGTTGGGGATGGAACAGTGAGTCAGTGATGTCATGTCTGCCATTTCTGCAGTTCTCTGTGCCAATCCTTCATGGTTACAAGATGGCTGCTGCCACTCCTGCCATTATGTCAGCATTCAAAATAGAAAGAAGAAAAAGAGGCTGACGGTTGAGTCTTAATCATTTTTATTAGGAAAGCAAAGCTTTCACAGAGGACTTTGCAGCATACTTCTGTTTTTGTCTCATGGCTGAAGACCGGGTCACATGGGTCCCCCTAGTTTCAGGGGAAACTGGGACAGTATGGCTTTCCACCCTCTGTCGTGGGAGGCAGCAAAGAAGCAGAGGTGGAGATGAGCTTTAGGAGAGCCAGTTAACAAGGTAACAGAGCCTGCCACAATGGGCAAGAGAGGGCATTAAAAGCAGTTGTGCCCAGGCGCGGCAGCTCACACCTGTAATCCCAGCATTTTGGGAGGCTGAGGCAGGTGGATCGCCTGAGGTCAGGAGTTTGAGACTAGTCTGGACAACATGGTGAAACCCCGTCTATACTAAAAATATAAAAATTAGCAGGGTGTGGTGGTGGGCACCTGTAAATCCCAGCTACTTCGGAGGCTGAGACAGGAGAATCGCTTGAACCCAGAAGGTGGAGGTTGCAGTGAGCCAAGAGTGTGCCACTGCACTCTAGCCTGGGTAAGAAGAGTGAAACTCTGTCTTAAAAAAAAAAAAGGCAGTTGTGCCCAATTGTATTAAACATTCTACTCCATTTTAATAAGCAAGTGCAGGATACTTGCTATGCCAGGTGACTGTGCTGGGTGCAGGTGGTGCTGTGAATCCCACGAAGGATTGTCTGGGGAAAAAGGGAAAGTTAGATATGCCTGGAACACAGAGTATATCGGGCAGGGCAGGATTGGAGAGGGACAGAATGGGGGTCAGGAGATGGCGGGGTGGGGGTGGGATGGAAAATGGGGAAGATTTAGAAGACATTGAAGAGATGAGTTTGTTAACTCAGAGTGGGTGAGCTCCAGGTCAGATATTTTGGATTTTACTCCACACACCAGTGGTTCTGAACATGTCTTAGAATCATCTGGAGGGTTGGTTAAAACACAGATTGCTTGACCCCACTCCCAGAATTTCTGATTCTATGGGTCTGAGCTGGGGCCTGAGAATTTTTATTTTTAACAAATCTTCAAAGTGATGCTGATGCTGCTGGTCCAGGGACCACCCTTTGGCATACTGTGCTAAAACCATGACTTAATTTAGAGTAGATTCATTTTCTTGTATAAAAAATTGGGGTCTGGGCGTGGTGGCTCATGCTTATGAACCCCAGGACTTTGGGAGGCCAAGGCAGGAGGATTGCGTGAGCCCAGGAATTTGAGACCAGCCTGGACAACATAGCAAGGCCTTGTCTCTACTAAAAGTTTTAAAAATTGCCAGGTGTGGTGGTACGTGCCTGTAGTCCCCAGCTCGGGAGGCTGAGATGGGAAGATGGCTTGAGTCCAGGAGTTCAAGATTCCAGTGAGCTATGATTGTGCCACTGCACTCCAGCCTGGGCAACAGAGCAATACTCTATCTCAAAAATAAATAAATAAATAAAAAGGGGGGGTGCATTATAACACCCTCAAGCTATTTTAAGAAATGTATTAGGCTGGGCGCAGTGGCTCACGCCTGTAATCCCAGCACTTTGGGAGGCCAAGGCAGGTGGATCACCTGAGGTCAGGAGTTCGAGACCAGCCTGGCCAACATGGTGAAACCCCGTCTCTACTAAAAATACAAAAATTAGCCAGGCATGGTGGCAGGTGCCTGTAATCCCAGCTACTGGGGAGGCTGAGGCAGGAGAATCACTTGAACCCGGGAGGTGGAGTTTGCAGTGAGCTGAGATGGCGTCATCGCACTCCAGCCTGGAGGACAAGAGCGAGACTTCGTCTCAAAAAAAAAAATGTATTGATGATATTTTCTTATATTCTATGTTATTCCATCATGTGGGTCACACTGACCAGTTAGAGCTAGAAGCTCTAACTGCTTTCTCGAGCTAGAAAACACCTTGCCTGAGAGCATATCTTGGATATTCAAAATCAACCAATCCATACCCCCACTCAGCTCTTTTTATCAGGCCCCTGCAGCTCTGACCTCTTTCCATGTGTCCTAAGTCATCCCAGGGCCAAGTACTGGACACTGAGGACCTTCCTATAGCCTTGAGCCCACCAAAATTATTAAAAGCATCCAATCCCAAACCTGTTCGGCTTGCTTACCTTGCTTTACTAATTCCCTCCCACGAAAACCACAGGAAAGGCTTTTGCGGGTACTCTTCCCTCACTCCCTCTGCCTCTTGACCAGCCCTGGTGTGTCCCCATGTGGCGCTACCTGCTGATTCTAGGGATCTGTGAGTATAAACTTGACAGTCGTGTTCATCTCTGTGTGTCTTACCACAGCCAATAAAACAAATCCTGCGTACACATTAAAATAGTGATACAATACTTGTAAAGTGCCAGCAGAACACCTGCTAGGCACTAGGCAAAAGGGACTGCTGGGAGGAATATTAGGAGGAATGTCTGAGGGTAGTGTGAAGGATGAATGGGAGGTGGAGATGGGGAGATGGGTTAGAAGGATATTGTGGGCTGGGCGTGGTGGCTCATAATCTGTAATCCCAGCACTTTGGGAGGCTGAGGTGGGCGGATCACGGACAGGAGATCGAGACCATCCTGGCCAACATGGTGAAACCCTGTCTCTACTAAAAATACAAAAATTAGCTGGGCATGGTGGCGTGCACTTGTAATCCCAGCTACGTGGGAGGCTGAGGCAAGAGAATCACTTGAACCCGGGAGGCAGAGGTTTTAGTGACCCGAGACTGTGCCACTGCACTCCAGCCTGGTGACAGAGTGAGACTCCGTCTCAAAAAAAAAAAAAAAAAAAGAAGAAAAGATATTTTGATAGTCCAGGGCTGAGTCTGATGGGGCCTAGCTCGGGACTATGCAAGTAGAAAGGGACCAATAGTTGCTGAAAATATTTGTGATATAAAATTAAGAGGATTTGACAGTTTTGTCAGTGTTGCAAGTTGGAAACTTATTTATCTGAAATTGTTTGTAATAAGACCGTCTCTGCATCATGGCTGAAAAAGCAGCAAATGCAGCAGGAAAACAGTTCTGAAAGAAGAAATTTTGCAGTTAAGATTTACCCAGCAAACTGCAACATTTTACATTGCCCCTTTAGTTACTTACTAAAGATGTTTTGAAAACGAACACCATCATCTAAATTCATTTACCGTAGACTGGTCCTGTTCATATAGCCATTTCTATTTGGAAAAGGTTGATTTGATTGATCACATGCCCTTGGAAAATAGGGGTGTCTACAAGAGACCCACCCTGGCTTAGACTCTTTAAGGGAAAAAAGGAAAAAGAATCTCAACCATTTTAAGATCATCGTTGGTTTATAAAATTTTCAATGCTTAGTTATTTAAAGAAAATTTAATTAAAAGATATTTAGGAAGTATTAAATTTGCTAACATGTTCAAAGAACTTTAAAAAATGACCAAAGATAATCCTGGCTAACACGGCGAAATCCCGTCTCTACTAAAAATACAAAAAATTAGCCGGGCGAGGTGGCGGGCGTCTGTAGTCCCAGCTACTCGGGAGGCTGAGGCAGGAGAATGGCATGAACCCGGGAGGCGGAGCTTGCCGTGAGCCGAGATCGCGCCACTGCACCCCAGCCTGGGTGACAGAGCGAGACTCCGTCTAAAAAAAAAAAAACACTAAAGATATATAAACATTATTGTAATTAATAGGTTAAAAAAATAAAAAGACTGTCTCTGCCTTAAGTGCAGCCTTGCTGCTTTGTTCAGTGACTTCTTGGATGGCATCAGAGAAGTCCTCCTTGCTTGACTCTAGTCCACATAAATGTCTTTTTGGATGAGGCCAGAACTCCCAGGTAGCATGTTAAGGAAGATATTGCAAGAGTCAAGAGGTGCTGTAGTGATTATCAGCTCCACATTTCCTAAAGTGTATTCACCTGGTGTTCATCCACACCTCAGTTATGAATTAGCCGTTACATGAAATATGTTTTCATATTTTTAGAGATTGGGAAATGACAGGTGAACTAAAATTAAGCCATTTTATGTATTGCAGACCTTTTCAGAGCCTTTAATATGGTAGTGGGATTCTGTTAATGGAAATTATTGTATTCAGTGTTTCTCTAACTCGTTTGTTCACAGAACCTTTTTTTTTTTCAGAGCGTCTTATGAATCTATTTTTTCATGGAACAAATTTTGGGAAACGCTGCCATGACCTAACAAGCTGATGTATAACACTGGTGGCAATCAAGATTTTTGTGGGTGGTGTTGATTGTTCTCCTGAAACTCATAAGTGGAACAGTGCACAATTTCAAGATCAGTTTGCCCAGGCTCTGTTTTGCTTTTAGTCTCTCGTATACAGAAAGTTTAAAAAGATATGACTTGTACCCAGATGTCATCTACACAGCGCCTGTCATCCTGTGGAATGACTCATCCCTTGAAAATGGTGGATAGTGCTTTTTACCTTGATGATGAATAATGATCCTTGTTTCATTTACAAAGATGAGACCTAAAATACCAGCCTTCCTAAAAATACTATCACCTGTTAGGCCGCTGCGTTTCCTTGAAGGTTAGCTTCCATAGGTCAGGCCTTCACTAATGCTCTGCTGAAGTGCTTCAGGAATAGTGAAGGAGGGAAGTCTCAGAGGAGTGGAGATTGGGCTAAGTGACCTCTGTTGCTCCTTCCAACTCAACAGTCATGAGTCTTTTCCCCAGTCAGTAAAACCTGTTCTAGAATTTTCTTAAATCCTTTTGATCATTAAATGAGTTTATGACCTTACATTTTTAAGAACAAATTTAAGCAGAATTTGTTTCTAGCATAAATCTTTTTCCTTCAAAGAAGAGAGCTTATTCCTCTTTTATCAGCTATGTAGCTGCAATACTTGTATCAGTAATTTTATTTTACTGTTTTTATTTCAATAGGTTTTTGGGGAACAGGTGGTGTTTGGTTACATGAATAAGTTCATTAGTGGTGATTTCTGAGATTTTGGTGCACCCATCAACCGAGCAGTGTACACTGTACCCAATGTGTAGTCTTTTATTTCTCACCTGCCTCTCACCCTTTCCCCCAAGTCCCCAAAGTCCTTCTTATGCCTTTGCATCCTCATAGCTTAGCTCCCACTTATGAGTGAGAACACACGATGTTTGGTTTTCCATTCCTGAGTCACTTCACTTAGAACGATGGTCTACAGTTTCATCCACGTTGCTGGCAATGCCATTATTTCATTCCTTTTCATGGCTGAGTAGTATTCCATGGTGTATATCACATTTTCTTTATCCACTCATTGATCAGTGGGCATTTGGTCTGGTTCCATATTTCGCAGTTGCAAATTGTGCTGCTATAAACATGCATGTGTAAGTATCTTTTTCGTTTAATGACTTCTTTTCCTCTGAGTAGATACCCAGGAGTGGGATTGCTTATTGGTGATTTTAATTTGCATGTAGTTGATGTATGAGTACTTGCTGTAGCTAGCTGTTAGGATACCCTACAACTCAGCACTTGTTTTTAAGCAAAAAGTAGTAAAAACTTTAAAGAAGTGTTACAGTTAAAATTATATATACATTTATATTTTATGTATGTATAAATATATGTGTGTGTATGTGTATATATATATATACACATACACACACACAGTTAAAAAATATATATATATACACACACACACACACACTTACAAGGGGTTTGGGGCACTCATCCCCCATGCAATTGAAAATTTTTGTGTAAGTCTTGACCCCCTGAAAACTTTACTAATAGACTGCTGTTTACCTGAAGTCTTACTGATAACATATGTAGTCAATTAACACATATTTTGTATATGTATTATATACTGTATTCTTATAATAAAACAAGAGAAAATACTAAGAAAATCATAAGGAAGAGAAAATATAGAGAGGGGTTGGTCTTACTGTCTCAGGTGTGGCAAAGGTGGAAGAAAATCCATCTATAAATGAACTCATGTTGTCTGAGGGCTTGTGTGTCTGTGTGTTGTGTGCACATATATATACACCCCAATAATATACAGAATCTAATGAACATTTTGTTTTTCATCTTGTAGGAATCATTTATGTAATATGCTTAAATACTTAGTACTTTGTTTTTGTTAATTTTCATATTATTTATTTGATGCATAGATTCCATATGCTCGTATATATATTATGAAACAATGTTAAGAAGAAAGCTATGAACCTATACGCAAATTTAGAACCAAAACATTACCAATTCTATGGAAGCCACCTGTATTTCCTTCCCAAACCCAGTCTCTTTCCGTTTTTCAGAGATAACCATCATTAAAAATTTTGTATTTATAATTCTCTTGCTTTCTTTTCATTTTATTACATATACATTTATCCTTTCCCAATAAGGTGTTTAATGGTGTTTGCTTTTGAGCTTTATGAAAATGGTTATCGTAATTTAAGTAGTCTTTTTGTTATTTTTTTCCAATCAACATTGTACCTCTAAGAGTCACTCATGTTGTTTGGGTAAACTTTATTTTATTGCTCTTTATTACCATATAATATGACATTATGTGAATATATTCCAATTTCTTTATTCTCCTCTCGATGGCCATTTTTTGAATGCTGGCCCACTCACTAGTGGTAGTGAAATCAACTAGTGGTAGTGAAATCAACTTAATGAGTATAGTGGAAAAGATTAGTGTGCATCACATGTAGAGGGAATATTGTTCTGTTAAAAGGTGTTTCATGTGGGTACTTAGTTTCATTGTCAGATATACAAAATAATGACATTGTTTTCTACAATGCTTTTAACAAGTTATCCTTATAGTAGTGGGTTCCCATTACTCCATATCTCCACCAATTGGAATTGTCAGACTTCTACATTTTTACCAAAATGGCAGATATAAAATGGTAATGCTTTGTGGTTTTAATTTGTATATTCCTCCTTACGAATGAAGTTGACCAAGCTTTTATATATTCAGTAATAGTTACAATTTCCTCCTTTAAAAAGTGCTGATCTTTAGCTCATTTTTTTTAGGGTTGATTTTTTTTTCTGGCAGTTGTATTTTCTTATATATGTCTTTTTTCTAGTGTCTTTCTTTTTATTGTTTTTTCAACCATCATGACAATTAATATAAATATGTCTTTTAATCTTTTCTTTTATGGTTAGTGTTCCTTATTTTTATTTTCTGTGATGTCATTCAATGGTCTAAAATATAAGATATTCTATATTTTTTCCCTTAGGCGTTTTAATATCTCACCTTTTACATTTAAGTCTTTAATTCATTGGTATTTGACTTTTGTGTACCGTGTAGAGTAGAAACCCTATTTCTTTATTTTTTTCTCATTTGGATAAACAGTTGACCCAGCACTACTAATTAAATAAGTCATGTCTCCTCTTCCTCTCCCCCAATCTTAGATAACACTTTTTTATCTGTCATTTTTTTCCATTTTTGTGAGTTTATTCCTGAACATACCCTTCCTTCTGTTTCAGTGACCGATGCAAACATTGATATAATACTTTCTTAATTACTGTGACTTCAGTAAGTTTCAGTATGTGGTCACTGAAGCTCCCTCAACTTATTCTACTTAAGGATAATCTTATTTTTTCTTAAGCCTTTGCATTTCCATACAAATTTTATTTATTTATTTTGTTGTTGTTGTTGTTTGTTTATTTTGAGACAGGATCTCTCTGTTGCCCATGCTGGAGTACAGTGGTATGATCATAACTCACTGTGGCCTTGAACTCCTGGGCTCAAGAGATCTTTCTGCCTCAGCCTCTTGAGCAGCTGGGACTACAGGCATGCATCTTCGCACCCAGCTATGTTTTCATTTTTGTAAGACAACGTCTCACTATGTTGTCTAGGCTGGTCAAGACCAGTCTTGGCCTCTTGGCCTTCAGTGATCCTCCTGCCTCAGCCTCCCAAAGTGCCAGGATTTCGGTCCTGGGCCACTGTGCCAAGCCTTCCATATAAATTTTAGATTCTGCTTGTGAAATTATTTTTTAAAATTCTTATTGGGATATTTAATTGAAGCTGCATTGCTATGAAGAGAACTGATATGTTTTCAGAACTAATTCTTCCCATTCATATATACACTGTATCTCTCCATTTACCTGACTTCATTCATGTCTTTTACTAATTTTTAAATTTTTCCCTATGAAGACATTGCTCATCTTTTGTTAAATTTATTTCAAGTTTCTTTGCTGTATGGAATGAATTTTTAAATTAGACTTTTGAGTATGTACTGGTTATATTAATTTTGTTATATTGATCTTGTATCTAGCCATCTTTCTCAAGTTTTATTATTTATAATAATTTCTGTAGATTACTTTGGATTATCTTTGTGAACAAACATATAATCTTCAAATGTCAGTATAGGTTCTTCCCTTTTAGTTTTAAAATCTTCTATTTTAGTTGCTTACTGAGCTGGGTAGACAGTAATAGTGGGAATCCTTGTCTTACTCATGATTCTAAAGAGCATGGTTTTATTTTATTTTATTTTCACCCTCTCCCCAAGGGCATGTTTTTAACATGTTTCCAGTAAGAATAATGTTTTATAGGTGCTTTTTAAAAATAAGTTAGGGATTTTCCCTGTTATATTTTTCATCAACAGACATGGAGTTTTATTAAATACTTTGTCTGCATTTTTGAGATAGTCTTATTTTGCCCTTTAATTTGTGCATGTGATGAATTATACTTGCAGGTTGCTAAAGTTAAACCATTCTTACATTCTCTAGTAATTAATCAAACTTTTTCATAATGTGCTAATTTTTTTAGGACTTCTGTGTCATTAATACATGAAGATGGTCTATAATTTTCTTTATACTGTCCTTTTCTAATTATGGTATCCAGTTATGCTTGTTTCTCAGAATGAGTTGCACTGTGTTACTTCTTTTTCTATTTTTTTCATAATAGTATATTAGGCATATTAAGAATTTATATTCTTTGTATAAGTTTAGAAAGAAATATTTCTTGAAAATTTACCTGTAAAACATCTTGGTCTTCTGTTTTCTTTTTGGAATGATGTTTAATTACTGGTTTAATTTCTTTGATATTTATAGAATGACTCAGGCTTCCTCTGTATTCTTTAGTGAATTTTGTCTTGCTTTTGTTTTTCTAAATGGCCATTTTGTCTAAGTTTTTTTTTTAAAAACTTGCTCACAAATGTTATATATCTTTTAAATCTCTGTAGCTTTTCTGTTTATATTCCACTTTTATTTCCTATTATTATTTACCTGTTTCTTTTTCATTTTTTCTCTGAGTAAATCTTGTAGAGGCTTGCCATTTTGTTAGTTTTTTTCAAAGAATTAACCTATATGATTTTTACTATATTATTAGTTTCTTTTTTTATTGTTTTTTCTTCTAATTTATTGAAGTTTATTCTGTTTACTTCTTAAATATTTTCTTAAATATTTTCAGCTTCTTAAATATTTTCAGCTTCTCTTCTAAGAAATTGAGTTTCTGTATTTTTTCTAAATATCATTTTGCTACCGAACAAATTTGATATACAGTATTTTCATTGTCTTTCAACTCTAAATATTTTAAATTCCTAACAGTAATTCTTTTTGACCTGTTATCGATTTAGAAGTGTTTACAAGATCCCAGATTTGTTTGCTGTTAAACTTGTTATTTATTTGAATTTAAATTACACTGGGGTCAGAGAACATCATCTTTGTGACTTCTGACCTTTGATATTTGTTGAGATGTGCTTTACAGACTTACAAGTGGTTAATCTTTGAAAATAAATTATTGTGTGCATAAATCAATCTAATAAATCTTGCTATCTTATCCTTTTCAAATCCTCTATGTCCACTTTTTTTCTGCCTTACTTCTCTAACTGAAAGAGGAATAATGACATCTATTGTGGCAAAATTTCCAAGGCTTCCCTGAGTTTCTGTCAGTTTGATTTTTATATTGTGTGATTCGTATCAGGTACCACCAAATTCAGAATTCTCGTAACTTCTTGATGAGTTAAAGTTTTCTAACATTATATTGCTGTCCTCTTTCTTTCATAATGTTTTTTTTCTCCCTCAAAGTCTATTAGATTAGTTTGAAATAGGCTGGTATATGTTTTTATTTCTCTTTTGATCTCCCTGATTGTTTGTGTTTTAGATACAGCTTTTTATTATTAGCACAGAGCTAGATTTTTTGTATCTGAGCTGAGCATCTTTTGCTTTTAACTAGAATATTTAGTTTATGTATGTTTTGTGATATATTTGAGTCTGTGTTTACTATTTTACTTTGTGCTATTTTTTCTATATTGCTTTATGCAGCACCATTTTTTGTTTTCAATCATTAACTTTTTATTATATTGTCTGTTACTTTGGAAGATATATACTCTATTTCTACTCTTTCAGTGGTACCCTTGTAATGTTTATTACATTTTAGTTTAACAAAATCTGCTAAGAGCTTAGAACACTTAACTTCAACCACTTCACCTTCTTGATTCACATGATATTGTTGTCTTGTATCTCAGTTCCATCTTCAAAGTTTCTTTTTTACTTTTAAAATTTACATGAAGTAAAATTTACTTTTTTGTAGACTCTTATTTGTTTTAACACAGACATAGATTTATGTAACCTCCACCACAAACGAATTACAGAACAATTCTGTTACCTCAAAAAGTTCCCTCATGCGGCATCTTTGCAGTCAAACCTTCCCCACCCCCATCTACATCACCCACTGCGCTGCTTTCCGTCCCTATGACTTAGCTTTTCCAGGGTGCCTTATAAATGAAATCATTCAGTATGTATGAGGCCTTTGGGGACTGGCTTTTTACACTGAGCGTAATGGTTTGACATCTATCCATGTTGTAGCATGTATGAGTGGTCCATTCCTATATCTTGCTAAGCATTTTTTGTTTGTTTGTTTGTTTGTTTTTGAGATGGAGTCTCGCTGTGTCACCCAGGCTGGAGTGCCATGGTGTGATCTCAGCTCACTGCAACCTCCACCTCCTGGGTTCAAGCGATTCTTCTGCCTCAGCCTCCTGAGTAGCTGGGACTACAGGCACCCACAACCACATCCAGCTAATTTTTGTATTTTTAGTAGAGATGGGGTTTCACCATATTGGCCAGGTTGGTCTCGAACTCCTGACCTCGTGATCTGCCCTCCTCGGCCTCCCAAAGTGCTGGGATTACAGGCGTGAGCCATCGCACCCAGCACCTGCTGAGCATATTCTGTCATATGCACCTATTCTCTAGTTTATCCATTCACCTGTTGAAGGGCATTTGAGTTGCTTCCAGATTTTTAGTATTACAAATAAAGCTCTATGGACATTCACAGAGTAGGTGTGTGTGTGTGTGTGTGTGTGTGTGTAACATAAATGTTCTTTTCTCTAGAGTGGCTCTGCTGGGTCATATGGCAAGTGTATGTTCAAGTTTATGACAAACTGCCAAAGTGTTTTCTACATCGGCTGTACCATTTTGCTGTGCCCAACTCCTAGCAATGTGTGAGAGTTCCAGTTATTCCATATGGTCAAGAACTTGATGTGTGTGTGAGTGTGTGTTTGTGTGTGTGTGTGTTGTCACTCAAATACTAGTATCTCATTTTGCTCTTAATTTACATTGTCTTAAGGGCTAATAATGTTGAACCATCTTTTCTGTGCTTATTTTCTGCTTATCTGTCTTCATTGGTTAAGTTTTTATTCTGATTTCTAGCCCATTTTAAATAGGATTTTTTTTCTTATTGTTAAGTTTCAGAGTTCTTTGCATGTTCTGTATACAATTCTTATATATGTGAGTTACAAATAATTTCTCTCTTTTTCTGAGTTATCTTTTCATCTTTTAACAGTGTCTTTCACAGAACAAAAGCTTTTAGTTTTGAAGAAGTCTAATGTATCATTTTTTTTCTTTTATGAATCATGGTTTTGATGTTCTAAGAATCCATTGTCTAAAGCAAGGTCACAGATATTTTCTTCTATGTTTCCTGTAAATATTTTATAACTTTTTTTAATTGAAGTGTGTGATCTATTATAAATTAATTTTTGTGAATTATGTACAAATGGGCCAGGGTTCATAGTTTTGCCTATTTATGTATTCTGTAGCAATTTGTTAGACTATCCTTCCTCCATTGAATTGCCTTTGTGCCTTTTTTAGAGACCACTGATCATATTTGTCTAGGTCTACTTTTTGTACTTTTATTCTTTTCCACTGATCTGGGTTTCTTTATTTTTGCCAAGACCGTACTCTCTTGATTGACTACTTAATTTTATACTAAATCTTAACATTGGATCATGTGAGTCCTGCTTTTCTTTCTAGAAAATTTTAACTATTTCCTTTGTACTTTCGTATCAATTTTAGAATCAATTTGTCTGTAACTATAATAAATCTTATTAAGATTTTGATTGGGATTGCATTTAATCTGTGATCAGTTTGGGGAGAAGTGATATCTTTGCCAGATACAAATACCACAGACATGCTTTTTCTCTCTATTTAGATTTGCTTTTATTTATTTCATAAGCATTTTTTAGCTTTCTGCCTATACATTCTGTACATGTTTTAATGGATTAACACCTAAGTGTTTTTTTAAGAAACTGTCAGTGGTATTTTTTATTTCAGTATTCATGTGTTCATTATTAGTATGTACAATTTATTTTTGTATGTTTATCTCATATGCAATCTTGCAGAAACCATTAGTTCTACGAATTTTTTTATAGGTTCCTTGGCATTTTCTACATAGACTATTATATCATCTGCAAATGGAGACATTTTTATTTGTCCCTCTTATATCTACATGCTTTTTTTCTTTTCTTGTCATATTACACTAACTTAAACTTCCAGGACCATGATGAATGAGTGGTAGGAGCAAATGCACTTGCCTTGATTCCTGTTTTGGAGGAAAGCATGTAGTCTTTCAAAAGTATAGATTTTTTCATATATGTTATTTATGAAGTTGAGGAAGTTTCCCTCTACTCCTAGTTTTCTAAGAGTTTTTTTTTTGTTTTTTTTTTTTACCATGAATGGGTTTTGAATCTTGTTAAATGCTTTTTCTACATTAATTGCTATGATCGTGTGGTTTTTCTTCCTTACTCTTTTAATACAGTGAGTGGATTACACTGATTGATATTTGAATGTTGAACCAACTTTTTATCCTTGGAATAAATCCCACTTGGTTTGTTATTCATAATGGTGAATTAGTCATACATAATGAAAAATTATTTTTATACATTGCTGAATTACATTTGCATTGACTGATAGATTGATTGACTGATTGACAGGGCCTTGCTCTGCTCTCCAGGCTGGAGTACAAAGGAGTGATCATGGCTCACATTGAACCTTGACCTCCTGGGCTCCAGCGATCCTCCCACCTCAGCCACCCGAGTGGCTAGGACTACAGGCATGTACTACCATGCCTGGCTAATTTTTTCTCTCTCTCCTTTTGTTTTTGTAAAGTTGGGGTTTTATTATGTTGTCCAGGCTGGTCTCAAACTCCTATCCTCAAGTGATCCTCCACCTTGGCCTCCCGAAGTGTTGGGATTACAGACGTCAGTGACCATGCCCAGCCTATTTACTTTTATTTTGTTAAGGACTTTTACACCCATATTCATAGAGGAATATTGGTCTATAATTATTTTTTTGGTCATGTTTTGATATCAAAGTAGTATTAGATTCATAAAATGAATTGAGAAGCGTTCCTTCTTTCATTTTCTGGAAGAGATTGTTTAGAATAGGTGATATTTCTTTTTAAAACATTTGGTAGAATTATCTAATGAAATCTTCTGGGCCTGAAGATTTTTGCAGGGAAGTTTTTAAAGTACAAATTCAAATTTTTATAGCTATAGAGAATATTCAAATGATCTATTTCATATTATGTGTATTGCAATCATTTTTGTTTTTTTTTTTTTTAGGAATTTGTCCATTTCATCTAAGTTGTCAAATTTGTGTGTGTAGGTTTTTCAAAGGCATCCTTTTGATTTCTGCAGGGTATGTTAATGATATTCCCTGCTTCATTCCTATTGTTGATAATGTTCTTTTCAGTCTTGCTAGAGATTTTTTAAACTTTATTGATCTTTTCAAAGAACTCGCTCTTTGAGTTTCTTTAGTTTTTGTTGTTGTGTTGTTGTTGTTAAAGTCATTATTTTCTTCCCTTATGCTATAATTTCCTTCTTCCTGCTTGCTTTGGACTTTATTTGGTCTTTTTTCTAGGTTGTTGGAGTAGGATCTTTTATTGACTTGGAACTATTCTTTTCTAATGTATAGATTTAATGCTATAATTTTTTTCCCAGCACAACTTTGGTTGTGCCCAACATTTTTACATGTTATGTTTTTATTTCATTCAGTTTAATTTTTAAACATCTGCCTTGAGACCCTCCATGGATTATTTAAAAGTTGTTTAGTTTCCACGTATTTGAAAATTTTCTTCTTATGCTGCTGTTACTGATTTCTCATTTGATTCCATTGTGGTCACGGAACAAACTGCATATGACTTTCATTCTTTCAAATTAGTTGAGGTTTGTTTTGTAGTTCCAGATGCTGTCTATCTTGGTATATGTTCCGTGGAAACTGGAAAATAACATATATTCTGCTCATGTTGGGTGGAGTGTTCTGTAAGTATCAATTAGATCTTATTGGTTAATGGAGGTGTTGTGTTTTTTATATATTGTTGCTGATTTTTAAAATTTAGTTCTATTAATTATTGAGAGAGAAGGTGTTGAAGTTTCCAACTATAGTTGTGTATTTGTCTATTTCTTCTTTTCATTGTATCAGTTTTTTGCTTCATATATTTTACAGCTCTGTTTTTTGGTGGATATACACTTAGGATTGTTGTGTCTTAGTGGCTTGACCCTTTTGTCATTATTTCATGCTCCCCTTTATCTCTGGTAATTTTCTTTGTTCTGAAATTGTCTTTATGTGACATTAATATAGATACTTCTGCCTTTTTGGATCAGTGCTTCCATTATGTCTTTTCCAATTTTTTATTTTTAAGCTGCCTGTATAATTTATTTGAAATGAGATTCTTGTAGACACCATATTTTTAAATCCATTCTTCTAGTTCTTGTCTTTTAATTGGTGTGTTTAGGCTGGTTACATTTAATGTAATTATAGACATGTTAAACATAAATCTGCCATTTTTGTTTATTTTTTGTTTTCTGTTCTTTCTGTTTTTCATTGCTTGTATTCCTTTCTTCTTTCTTGTATTCATTTCTTGTTTTCTTGTATTCCTATGGGTTAATTTATCATTTTTGAGAATTCCATTGATGTATTTCTTGTGTTTGTCTTGTTCCATTTTGTGCTCTAACAGAATGCCACATTCTGAGTAATTTATAAGAAGCTGAAATTTTATTTTCTCAGAGTCCTGGAGGCTGGGAAGTCCAACAAGGGGCTAGCATCTGGTGAAGGCCTTCTTGAAACATTATAACATGGCAGAAGGGAACACATGGGTGAGAGAGCAAGAGGGGGCCAACCTTGTCCTTTTATAAGAAACCCACATCTGTGACAATGAACCCACTCCCACAATAACAGCATTAATCTGAACACTTCCCATTAGATCCCACTTCTCAACACCACTGCATTGGGGATCCGGTTTCCAACACAGGAACTTCAGGAGACATATTCAGCTTTTAGCATTCTGCCTCTGACCCCCAAAATTCATGTCTTCACATGAAAAATGCATTTGCTCCATCTCAATAGCCCCAGAATCTTAACTGGTTCCAATACCACCTCAAAAGTCCAGAATCTCATCTAGATCAGATATTGATGAGATTCAAGGTACAATTCTTCCTGAGGCAAACTTCTTCTAGCTGTGAGATTGTGAAATCGAAACAAGTAATCTACCTTAAAATGCAGTGGAGGGAAAGACATGGGATAGATGTTCCTATCTCAAAAGAGAGAAATAGGCAAGAATAAAGGGATAACTGGTTCCAACTAAGTCCAAAATCCAATAGGGAAAATGTTAAATCTTAAAGCTAGAGAATCATTTTTACTCCATGTGTAACTTTTGAGCATACTGGGGTGGAGGTTTTGACCTCAAAGCCTTGGGCAGTCCTGTTTTCATGGTTTTGCTGGGTGTGGCAGTTTTCTCAGGCTGGGGCTATGTGCTGGTAGCTCTACAGTTCTGGGGTTTGGGGGCAGCCCTGTCCCCATGGCTCCACTAGGCATTGCCTTAGTGAGTACTCTCTACAGTGGCTTTGTCCCCACAGTTCTGCTGGGCATCACCCTAATAGACTCTCTCTGTGGTGGTTCCACTCTTGTGACATGTCTCTTGTGACATGTCTGTGCCTGGATCCCTAGGCTGTCTGATACATCCTTTGAAATCTAGGTGGAGGTAGTTTTGTACCCCTGTCTCCAAAAATGTATACCTCCACAGCTTATGAACTCTGTGCACCAGCAGAGTTAGCATTATATGGATGCCACCAAGCTTACCACTTATGCCCTCTGGAGAGCAGCAGCCCAGACTACACTTGGGGTTACTTGAGTAATGGCTGGGGCAGCCAAGGAGCTCTGCACTGGAATGCAGGGAACAGAGTCCTTGGGCAGTGAACCCATGGAAGGCATCTTGGGCTAGTCTGATGAAACCATTCTCCCCTCCTAGAGCTCTGAGCCTGTAATGGGAGGAGCAGCCTCAAAGATCTCTGAAATATCTTGGAGGTAATTCTCTCATTGCCTTGATGAATAGCACCTGGCTTCCTGCTATCCATGCTAAGCCTTTTCTCAAAGGGGACACTTGGCACATTTTTGTGTTTTACGTGGCCAGGCTGTGAATTTTCCAGATGGTTACATTCTGCTTCTCTTTTAATCATAAATTCCACCTTTAAATATTTTCTCTCCTCTTGCATCTTACTGTATGCAGTTAAAGGAAGCCATGCAGATTCTTCCATATTTTGCTTAGAAATTTCTTCCACCATGTATCCTAGTTCATCACTCTTAATTTCTGTCTTCATTAAAACCCTTGGGGATGGACATAGTTCAGTCAAGTTCTGTATAACTTTATAGGAAGGATGGACTTGACTTCAGTTTCTAATAAGATATTTTTCATTCTCATGTAAGACCTCATCAGAGTGGTCTTTACTGTCCATATTTCTGCCCACATTGTGATCATTAATATCTAAGTAACCTCTAAGAAGTTTTACCCTTCATACAGCTCTTCTCTTCTGAGCCCTCACCAGAATCACCTTTAACTCTTTGTTCACAGCAATGCAGCCTTTTTCTAGCCTGCTCTTCCAGACTCGTCTAGTCTCCACTATCCAGTTCCAAAGCTGCTTCCACAATTGTAGGTATTTGTTATAGCAGTACCTCACTCTCTGGTACCAATTGTCTTTGTGCTGCCATAAATGAATACTATGGTCTCTAATTTATAATAAACAAAAATTTATTGGCCGCAGTTCTGAAGGCTGGGAAGTTTGAGATGGAGGAGCTAGCGTCTGGCAAGGTCCTTCTTGCTACATTGTAACATGATGGAAGTCATCACATGGGCAGGAGAGAGCAAGAGGGAGCTCACGTTGTCCTTTTATAAGAAACCCACCCTCATGATAATGAACACACTCCCACAGTGACAGCATTAATTCATTGAGGGTTGTGTCCCCTTACCCATATACCTCCTCTTAGGCTTCACCTTTCAGCACTGCTGCATTGGAGATCAAGTTTTCAACATGTGAACTTTGAGGAACACATCCAAACCACAGGAGTATAGTTGAGATGGCTCTAGGTGTTACCTACTATTTACATAACTTATCATAGTCTGCTGCTATCATTATTTTACCGGTTTAAGTGATAGCTTCCTCCATCCTTGGTATTTCAAGTTTCCTTCTTTTATCATTTTTGGGGTTTTTTTTTTTTTTAGATGGAGTCTCACTCTTGTCACCTAGGCTGGAGTGCAGTGGCATGATGTCGGCTCACTGCAACCTCTGCCTCCCCAGGTTCAAGCGATTCTCCTGCCTCAGCCTCCTCAGTAGCTGGGATTGCAGGTGCGCACCACCACGCCCGGCTAATTTTTTGTATTTTTAGCAGAGATGGCCATGTTGGCCAGGCTGGTCTCGAACTTCTGACTGCAGGTGATCCACCCGCCTTGGCATCCCAAAGTGCTGGGATTGCAGGCGTGAGCCACTGTGCCCAGCCTTTGGGTTGTTTTTAGATAACTTTCTTTAGCAATAAGAAGCCTGCTGATGACAAATTTTGTCAACTTTTGTATATCTGAGATTGTCTTGATCTCCCCTTCATTTCTGAAGAATATTTTCATTAGCTAAAGGGTTCTAGGTTGACAGTTTCTTTCTTTCAACCCTGGAAAAATGATGTGCCACTTTCTTTTAGTCTCCATTTTTCTTGAGAAATCTGCTGTCATTCTAATTGCTTTTCCCCCATTGTTAAGGTATCATTTCTTTCACCTTGGTTTCAAGATTTGTCTTTAGTTCTTAGAAGTTTGACCATGATGTGTCTTGGTGAGGATTTCTTTATGTTTATCCTCTTTGGGGTTTGTTCAGCTTTTTAAATATGTAGGTTTGTGTCTTGTGCCACATTTGGGACATTTTTAGCCATTATTTCTCTGAGTATTTTTTAGCCTATCTTTTTTTAACTTTTTTATTGTGGCCAACTTAGTCTAATATAGCTACCATTTTTTCCCTTCTTCTTCTGGGACTCTGATGACATAAAATATTTGATCTTTTGTTATAGCCCCACAGGTCCCTGAGGGTTTTTTTGTTTGTTGATTTGTTTGGTCTATTTTTGCCCTGTTGTTCAGATTGGAAAATTGCTGTTATGCTTCCTCCAGTTCACTGATTCTTTCATCTGCCCGCTCTGTTCTGCTGTTGAACCCATCAACTGAGTTTTTTTTTTTTGTCAATTAGATTGTTGTATTTTTCAGATCTAAAATTTTTGTTTCTTCTTTATATCTTCTATTTTCTTTCTGAGACTTCCTATTTCATTTATTTCAAAAGTGTTTATTACTACACGTTGAAGCATTTTCATAATGAATACTTTAATTGGAATCTATTGTCTTTTTTTCTTTCAGTTTGAGTTTTTTTTTCTGCTTCTTGGTGTGATGAGTAACTGAAATCTGGATATTATGGCTGTTATATTATGTGACTCTGGATCTCATTTAAACTTTGTCTTGTAGCCAGCTTTCTCTGATGCTGCTCTAGTGGGGGGAGCAGTTTCTAGTGCTTTGTTTCTGATGAGCTGGGGTAGAAGTCCAGATTCCCCACTTGGCTGGCCTTCATTGACCCTTCGAAGATGGAGGTTCTTCTTGTTAATACTTGGTGGGTGTGGGAGTTCTGGTTCTCTACTGGGCCTCCACTGATACCTCAGTGGCTGGTGGGAGTGGGGTTATGAGTGTCTCATTATTGCTCCCTACTTGGCTTTCACTAATACTGCAGAAGGGAGCAGCCTTGTTACTGCTGGGTGTTGGCAAGAGTCCTGTCTGTCCACTAGGACTCCTTTGACACCACACCAATGGGAAGGTGAAGAGATGCTTCGTTATCACCACATGGGCGTGGGTGTCCAGGTGACCATATGATTTCCACTGGTCCTGCAGCAGAGGAGGATGGGCTTTGTCAGTTGCCTAGTAGTGATAGACGCTTCCACTCCCTAGATGGATGTTCTCTTTATGTTTCTCAGTGTTCTCTGATGCTCCCACACTGATGAGGGGTACGGGCTTGGGTGGTTGTTACAGCCTGGTAGGAGTAGAAGTCAGGGCTCCCTACTCAGCTTTTGCTGGCTTGGGTGGAGTAGGACACAGTTCTTTTCTGTGGTGTTGGCTGCAGTGAGCAGTTTTCTAAAAAGTGTCTGTCTTTCTAGGCTGCTCCTTTCTTTGTCCTTTGTCTACAGAGACCAGGCTTTTGTTGGGGTTTGTTTTGTCTGAGCCTCTTGGTGTTTTAGGTGTTGCTGTTGTTCTTAAGCTCCAAGTCTGAGAAATGTGAAGGACAACACTTTTACCATGTTATTCTGAAGGTTCCCAGCCAGTATGCCTTCCTTCTCCTTTTCAGGGTCTTACGTTTCTAAACAATCCTAGGTTTTTAGTTGTGTGAGTGAGGAGAATTGCTAAAATACATTCACTCCTTCCTCCTGGAAGCAGAAGTCCTACTGCTTATTTTTTAATATATCATTTGTTCTTTGATATTTTATACATGTATTATAGTCTTTGATCATTGCAATAGTCGAAATTCTTTAGACTTCTTGTATGTTGTTTCTTCTTTCTCTGTACTCTTAAATCTTGATGATTTGTTTTCATGTGAATTTGCTGTGTTTGTGTGTGTGTGTGTGAGAGAGAGAGAGAGTGTGTGTGTGTGTGTGTGCACGTGCGTGCGTGTTGTCAGATAAAGAGAGAGTGAGAAAGAGAGGGGGAGAGAGAGAGAGAGAGAGCGTTAAATCAGAATGCTTTGTTCCTGAGAGAATTGGCACTCTTCTCTGACATGAGGCAGGCAGTGCTAATGGGTTAGCTGGGACCAGTTCCTCCAGCATCCAGGTTCTTTCTCTAAATGTAGAAGTTTCAGGTTCAAGCCCTCCACTTTCTTGTGGACATAACACTTGGTTGCCAGACCGTGGTGGTGGCATTTGCATTAGTTGCCAAGATTCAATACTGTCTCTGTGTTTGTTGTTAATTGATCCTTTCTCAGATTTCTGCTACATTAGCTTACTTATTTGGGGGAGGCCAAGCGTTATGGGTGGGGAAACCTTAATTCTGATACTTAAAATATATACATATCTGGAAACAAAGGCATACATTTGTTGTCATGAATCCAGGTTCCAATCTGTAGCAGGAGAGTCTTCAGGGTATCTGCTTTGCTGTGTTTGCTGGTGTGTTGGTTTTTTAAGTTTCCTAATAAATTCTAGTTTTCTCTATTCTCTTATTAAATGTTTCTACTACTCATGTCTCTGTTTTTCTGGTATTGCCTTAATTGAAGAGATTAGGGAGTAATTATGAGGCTCTGTTGTTAGTTTTGTTACTGATATGTTTCTCAATGTTCTTTTTAGGGCTGAAAAGACAGAAGTTTTGAGTGAAGACCTTCTTCAGGTAAGGCGGCCATTGACACTGGCTCACAGATACCAGAGATATATGGGAGGCTGAGGCAGGAGAATTGCTTGAACCCAGGAGGTGGAGGTTGTAGTTAGCCGGGATCGTGCCACTACACTCCAGCCTGGCGATACAGCGAGACTCTGTCTCAAAACAAACAAAAAACAAACAAATAAAAAAACAAACAACCAAAAAAACCAAAAAACTAAGCCATCCCTCGATGTGGTTAAAACTGCTCCAGCTGCTCCTTACGAACTGTTAGGAGAGAAGTTTTTTTGTCTTTTACGACAGTACTTTGCATGATGAATACTGATTTGGGTTAAGCTCTTTCAGGAGAGGTTTAAAGTCATTTCACCACAGTTAGCCCGAGGGTCCTGGAGTCTGTGATCACTGCCCCTCCAGTTCTCCAGCATTGAAAGCTGTCTCTCATTGCAGTTTTGATTTGCATTTCTCTGGTGACCAGTGATGATGAGCATTTTTTCATGTGTCTGTTGGCTGCATAAATGTCTTCTTTTGAGAAGTGTCTGTTCATATCTGTCACCCACTTTTTGATGGGGTTGTTTGATTTTTTCTTGTAAATTTGTTTCTTTGTTAGAATGGTAATCATTAAAAAGTCAGGAAACAACAGGTGCTGGAGAGGATGTGGAAAATAGGAACACTTTTATGCTGTTGGTGGGACTGTAAACTAGTTCAACCATTGTGGAAGACAGTGTGGTGATTCCTCAAGGATCAGAACTAGAAATACCATTTGACCCAGCCATCCCATTACTGGGTATATACCCAAAGGATTATAAATCATGCTGCTATAAAGACACATGCACACGTATGTTTATTGTGGCACTATTCACAATAGCAAAGACTTGGAACCAACCCAAATGTCCATCAATGATAGACTGGATTAAGAAAATGTGGCACATGTAAGCCATGGAATACTATGCAGCCATAAGAAAAGGATGAGTTCATGTCCTTTGTAGGGACATGCATGAAGCTGGAAACCATCATTCTGAGCAAACTATTGCAAGGACAGAAAATCAAACACCACATGTTCTCACTCATAGGTGGGAATTGAACAATGAGAACACTTGGACACAGGCTGGGGAACATCACACACCAGGGCCTGTCATGGGATAGGGGGAGGGGGGAGGGGGAGGGATAGCATTAGGAGATATATCTAATGTAAATGACGAGTTAATGGGTGCAGCACACCAAGATGGCACGTGTATACATATGTAACAAACCTACACATTGTGCACACGTACCTTAGAACTTAAAGTATAATTTAAAAAACAAACAAACAAAAAAACAAAGCTGTCTCTCCAGGAGTCCTTGTCTCCATGGAAACATGAGTTGTGATTGTCCACACCCACAATCCCTCCTCCCCTGACCTTGCCCTCTCTCAGTGGCACCACCCGCTCTTCTCTCTGCAGGTGGAGAAGCGTCTGGAGCTGGTGAAACAGGTGTCCCACAGCACGCACAAGAAGCTCACCGCATGTCTGCAGGGCCAGCAAGGGGCAGAGGCTGACAAGCGCTCCGTAAGTGCCCTCCCAGCCCTGGGGAGCTGAAATCTTGCCTACTGAGGACAAGGTTCCTACTCCTGTGACACTCCTGGATGTAGCTGTTTATGTAGCTGCTTACGTGCCTGAGAATTGACTCAGCAGCTCTAGCTGCCTATTTTCTGTTTTCTGTGGGGTAATGACCCTCCCTACTGTTCTTGCTCTTTAGCCCAGCCTGAAGCATCCCCCGCCCTCCACAGGCAAGTTGAGGTCCTCTCCCTGTCCTCCCCAGCTTGGAGCAACTGGGAAGACGGCAGGGGCGTGCTTGAGATCCCACCTCTAGGGAAGCTTTATCCTTGATCGATATCTGACCCCTGATTCAGCTCATTCATAGATTGCATTTGCCTCAATAGTATCTTAAGATCTCATGGAAAAAAAGTGTATTGTGGTTTTAGAGGTTACAAGTGACCTATAAAGGCCCTTGAAAATTGTTTTCGCCCTAATGAGACACAATAAAAAGAGCCTGCTAAATAAAGCTTCTCTAATGCCTTTGTCTATAACCTGCATTAGAAATAACAGGCATTGTATAATGCGATTCCATTTCAACAGTTCTTGGCATGAACAGCCTCTGCAGGTTTACCTTCCTCTTGACCCCATCCCTCTCAGCCCCACCAAAGATTAAAAGATATTCTTAGACATTCACTTGGCTTTATTACAAGGGATATACAATCTAGGTTTTTCTCCTCCTTCCTTGAGTTTATAATCTACATGATTGGTATCATTTAGACATTTTTTTTTTGACTTGCAGTTATTGCTGATTTCTGCATCCCCTTGGTCCCCCGATGCCCCTCGGCTTATGTTAGCCTCATTTCTGTTGGACTGTCATGTAATGTGCCACAATACTTCTTCCCAGCTCCTGCCGCAGTGCAAAAACCCACTCTACTTGTCCTACGAGTCATTTCTTTTTTTTTTTTTTTCCAAGCCCTGGTTTCTTCTTTCTTAATATTCCCAGCAGGAATCATTTGTGTGTGTATAAATAAAACTTTCACAGCTCTGAAAAATATCTATAGAAATAATTCTGCATGTATCAGGAATTCAGCAAGAGGAACTGTCTAAAGGGAGAGTTTGCAAAATGACTTTGGGCATGAAACCCTTTTATCAAACCCACATCTAATGGGGGACTCCAGGAACGGTTCCGGATGGGGGTGCTGGAGCCAAGCCTGCCTTTGATCTGTGTCTTTTTTTTTTTTTTTTTTTTGCTCTAAGAAGCACTATTTTTAAAATAACTGGTCCAAAGTACAGTATGTTTTGGTATCGGGAGTATCATCTGAATGCTACCACCAGAGGCTTGAATTCGGCCTTTGGTGTTGGTAGGCGGATTAGTACTAACATTATTTTTCTGGGATCAGATGAATTTACCTGGATTGGTGGAGTTTTCATTGGATTGAGAGTCTTACGTATTATATCAGTAAGGATACATTTGGATCCTTGAGTGATCTGAAGTATAGGGCACTGATAGAAGATTTGAGGTATGGCAAAGCCAGCAGATCAGGAGATGATTGCCAAGGAGAGATAATTATTCACCCTCCCCAAGAGAAGGGGACAGGCCACATCACCCAGAGGGCCACAGGGGAAGCTCTAGGGTTGGTCAGGAGGTAAAGGAGGGGACTGTGGGCCAGAGCCTTTGTTGTGGTGTCTGCAGCAGATATAGGATTGATTAGTTTGAATTATTACGGACGATTTCTAGTTGTCTGACCTACCAGTCAAGGGTGATTAGGGCAGATGAACAGTGGCCTGCGGTGTGACAGCCCCTTAGAGGAGGTTGTTGAAGTGTGAGCTCCAGATTGGTTTGCATTTAAAAAGCATGCTGTGAGTGAGTTGTTTACTATTTCTAGGAATTGCCTAGCCTGGGAGGGGCAGTCCCTCTAGGGTCAGCAAGGGCCCAAGATGTTGTCAGAGCATCTGAATACAGAAAATAAAACACATGGTTAATAACTACACTGCTTCCTAGAGACTTGAGAAAAAGGCACTTAATTGCCTCACTTAACAAGATTCTGATGTAGCCAGTTCCAAGGTTTATTCAGCAGCTTTGGGTCAGCAGCTATGTGACGCTTGGGCCTCCACTTACAACTGTAATGTGGCTGCTCCAGCTCCACGCATCACATCTTCACATAACCATATCACAGGCAGGAAGTGGGAGATTGATAAGACCATGAATTCATTTCATTTATGTTTCTCTAGCTGCAAGGGAGGCTGAGAAGGTGAATATGTGTCCAAGATAAATGGGTTTGCTATGACTGGCCATGATTCACCAGCGAGGACGTACACTATCTGGCTTCTCTTACTAGAGAAGACACACAGTGGTTGTTACCAGGCTCTGAAGGCTGCAGTCACATGCATGCAGTGATAAACGTGTAAACTGGGAGAAGTCCGCAGTGGAAGTAGGTGCCCAAGCATGTATAGGTCAGTGATTTCACTGCATGGATTTATTTATTTATTTATTTATTTATTTATTTTGAGACAGAGTCTCACTCTGTCACCAGGCTGGAGTGCAGTGGCGCAATCTCGGCTCACTGCAACCTCCACCTCCCAGGTTCAAGTGATTCTCCCACCTCAGCCTACTGGGTAGCTGGGACTACAGGTGTGCGCCACCATGCCCAGCTAATTTTTGTATTTTTAGTAGAGACAGGGTTTCACCATGTTGGCCAGGATGGTCTTGATCTCTTGACCTCGTGATCTGCCCACCTAGGCCTCCCAAAGTGCTGGGATTACAGGTGTGAGCCACTGTGCCCAGCCTCACTGCATGGATTTTAAGTGCTTGATTTTGTCAATGATTTCTTATGCTGATTCATCTTTGCTTGTCATCATATGACTGAATAAATGGTCTGAAAGTCAAAGAGCCATTTAAAATAGGAAACAATCAAAGAACTGTGGGAAAAAAATTTCCAAACTCAATTTTTTTCAGTTTTTCTCTGAACACATTAAGAGATGTAATAGGAAACGTGACACTTATAAATCACCTCAAATACTGAAATGTATATCCAGTTCTTTGTGATGATTAAGTAGGGAGATATGTCAAGATCGGAGCAATGGGTGAAAAGGAAAAGAAATAAAATGAAAAGGATCAGGTAAAGGGAAGGTGGGGTGGGAGGGAGGGAGTGAATGAACAGACACTGTCTCGGGAATTGAATGTTAAGGGAGGGTCCAGAGATGGACAATCACACGGGAGTGTGGGTCATAGAGTCTCAGGATCAGGAGAGACTTTATGGGGATCCATGCAATATTCTGCTTTTTATTTGAGCACATGTAAGTTGCTGCTTGAGCACATGTAAGTTGCTACTTGAGCACATGTAAGTTGCTACTTGAGTACGTGTAAGTTGCTTTTTGTTATTTCTCTTTTAACAAGCTCAGTAGCTCTTTAGTCATGTGTTCCAACTCCTGAACTTTTGTCATACCACTTTTAAAAGTTTTGCCCTGAAAGCTGTGGCTGCCAGCCAGATGTGGGTAGGCATAAAAATCGGATTTTGTTGCCATTATCTCAGTGACCAGAGAGAACATTATTGTCTTGTGGGTACTGAGTAAAACTGGATTCCTTATGTGGAATGAAGAATAGAAAGCATATGAATTACCTTTCCATGTTGCCATCTTTTTTTATTTTTATTTTTATTTTTTTTTGAGACAGAGCCTTGCTCTGTCGCCCAGGCTGGAGCGCAGTGGCACCATTTCGACTCACTGCAACCTCTGCCTCCCGGGTTCAAACAATTCTCCTGCCTCAGCCTCCTGAGTAGCTGAGATTACAGACGCCCACCTCCACGCCCAGATAATTTTGGTATTTTTAGTAGAGATGGGGTTTCACCATGTTGGCCAGGCTGGTCTTGAACTCCTGACCCATGATCTGCCCGCCTCAGCCTCCCAAAGTGTTGGGATTACAGGCGTGAGCCACCACACCCGGCCTCCATGTTGCCATCTTTAGTCCTGGATAATAACTGGTTAGTTCCTAGGTTTTTGAGACTCTTAATATAATGAAGATGTTTAGTTTTTTGAAGTCCTTGCATTTCTCATTAGGAAGTCATACCCAACAAATAAAGTGCTACCGTGTGGAAGTGTTTCTCCACCTTATTCAGCAAATATTTAGAAAGCAACAAGTCTGCCACGCAAGGCGGTGTGTATGCCAAGTGCTGAGCCAGCTGAGCAGGATTTCTGTGCTGCAGAAGCTCACCACCCAGGGGGAGGCAAGCATCATACTCACAGTGCATTCGCTGCTCAGACCGTGTCTTAGTGCCAAGAAGAAGTGCTTGCTAGGAATTAAATGGTGGGAGGTTTCCATAAGGAAGTGGCCGTTAAGGACAGGTGAAAGGTAGCAGCACCAAAAGGGGTAAACACACTTCTCAGATAAGAGGACAAGATGTGCCAGGTTCCGAGAGACAGGAGAAAGTTTGGCTTTTTTTTTTTTTTTTTTTTTTTAATTGAGATGGAGTTTCGCTCTTGTCACCCAGGCTGGAGTGCAATGGTACAATCTCGGCTCACTGCAGCCTCTGCCTCCCGGGTTCAAGCAATTCTCCTGCCTCAGCCTCCCAAGTAGCTGAGATTACAGGCACCTGCCACCATGCCCAGCTAACTTTTGTATTTTTAGTAGAGACAGGGTTTCACCATGTTGGCCAGGCTGGTATCAAACTCCTGACCTCAGGTGATCTACTTGCCTCAGCCTCCCAAAGTGCTGGAATTACAGGTGTGAGCCACCACACCCGGCCAAGTTTGGCATTTTTGAGAAACATAAAGGTGGCCAGAGTGACCAGACTGTAGCGAATGGGGAAGACGTGACATGGGGCGGGACTGCAGAGGATGGGATCACGCCTTACAGGAGGACATGGTGAGGGTTTGGACTTTATCCCTAAGAGCAGAGGAAAGCCAGCATTTTAACAGAGGGAGACATGATCAGATATGTTCAAAATTGTATGAATAAAGGACTCATGGGTGGGGCCATGGTAGAAGTGAGAGGCCAGTTACACAGAGATGGGAACAATTTCAGTGAGATGCAACGAGGACCTGAAGATGGAGAAAAATCGGCGTCCATGGTAGATCCTGGAGGGAGAGTATCAGGGCTTGGTAACTGAGTGGATGTGGGCGTATGAAGAAGAGAGAGAGGTCTCATGGTCTCAACCCCAAGTGACTGTTGAATCCATGGGAGCTGCTGTGATCACCTGGGGAGAAAATGCAGGGTGAGAAGACATATGGCTTTTGAATCAGGAACCCTGGGAACTGCAGCATTTCCTGCTCTACCAGGAGGAGGACCCAGCAAAGAGGGCAGAGCAGTAGAGAATGGTACTGTAAATCCACGCACTTGCTCCTCTAAATCCCAGACACCATTCTTTATTCTTTCCTTTCCATACCCGCCATGTCCAGGCTGTCAGTAAGCCCTGCTGACTCTTCCTCCAAAGAATTTCCATTTGGCTTCAACATTTACCACCCTAGTCTAAGCAGCTGTCAGCTCTTTCTGAACACAGTGGCTCCTATCACATCTTCCACCCCAAACCCTTCCCTCCTCCTTCCTCTTCCCTTCTCTGCAAGCGCAGGAGCCAATGTTTAAATTGGAAATCCAGTAACTCACTCTCCTGCCTAATCCTGCTCCGGGATTCCCTTTGTAGAATAAAATCTGAACTCCTTATCTTGGCCCTTGGAACACTATGATGTGTCTTCTACCTGCATCTCTGAGCTTAGCTCTGGGCTTCCTTCCCCTCTGTCATCATTCTTCAGCTGTGCTCACCTGGTACTGAGCATGCCCAGCTCACACTCCTCTTGGGCCATTGTGCTTGCTCTATCCTCCGCAGGGAATGCTCTTACCCAGCATTTCAAGCCAGCACCCTGTTCGGTTCTCAGCTCAGATGTCACCTTTTCAGGAGGCTTTCTTGACCACCTAATGTGTCTGCTTCCTCCCTCACCCTAATCCCATCTCCCTATTTTATTTTCTTCATAGCACATATTAGTATCTGAAATCACTGTGATCATTTATTTCCATCATTGTGATGGGAGCAGGGATCTTGTGTCCCCATAAGCTCCGTTCTCCGTGCCTAAAAAAGAGCCTGCCCCAGCAGGGCAATGGTACAAGTAGATGTGTGTCATGAATGGATGGTCTGTGAATATTTTAGGCACAGAACTTGCCTACCACACTAGCATGCCCTTCCTTTTCTGTAACAGGCAATTCTGAGGTTAAGCTCTGGAATCTGACGACCCAAGGGTGAAGCCCAGTTCTGTCACTTCCTAATTTAACCTGAGCTTGGGCAAGTTAATTACCTCATAAGCCTTAGCTTCTTCATTTGGAAAATGGTAAGAATCATAATAATTCCCTACCCAGCAGGGTTGTTTGAGAGGTCAGTGAGGTAAAGCACGTACATGCCTTGTGCAATGTTAACTTAAGTAAATATTAAAGAAGTGTAACCTGATGCTGTTAGCAGTGGCCCGCTATTAGACTGGAGTGGCTGTTGAGAACCACTGAGACCCAAGCATCAAGCCTTGGCTGTGTGTCTGTTTGGGGCTGAACCACAGAAGAGCTGGTTGCCTGGGGCTGGAATTAGAGGACAGTAGACAAGAATTTTCCAAGATAGGGAATATATGAGAGAGAGAGAGAGAGAGAGAGAGAGAGAGAGAGAGAGAGAGGAGAGAGAGAGAGAGTGTGTGTGTGTGTGTGTGTGTGTGTGTGTGTGTGTGTGTGTGTGTTTGGAGGAATGGAGTGGATATTAGAATGAGGCTTATTGTCTGGGTCATCCTACAAACTGTGTTGCTTGTGCCCAAGATAGTTTTAGAGAGAATAGTCATCTCAGAAATGTCAGATTGACTATATCGAAACTCTGGGACAGTCTGTCTTTCCTTCCCTTAATTCTCAAGGTTCTATCTGCATTCTAGAGCTAGGGAGAAAAATTATTTCAGTAGCTCCTCTTTGGCTCTGAAAATCACTGGCAGCATGAAGTTTGCTAAGATCTTTTTACCTGGGCACTAATATTTACCAGGGATTGGGACTGGCTTTGTCAGTGTGGATCCTTGGTACTGGAGGGAAAAAGATTTTGGGAGCTTTTCTAGATTTTTGAGCAATTTAATTCTTCTAAGACTGGATATCCTTTTAAAAAATTTTTAATTAATTTATTTCAATAGGTTTTTGGGGAACAGGTGGTGTTGGTTACATGAGTAAGTTCTTTAGTGGTGATTTCTGATATTTTGGTGCACCCATCACCTGAGTAGTGTACACTGTACCCAATGTGTAATCTTTTATCCCTCACCCTCCTCCCACCCTTTCCCCTGAGTCCCCAGAGTCCATTGTATCATTCTTATGCCTCTGTAGAAGACTGGATATCATTATACTTGAAATGGGGGCGACCAAAGTTTGAGGGAGAGAGCAAACAGTATCTTAGTTAGAGGCAATCTTAGGTTATATGAGATTGCTACAATGCCTGGCATCTCTTGAGCAGATAAAGTCCCTTCACCTTAGAGAATCTTTTTAGAAAGAGAAATCATTTGTAGTCTGTTGTGCGTTACAGTCCATTAACTTCTTCTTACGTACTGTCTTTGATTATGGGGTTGCTAACGCATTTCTTCCTTTCTCTTGTCATTTGGTGGCTTCCTTGTAATTTCTTGATTCTTTTGTTTTTTTTCTTTTTAATTTGAGACAGTCTCGTTCTGTCACCCAGGCTGGAGTGCAGTGGTGCCATCTCGGCTCACTGCAACCTCTGCCTCCCAGGTTCAAGCGATTCTCCTGCCTCAGCCTCCCGAGTAGCTGGGATTACAGGTGCATGCCACCATGCCTGGCTCATTTTTTGTATTTTTAGTAGAGATGGGGCTTCACCATGTTAGCCAGGATGGTCTCAATCTCTTGACCTCATGATCTGCCCACGTTGGCCTCCCAAAGCTCTGGGATTACAGGCGTGAGCCACGGTGCCCGGCCAATTTCTTGATTCTTAAAGCATTTACACAAATAAAAACTCATGTTGATTTTCACCAGCTTACCCCCACCTTGGAATCCAAGCTCTCAAATTCACCTTAACATCTCTCCTCTTAGAGTGACAGTTACACCATTGGTAGGGTACTTGAGTAAATACATTTTGTCATCTTCATTCAATGATCTGTGTAACCATTAAAATAAAAGAACAAGACAGTTCCATAGGTAGTGATAGGAAATGATATGAAAGGTATCTATCTCTATGTGAAAAGGAAAGCAAGGCACAGAGTGGTGTGTATATTTAGTATGCTAACGTGGGGAGAAATACTAAAAGTAGACGCACACACATGTATGTATAATTGAATCTGCTTAGAATATTTATGAAAGGATACACAAAATCTGGTCACTATTAGGGTCTTTGGTGAGGGGAATGAAGTGGTTGAGGGATGAGTGAGTGTGGGAGGGACTTTTTACTATAAATCCTCTAGCATCTTTTAGTTTTATTTATTTATTTATTTTTGAGACGGAGTCTCACTCTGTCACCCAGGCTGAAGTGCAGTGGCACAATCTCAGCTCACTGCAACCTCTGCCTCCCAGGTTCTAGCAATTCTCCTGCCTCAGCCTCCCAAGTAGCTGGGACTACAGGGGCGTGCCACCACACTTGGCTAATTTTTTTTTTTTTTTTTGTATTTTTAGAAGAGACGGGGTTTCACCATATTGGCCAGGCTGGTCTCAAACTCCTGACCTCATGATCTGCCCGCCTCAGCCTCCCAAAGTGCTGGGATTACTGGCAAATTAATTCTTTTCCTATAATAGATATGATAGAGAATGAGATAGGGCAGGAGGGAGAGGTTATGCTCCTTGTTAAAATTAAAAAGCATATCCCTTAAGAATTCACTTAATTCTGTCCTCTCTGCTACCTAAGAGGATGTCAAAATCATTAGTGCAGGTGTTAAATGACTCAAAATGATGAGAAAATGTAGCTTCCTTGGCTCAGGAGCAGGGTGCCTCCAGCCCTATAGCTTCAAACTGTGTTTTCCAGTCTGCACTTTGCAGAACAGTTGCCTGGCTGTCCCCTCTCCATCCTCCCTCCAAAAGTCCGATCAACCTCATGTTCCTCCAGTGGCCGGTCTTGTCCTGTTGATCTTGACCTTCGTTCATTTGGTCCCCCTTGGGCACAGTTTTCTGCTCCACTCACTGACAGGATAATCTGACTAGTCTTTTTCCATATTTGGAAAAACTCTACTTACCTTCTGGTAGATGTATTTCTTCAAAGGATGTCAACTCTTGGACTATCAGAAGTCCCCTTTACTATAGGCAAATCCTCTCTTCTTTGTCCAATTTCAGAAAGATTCAGAAATGCTGAAGTCTTGTCCTGATGGCAGGTCATGGGACTGTGAATGTTTATCACAAACCAGAATGGTCTTTTTATGTGAGCTCATCAATACTATGATCGTACCATCTGACATTCAAGACGAAGCATCTTCACTGACTTGTCACTGAGGTATTGTAGACACTTGCAGATCAAACCAGGTTTCTCAACCATGGCACTATTGCCATTTTGAGCCTAGTAATTCTTTGTTGGAGGAGACTGTTCTGTGCCTTGTAGGATGTTTAGCAACATCCCTGGCCTCTACCCATCAGATGCCAATAGCATCTCCCATGCTGTGCCAATCAGAAATGTCTCCAGATGTTGCCAAATGACCCCAGGAGGACAAAAATCACCCCTGGTTGAGAACCAATACCTTAAGTTATGCCCTCTCTGTGAGGCTACAACTGGAATATTATGCCTGCTTCTCTGAAAAACAGACTCTGTTTGTCTACACTTACATAACACTTCTGTGACCACATGTGTGGGGGGATTTTCTCCACACACCAAGCAGTTCCCCAACTCTCTGAACACCAGGTGTATGTCTTGCAATTTATTCTGACACTGTATACCTGGAGTTGGTGTCAGATCCCGCAGGTTAAGGGCTCAGTCCTACAAGACTGCCCCTACTTAAGATGTCAATTGCAAATCCAGCCTTCTGGTATTTCTCAACAACCAGCTATAAATTAGGGGTCCCACAACTCCCCTCCTCAGGTTTGATAATTTGCTAAAATGGCTCGAAGAACTCAGGGAAACACTTTAGTTGTATTTATCAGTTAGGATATTATAAAGGATACAAATGAACAGCCAGATGAAAAGAGTAAACTTAGGGCAAAGTATGATGATGTTTATTATTTATCTTCACCATTAGAAGTAAGTTCTGTGGCTGGGTGTGGTGGTTAACACCTGCAATCCCAGCACTTTGGGAGGCCAAAGCAGGAGGATTGCTTGAGCCGAGGAGTTCAAGACCAGCTTGGGAAACATAGTGAGACACCATCTCTACAAAAAATTTAGAAATAAAATTAGCCAGGCATGGGGGTGCATGCCTGTAGTTCTAGCTGCTCGGGAAGCTGAGGCAGGAGGATTGCTTGGGCTTAGGAGCTCGAGGCTTCAGTGAGCTATGATTGCAACACTGTGCTCTAGCCTGGGAGATAGGGCCAGACCTTGTATCAAAAAACAAAACAAAACAAACAAAAAAAACAGAAAAAAAGGAAAGAAGAAGAAAAGAGAAAAGAAAAATGTTCTATGAGAGCAGTGTCTAGTTTTGTTTATCACTGGTTTGGTGCCTGCCCTCCATAAATATTGGATTAGTAAATGAATTATAAGTGGAAACGCTCTATGTGTTAACACCAGGAGGCTCTGGGCTGGGTGTAGTTCAGTCACTTTCTTTTTGAAGAACTACCTTTGTAGCTACGTAGACTGGAAGACCTGAGAAGGTGCTAGTGGTTCTTACCTTGTTTTTGTTCTGTCTGTGTGTACTGGCTGGTCTTAGTTCAGAAAGGAGAGAGCTCTTTGATATTTAGCCTGGGGAACGGATCATGCTAAACTCCTATCACAGCTTGTCTCTCCCTCCCTGTAACATAAAATGTAGCATTTAAAAGTGTACAGTGGTTTTAACAGTTAGTCTATTTACCACCATTATCTAGTTCCAGAACGTTTCCATCATCCCCAAAGGGAACCCCATACCCATTAAGCAGTCCTTCCCTATTTTACTCACCCCTGCAGCCCTGTGACAAGCACTAATCTACTTTCTGTCTCTGTGAATTTGCTTATTCTGGATATTTCATTAAATAGATTTATATAATATGTGTCCTTTTGTGTCTAGGTTATTTCACTTAGCATGATGTCTTCAAGATTCATCTGTGTTGTACCATGCAGCATTCCCTTTTTCATGGCTGCATAATGTTCCATTTTATGGATATACCACATTTTGTCTGTCCATTTATTCATTGGTGGACATTTGAGTTGTTCCCACCTTTTGGCCTTTGTGAATAGTGTTGCTCTTCACATTTGTGTACCTCTTTTTTGAACATCTGTTTTCAGTTACTTTGGATATATACCCAGGAGTGGAATTGCTGTGCCATGTGATAATTCTGCTTAACTTATTGAGATACTAAGTACACCTTCACAGTGCTGCACCAGTTTAAACATCTACTAGTAATGCATGAAGGTTTATGCTCACCAATCCTTATTTTTTTTTTGCTTTGTTAAGCATTAATATTATTATAGCCATCTTAGTGAGTGTAAAGTGAGGTCTTGATTGGGGTTTTCCTAATGACTAATGAGGTTAATTATCTTTTCATGTGCTCTTTGGCCATCTATCTTTTTTGGAGTGTGTCTTTATTTTCATGCTTACTCTTTCTGGGTTATAATTGCATGTGAACACTTTTCTGTCTCTTTTTTGACCATAGCTGCCTCATTTCTTTTTTTTTTTTTTTTTTTTTGGAGATGGAGTTTCACTCTTGTGGCCCAGGCTGGAGTGCAGTGGCACAATCTCGGCTCACTGCAACCTCTGCCTCCCGGGTTCAAGCCATTCTGCTGCCTCAGCCTCCCAAGTAGCTGGAATTACAGGCATGCACCACCACACCCAGTTAATTTTTATGTTATTAGTAGAGACGGGCTTTCACCATGTTGGCCAGGTCGGTCTCGAACTCCTGACCTCAGGTGATCCACCCGCCTCGGCCTCTGCCTCATGTAAAGTGCTGGGATTACAGGTGTGAGCCACCACGCCCAGCCACTGCCTCATTTTTAAAATAAGGCTAATACACTCCTTAAGAGACATATTATTTTTGGAAATTAAGGCATTGCTCAAATCTTTGTTAACATCATTTTAAATTTTTCTCATTTTTCCTTCTTGCCATCCTACCTCATTTTAAAATGCAGCATGTAAGCCTTAGGCTTATTTCCCAAAGTGGCAAATATAATTCAGTTCTCGTTTTCTGAATTTTGACATCTCTAAGTCTAACCCATCATGGTGCACTATGAATTTCTATGTTTAAACCTATTTTAAAGTTAGCTTGTTTCATAGTTAATATAATACCTTGGCAAGTATTTGACTTTTTGCTATTTTAGATTCAACAGATGAATATGGAAAGTAGCTTTCATTACAGCATTTGCTTTCTTTTCAGAAAAAGTTGCCTTTGACAACACTGGCTCAGTGTCTGATGGAGGGGTCAGCTATCCTGGGAGATGACACACTTCTTGGGTAAGGTGACACCTTGCGTGAGTTTGGTGCCAAATCTAAGTAAGTCCCCATCCGTGAAAAGGGGACTAGACCCTCTCAGGGAAGCACCTGAATTCTCACTGGGGACTTTAGTGGAAAAAAGGAAAATGTTACCAGTAGGAAATCAGAACTCTTGGCTCTAAAGTCATATTGTCTGTGCGGTGAGGCAAGGCCCAAGTGGAGAGATTAACATGAAACTGATGAAGGACAATTGAAATCCCTAGGGCCCTAGCAGAAGCAAATATGAAACCTGTCAATTCAAATGTCAGAACTTACGAGATTCTCAGAAAAGCAGCCTTTGCCGATGTTGAGCTCACAACAAAACAAACTGAAAATAGAATCGTCATGAGAGAGCATCAGCAGACACAATCAGTAGAAGAGTCAGTACCCTGAGAACGAAAAATAATAGAACTATATGGAAGAAAATATAACAATTATTTAAATGGAAATTTTAAAATTAAAAAACAGAATCCTTGACAAGAGAATCAAACAATATTAAAAAAGAATAGGCGGGATTGAAGGCAAACCAAAGAGAACTTTCCAAAATTATGCTGAAAATTTTCAATGATCTTTAGTCAAAAGAAACTCAAGATTATACACAAATAAATAATTGCTGAACTTGAAAACAGATGTAGAGCCGCCACCCAGAATGAAGGGAATGAAGTGCAGAGATAAGGAGGTAGGCATTCTTAAACTGAGAAACATGGGTGATAGAATGCAAAAGCTTAACATTCCATCTAGTGGGAATTCCTGAGGAAGAAAATAGGGAGAAAGGTAAGTTTGTGGTTGAATTTTTCTTTTCCAGATTTAAAGAAAAACATGTCTTTGGATTTAAGGAGCACAAAATGATTTGATTGAGATCAACAAGAAAAAAATGCATCCCTGGACATATTGTAGTAAGACCACAGATTATCAACAAAAAATAGAAAAATGTAAAATTGACCAGAGGGAAAAAAGATCATTACTATAAAATAGCAATTAAACTGTTAACAAACTATGTATTCGTCAGCCACAATGAATGCCAGAAGATAATGGAGTAATATCTTCAAGTATTGAGCGAAAATGTAAGAAACCTAGTATTCTATGATAAAATAGGGAAGAGTAAGGATATTTTCAGGCAGATTTGAAGAAGATACTACCTGCATATTCTCACTGAAAGGACTAGTTAAGGCTACATGAAATAGATTACATCTCTTTCACAGAAACAGAAGAAAGATGAGAAGTACAAGTACCAAGGTAGGAAAAAGATTGTGTTGTAGGGGAGGAAACTTTTTTTTTTTTTTTTTTCCTCTCTCTAAACATCTTAGGTTCTTTGGTTGGGCCCTGAAAGTTAGATTGACAAAAGGTAGATTAACAGGAGAAAAGCAAATAAATTTTATTAAAATGTGTAGTACATACACATGGAAGAACTCAGGGATGAGTAGATCAAAGGATAGAACATGGGCTTATGTAGCCTTTTTTTTTTTTTTTTTTTTGAGATAGATTCTTGCTCTGTCACCCAGGCTGGAGTGCAATGACGCAATCTCAGCTCACTGCAACCTCTGCATCCCGGGTGCAAGGGATTCTGCCTCCACCTCCCGAGTAGCTGGGATTATAGGCGGGTGCCACCACGCCGGGCTAATTTTTGTATATTTAGTAGAGACAGGGTTTCACCATGCTGGCCAGACTGGTCATGAACTCCTGACCTCAAGTGATCCACCCTCCTCGGCCTCCCAAAGTACTGGGATTACAGGAGTGCTTATGTAGCATTTTAACAAAGAATGATATTTTTTTAGAGAAGTGACAAGACAAAAGAGAAGGACTTTTACGTTTCTGTGGTGGCAGAATCAGTATTTCAAGCTCCTGTATTGTTTGAAAGGAGGATAAAGGTATTACATTTAAATTTAACATCCAAAAAATAAAAAAATAAAATAAATTTAGTGTCAAATATGCATGTTATAAAACTAAGACTAACCACAAAAAGAATAGAAATAGGATATATAACTTTCAAACTAACAAAGGATGAAAAGGAAAATAAAAAAAAATACATGGAAGGGACTACAAGAGAAAAAAGTAACCAAAAAAAAAAAAAAACCACATAATAATTGGAAAACAGAAAATGAGGGTGGTAGCAATCATTGCATATATCTCTGCAATCATAGGAGATGTAAATGGAATAAACTCAACTGTTCAAAGAAAATTTCAGGTTGACAGACATGAAATCCTGTTGTATGGTATTTCCAAGAGTCATGCCTATAATATAATGACAGAGTAACGTTGGAAATAAAGATGACAGATTGAACATGCATCTGATTTTCTCTCCTTCCAAAATCCGCTAAAACTACAATATGGAGATTTTTTTTTTTCCTTAAAAGACATAAACCCACAATGGCAGGAAAAAGCAGACAACAGCAACACAGTTTTGTGAGCTGTAAAGCATATGAATGACTGGGAACTAACTTGGCAAGTCCCCAAAAGCTGACTCCCAAGCCAGAAGTAGATATGCAAAGATCCCATGTAAATTACATCACGTAATGCTTACAGTGCTCAAGAATTGGCACCAGGGATCTCTGGAATAGTGGGTCTTTGGGGGTGGAGTGGGTGATTAAACTCACGAATGTGGTTGAAAGCTTTTCAGTTACCACTTGGATCACTAAACTCTGCCCCAACCACATGTCTAGGAACCTGTCATCCCCCGACTCCCGCCTGAGCAGAATTCTCTAGAGGGGATAAGAGAGCATCTCTAGAATGGGGGACTCCCGGTGCAGTGGAGTGTATGGGTACCATTCAGTAAAGAAGAGGCTCGAGTGATCTAATGTGTACTGGATGTGGATGCTAATACTCCACAGCCGTCTTCTTCCACTCATGCAGCCCCCCAGGACTTTACCCTCTAAGCAGGAAATTAGAAGAGGTTTCTCAGGAGAATCAGGTTAGTCCAAAAGGAAGGACCTAAAGATCTGAGGATGTTGGAGGGGGTCAGTGCCTCAATAAGTGACGCAACCACGTCTTTCTACAGATGAATTCACATACTCTGAACTTTTTAGTCTCCACTCTTGAATATAGAGAGGCACCAAAGATCATCAGACATCTGAGGAAAGTCTCTAACCTGAAACCTGGAGACCAAAACAATTGGGTGGATACAATGCAGCTTGGAAGAAACAGATTGTGTAGGGGAGGAAAAAAGGTTAGGAGAACAATCACTTGTGTTTTCAAATGGTAAGGGAAGATAACATGTCCATGAAATGAAAAACAGGATGTTAATACAAAATATTTATGGGAAAGAAATAGCCAGAGATCAAAAGCAAGCTTGTAGAAATGAGAAAATATGATAGAAGATATGAAATTCTCAGGAGGTTGGGAAGATAAATATGAAGAAATCCTCATACACTCAGACAATAGAACACACAGACAGTAGAAAAAATTAGAAAATTAAAAAATTAGAAAATTTTAGAAAATTAGAAAAAATTGGAAAATTAGAGGATCAATCCAGGAAGTCTTATGCCCGAAAAACAGGAGTTCTTAGAAAAGAAGAGGAAGAAATAATAATAAATAATCCAACAGCATATTCCGGATCTTGAGGACATGAGTTTCTATACTGAAAAGGCCCATTGAGCTCCAATACAATGGGAAGAATTAAGCGTATGCCACAGAGCTCACCATCATGTATACTGGTGACAAAGAGTCTACAACCTTCTAGAGAGAAAACATGTCACATACAAAGGATCAGAAATGCGAATGCTTCCAGACTGAGCAAAAGCAGCAATGGAAGAAAGAAGGTTATTAAGCAGTGCCTTTAAAATTCTGAAGGAAACCATGCTCAGCCTAGGAGTTCAATATTCTGCCCAAGTTTCAATCAACGAGAGGGCAGAGGAGAATACCGTGACATACGTGGCCTCAGAAATTGACTTCCCACCTATTCTTTCTCAGCAAGCTAAAGCAAGACAGCAAGATGTGTCCTTGGTGAGGAAGTGACCAAAAGAAAGGTAGACTCAAGATAACAGAATGTCCAATACAAGACAGAGGAAGAGAATCCCAGGGAATGGTGAAGGAAGATTCCAGGAAGACAGATGTGCCTTAGGGATACAGGAAAACTCAATCCGCATTGAGACAGGTCCAGGAGGGATTAATTCAAGAAGATGAAATTCATTTACATGATGTGTGGTTCAATATTTTTTGGTAATATTTTTATTTTAATATATAACAGAAGAAAAAAATTAGCACACAAAACTCATAAATGTGATGTTTATCACTGCTTAGGATGAGGTTTAATTTTTTTTTAATCAAGTTAAGCAAATTTTGGTTCAATATCTTAACAGACAAACTAGGAAAGTGGCAGAGTATTTTGAATTCGATTGGGTACGTAGAAAACAAGCAAGCCAAAACAAGGCAATTATTAACTCCAGGGAGAACAAATAAGTGTGCAGGGAAACCAGTAATTATAGTATACTACCCAGATTAACTCCAAATAATATGGAGTCAAAGTGTAATATAAATAATAAGCATTTATTAATATGAATAAAGGGAGGGAGGGGAAATGGAAACGGAAACATAGCTAAATTCTCATTTTCTGTAATGTTAATAGCTAATATTTAAATTTTTTTAATTAAGTAGTATTAGAAATATGGAATAAATACCAGAAAATCAGATATAAGACACCATTAAGCTGGGTGCAGTGGCTCACGCCTGTAATCCTAACACTTTGGGAGGCCGAGGCAGGTGGATTACCTGGGCTCACGCCTGTAATCCTAACACTTTGGGAGGCCGAGGCAGGTGGATTACCTGAGGTCCAGAGTTCAAGACTAGCCTGGCCAACATGGTGAAACCCTGTCTCTACTAAAAATATAAAAAATTAGCTGGGTGCAGTGGTGCACACCTGTAATCCCAGCCACTCGGGAGGCTGAAGCAAGAGAATTGCTTGCACCCGGGAGGTGGAGTTTGTGGTGAGCCAAGTACGCGTCACTGCACTCCAGCCTGGGTGATAGAGTGAGATTTTGTCTCAAAAAAAAAAAAAAAAAAAAAAGGCACCATTAAAGACATACAAAGATAAAAGCACACCTGGGCACTGACATTTGTAGCAGATAGGAAAAAGAGTGAAAATCTGCCTTCACACACGTGTGTATATGAAGTTCCTACAAATAAATTCAAATAAATAGATCCTAATACAAAAATAGCCAAGGAATATGAACAGGCACTTCATGGGAGAGGGATATTAAGTCTTACTAGCAGTCAAGGAATGTAAATTAAAACCAGAAGGAGATAATAATTTGTATCCACCAGTTTAACAGAAATTAAGACACCTACCAGGACCAAGGGTTGGCAAGGGCATAGGGCAATGGGAACTCCCATTTGTGCTAGTGAAATTTCCAAACATGCACAAAGAGACTGCACAAGCATATTTACTGAAGCGCTGCATGTAATAGCCAAAAACTCTTGTTTGTGGGACAGCTTAACATAATGGTGGTATATTCAAAGAACGAAATTCTCCATTGCAAAATGATCTGATTCCGCATGTACCAACATGGGTAAGCTCCAGACATAATGATAGAGTAAAAAAGCAAGGCTGCCTGTAGTCCCAGCACTTTGGGAGGCCGAGGTGGGTGGATCACCTGAGGTCAGGAGTTCGAGACCAGTCTGGCCAACATGGTGAAACCCCATGTCTACTAAAAATACAAAAAATTAGCCGGGTGTGGTGGCAGCCTCCTGTAATCCCAGCTACTCAGGAGGCTGAGGCAGGAGAATGGCTTGAACCCAGGAGGCGGAGGTTGCAGTGAGCCAAGATCGTGCCACTGTACTCCAGCCTAGGCAACAAGAGTGAAACTCCATCTCAAGAAAAAAAAAAAAAAACCTCAAAAAAAAAATCCAAACAAAAAAAGCAAGTAGCATCAGGATATGCTCAGTATAAAACCATGCATGTAGACTGAACTAAGCAAAGCAGCAGTATTATATATTGTATGGGGACACATACATGTAGAGTAAAAATGTGAAAATCTGAACAGGAAAGGAATATCCTCACAGTAAAAAGGCAGTTACCTCTGCTCATACGTTTGTTGACTTGTAAAAGCTTTTTTGTTTGTTTATGTGTTTTTGAGACAGGGTCTCGCTCTGTCACCCCGGCTGGAGTGCAGTGGCACTATCTAGGCTCACTACAGCCTCTGCCTCCCAGGTACAAGTGATTCTCGTGCCTCAGCCTCCAGAGAAGCTGGGTCTACAGGCATGTACCACCATGCCCAGCTGAGTTTGATATTTTTAGTAGAGGCGGGGTTTCACCATGTTGCCCAGGCTGGTTTGTAATAACTTTTTACTTGAGTTTTAGTTAAAATGGGTACCAGACAATGGGAGAATGGCCTGTGTACAATTTGGGTAGAATTTAACATCTTTGAAAT